>NC_000016.10:20607698-20910728 GCF_000001405.40 Homo sapiens | reverse complement strand
GATCATGGCTCACTGCAGCTTTGACCTCCCAGGCTCGAGTGAGCCTCCTGCCTCAGCCTCCAGAGTAGCTGGGACCTCAGGCGTGCGCCACAACAACTGGCTAAAGCAACCTTCTCTAAAAATCTAACTTTAATTAGTTTCCTTCTATGACTCTAAGAATCACTGTTTCAAACTCTAACTGATCATATACCATAATCTGATACACAAGCCCTGCAATTAGGTTAATACCCTCAAGGTAATGAGCAGTGCTAACAATTGGTACTTAATAGGACTATTTTCAAAACACTTTAATTAACGTTTAAGTGTTTTGAAAACTAATCCTGAAAGGGATTTATGTGATGTCTCACTCTGCAACATCAGGTGACCCAGAAAACCCAAGTTTCAAAGATTTCCTGAGAGAAGGGTCTAAAGCTGTATTCACCATTGTGTCCTATTAAATCTAGCCTACCATTTCCTTCCAAGTCTTGAGAGAAAAGGCAAGAAAAGAAAAATGTTTCTTTTGTTCTTTTCTTACTGGGTTTGTTTCAGGTCTTTGAGGGAACCATGTTCTTTCTTGCCTTAGGGGCACATATCCATGCAGTTTTCTCTTTCTAGAAGGCTTTCCCCTGAACCCCTCCCTTTTACCTGACCAACCCTATCCATCCTGCCGTTCCCAGTGAAAATATGGATGTCTCAGAAAATCTTCCTGCTTCCCTCACACCCATTGGGTTGGGGCTCTCTGTTGAACCTTCTCACAGGTCCTAATATTCTTGTTTGTATAGCACTCCTCACTTAAGTAATGGTTTGTTAAAGTCTTCCCCCAGTAAACTCTCATTTTTATGGGGGACAATGATCACATTCATCTTCTTTACTGCTGAATTCTCAGCACCTAGAAAGGTATATAATCAGTATTCAATAAATGTTTGCTGAATAATTGAGAGTATCCTGTGCTATAGAAAGTTTGTGATTCTAGAAACAGAATCAGCCATATATTTTTTAAAAAGTTTAAAAAGCTCTTTTCCTTTTTATATTTTTGTCTTTGTTCCTAGAAAGCAACTTATTTAGAAAAATCAGCTTTTCCCGAATATGGATTTAATGGCTTGAAACCAACATTTATTGCTCTAAAACTATCAATTATCTCTCACAATTAATGCAAGACTAAGGAAGCCCTTTTCCTTCTTCACTACATCAGGGGTTGATCTGATACAATGGGGTCTGCTGGGATTTTCTTACCAGCAATACATCAGGAATATTCAGTAGTTTAGAGGACCACAATTCAACTGCGGTCTCAGCTGGTCACGAAGTCTATCCATGTAGATTTTTAAAAGTTAACCTTCTATAATCTTTATTCTGAGACCGACATTTCTTCCAATTCTTTACTCCTTTTCATCTCCCTAACCCCCAAATCCCAGAATGAAGAAAGACAGAAGATATGAGGTGTGCCTGGAAAGAAATGGGACTAGAAGCTGGTCTCTTTTCTTAAAAATCACGCCCTGTTATAACACAGGGATATACATGTGTGGAGGTGAGGATCATTTCCAAGCCTCTGTGATGTGCAGGCCTGTGCCACTAAGAAAAGGCTGACAGATGTTGCTGCCAGTGTGTTGTGGCCTCTGGTCATAGTTAAGAGATGTGTCCCCTAATGCCAAGTGTCCCAAAGATTGGTTGGGGAGGTGATCTTAGATATACAATACAAACTGTATATTAGAAAAGCCCATCAAACCCATAATTTTGAGTGATTTAGATTTTATGTGATATACAGCTTCCTTTAAAGAAATGAATTAGAAAACTTTTTAAGCTAGTTTAAAATATAGGTAAACAGCAAAAACTGTGATGTGGACTCTGAAGTTTGGGAGCTACTGCTCTAAGGTGCCTTGCCATGTCATACTTCTGTCTGTCTTGGCTGAGTCTTCCTCTGCCTACAATGTCTCCTTTCTGCTAGCCACCCCACACCATCAAACAGACACCTACTTGCTATTAAGCTTTTCCAAAGCAACCTTTTCCTTGCTTCTATCATGGCCAGCAGATAGTTCTGCATTTCTTTCACTCTGTTTTTTCTTCTCTGAGTCTGAATTCCTGAAGGGCAGGGATTGTATCTTGTTCATTACAGTAAGAAAAATATTAAAAGTTACATTTGCTTTGCATTTACTGTGTGCCAGATAATTTGCTAGGTACTCTATATATGCAGATACTACCATTATCCCCATTTTACAAAGGAGGAACCTGATGCAGAGACTAAGTAACTTGTCCAAGGTCACACAGCTAACAATAGGCAGGGCTAGGATTCAAACTCAGCTGGTCTGAAGTCAGAGCCCATGCTTTTAATCACGAAATACACTGTTCAATCTCAATAAATGTTGAATGTCTGTTGATTGCTTTAAAGAGCTTAGCTAGTTGTGACAAAGGGAACTAAATAATTCTAGTCCCTTTCTATACAAAGAGCAAAGGAAGCAATTTTTTTGCACATTGATGTGAATTCCAATAGCCTTCCCCATTTGCCACCTGCCCCTGCTCCTAACCTGCAACCGCCCTTTTTAATTATGTTACACACCAGCATGCTCTAAGCAGGCTGGGCACATGGCTGCACCGCTTTGCTCTTCCATTCCCCGTGGCAACCCTGTCCCCTCTGACTCCAATGGAGCCAACATAAAAGCCACCAGTGCAGGGGCTCACTACAGTGCTACTACCTGGTAGGCCTTACTCTTCCCTTCCAAGGATCCATCCATCCATCCACTCACTCAACATTTATTGAAGGTCCACCATGTGCCAGACACCTGCCGTTTCTGGGGATACAGTGATAAATAAGCAGCCATGGTCCCTACCCTCCTTGAGCTTATATTCTAGTGGCATAGGCAGATGATGTACAAGAACAAGAATTTCAGACAGTCATATGTGCTCTGAAGAGTAATAAGATACAAATGACCAGAGGTGGGGGTTATTTTCTGGGTGGTCAGTGACATTTGAGCTGAGTCCTGAATGGTGTGATGGAACCTAATAACGGACCCAGGTAAGGGGAAGCTGGTGCAAGTAGAGGGAACAACAGGAGCAAAGGATGTGACGTGGGAATCGACTTCAAAGATGAACATGAGGCAGGGCATGGTGGCTCATGCCTGTAATCCCAGCACTTTGGGAGGCTGAGGTGGGAGGATTGCTTGAACCCAAGAGTTTGAGACCAGCCTGGGCAACACGGGGAGATCCCATCTCCATTGAAAAATAAAAACATTAGCCAGGCATGGTGGCTCATGCCTATAAGCCCAACACTTTCAGAGGCTGAGGTGGGAGGATCCCTTGAGCCCAGGTGATAAAGGCTGCAGTGAGCTATGATCACGCCACTGCACTCAAGCCTGGGCAACAGAGTCAGACTCTATCTCAAAAAATGAAAATAAAAAAGATGAACATGAATGCAACAAGAGCCTTTGGGAAAGGGGCCACAGGTCCACAGAATCCAGCACAGGTTGGGGGTAGGCCTTGGAAAGGCACTTTGTTTCTGGTCTTAAGCGCAAAAGACACTGGTAGATTTTATGCAAGCTGGAGTAACACGGTCTGATTTATATCTTTTTAAATACACTGTATATCAAACTACTGTATATCATAACTACTTATAATTCCAACACTTGTACAGATGGTGAAACAAGATCTTGCCTAATGCCCCTAATTAGTTGACAGGAGTCAGGGTCAAGAGCCAAAAAAGCTGGATGATCATTTTCCTGACTGACCACAAGCTTTTCTATTTTGGAGTCAGTAATGGGGACTCATAATGGGCAGCGATCAGTCTAAAAAACAAAAACAAAAACCAAACACCAAACACCCACCCACTCTGCCACTCACTGTCCAAAGTGCAGTGAGAGGGTCTGGGGAGGTTCCAAGAACTTACTGTACAAGGCATACCCAGACACTTGGTGTTTCTACAGGAGGACTATGGAAAGATCTGCTGGTATGAGGGGCCTCATCCACTGTGCCCTTTTACCCCACCTCTGGAACAGTTCCTCTGCCTTTGGAAAGACCATTGCAGCATGAACACTTAGGAATTTAAGAGCAGAGATGAAAATTCCCTTTCCCCAGCTGAGATTTATAGAAGTATGACTCTGGTCTCAGGAATGTCCAAATTCCAAATGCTGGACTCTCATGAGGCTTTGCCTTCTAAAGAAAATGTGTTGCAGTACAAATAAGAAATGGGACAA
This sequence comes from Homo sapiens, assembly GCF_000001405.40. Taxonomy (NCBI): domain Eukaryota; kingdom Metazoa; phylum Chordata; class Mammalia; order Primates; family Hominidae; genus Homo; species Homo sapiens. The sequence goes on along the minus strand of NC_000016.10, from coordinate 20,906,568 downwards.
AGGCAAGAGGAATTTACCCTGATTTTCAAGCCCCAGGAAGTTAAACACCCCTTTCCATTTATTTCAGGAAAGACCTACCCCTAGGTGGAATTTTTTCCCTCATCAGAACTCATGACCGTAGTATAGTCAAATTTCTCTCCCAAGTACTTTATGATTTTTTAGCAAGGAGGGGGAATCATAAACTCCACCCAAATGAGATCATGGTCTTCTGTATGTGCAATGTCCCTCTTTTTGCCATAGGAAGCCTCTCTACTTCATACAACTGAAATACCCTTTCTTTGCCTATTTGCTGCTTCCACCTTTTGACTTCCATCACTTCTGGACGGGTGCCCTTTTCACACTGGGGCTGGGTCAGTGTCCCGGCTATGTGCACTCCTGGCACCTCTGGCATACCCCTGTCATAATGTTCATCCTACTCTATCATAATTTTGCATGACTTACCTTTCTTTTTCCACCATGTGTGTGTTGCAGGGAGTAGGAGGTGGGGAGAGCAGGGGGAGATTTGGGACTGTCTTGTACATTACATGCCTAGGCTGGCACATAGTTGGAACATGACAAATATGTATTAGAAGAATAAATTTACACACACAGAATGGTCATTGATAACGTATGTTCTCATCCTGAGATACACACGATGGTATCTGGACAAGCTTCCCAACTGATGATCCCAGAGCATTGAAGGGTTAAATACTAATTAACCCTTACTAGGATGCTTTCAAGAGCAGTGTGTGTCAGGATAAAGAACTGGAGACTCAGTGTTACTTGGGGAGGAATCCTCATCAGTTTCATCCAGAACAGCGTAAGAGACACAGCTATGATGTAACCCTCACTCTTAAGTTTTCTTAAGGCTGGTTAGGGTTTGTCCACTGGACTGAAATACCTTATAATATTTCCATGAAGTTTAGAACCAAACATAGAAGAATGGGGTTCTGATACTTTTTTCCTGAAAAAATCCTTTTGGGGAATAAGGTCCACTATACTCAATGATCATGGGTTAAAATCAATCTAGAAAACTGTGACTTAAAACTATCATTTGGAAAACCTCTACAGAATTGAAATGCTCTTGCTAATGTCAGAGCAACCAGATGTTCTTGCCCTGTATAGCAGAGTAGGGAATGTCTGTCCCATTTGTAAGGAATAGCAGATATAATACAAAATAAATGAACATTTATTTTGGGCTCTGGGCGGACAAGGCTGGGTTTGAATCTTGACTTTACCCCATTGGGCAAATTATTAACTGCCTGAGACTTGGTTTCTTAGAATGTACAATGGGGTAATAGCAGAACCCCTTTCAGAGTCGTAAGGATTATTCATGAAATAATCCATGTAACATCACTTAGCACTGAGAGTTAACAAAGGCAAATGTTACCTGAATAGGAGGAAACAGAGGAAGAACAACGAGGTCTCTTTTATCTATGCTAAGCTTTGTCTGAATAGGAGAGAAATGTGTGGCCTGTTGGTGAATTTATTGCTTTGTGGTAGTAATGGATTTTCCTAAAGCTGTTTCCCTCTGATCATTAATAATCCCTGTACAGCAAAGGACTATTGTTCTTTGGTATGAGTAAATAACCCTGTTGGAAGCACCGCTTATCTTCAGACCACAGCGCATACTTCTTACTGGAAATATAATGCAGGTGCCAACACCAAAGGCATGACCAGGCTTCCCTTCCTATTTTTCTTCCTTTATCTCTTACTCCTTGTTTATCCCTCAGGGCACTTTTCTCTTAGATCTGTTATACTCCCTCCTTTTTGGTGTACACCCATATTCTTACCCCAATCCAATAACCTTTAAGTGAAATTGTTCTCCATACATTTCTGGTCCCATATCCTCCTATCAATTAAACACACACACACACACACACACACACACACACACAACCACAGACTTATTTCCTGTTTCAGATTCAGTTTTTGGTTACTAGAATCCAAAAAGGGAAGTGTAATGCCTCACATGCCACACACTGTTTTGCAAATTTCAGGATATGCTTGTGTGGTATACTTAATCATACCGCAGCTATTTTATGAAACAGCATCTTTTTACACAGAAAATGATAAGAATATGGTCTGTCAGCAATAGGGGGCAGGGAGGAGAGGGTGGATGGCATTTTTATTTTACCTAAGGGAAAATAATTTAGTTTAGGCCCTGTAATATGGGAAGTTTTTAGAACACGGGGCCAAAACAAAAAATGTCTGAAAGACTTCTAAAATGTCTATCCCAAACAAGATCACAGGAGGCAAGCACACCCATTCTAAATATATCATACCAGCACCGGAGCGCACACAAGATTATATTTGTACAGGGGAACTCCAATCAGGCTACTGTAACCAAGATAACAACCAATAGATATACAGCTATTTTTCCCATCAGGGATAGAAGTTCTAAATGAAAAGTTATGGGCCCCTCAATTCAAAAGAAATGGAAGTATGTTTCCTTATTAGCATATTTTAACAGGCAAAGAAAAGGTACGGGTCAGTCAGAGGTGGTGAAAAAGCAGTCACCAGTTACTAGTAGTAGAAGGCAGTGGAAGAGATGTGGTGGGGGGGCTGGAATTGAAGGCCAATGCTAAAGATCATTCATTCATTCATTCATTCATTCATTCATAACTCCCCAGCCAGGATCTTTCACCCTTCATATCAAATCGAAAAGTCTGAGAACACAAGACACTGACTTAAGTTCTTGCTTTGTTATAGTTTTCTGAGGAACTGGATTAGGAAACTGACCAAAGAGCTTTGCATGCCACACTAGATACAGTTGGGGCTTTCTAGCACCTGACCCTTGATCCAACTCTCTGATAAATAACCACATTCTGTGCAGGGGTCCAGGCCTTCAGGACAGCTTCCTCCACCATCAAATAACTACTGAATGCGCAACTTTCCCATCTGCAGAGGCACCAGAGCTCCTCAGTAGGCTAAGTCCCTTGAGTTTCACATGCGGAGAATGACTAGCCTACATAGTACCCTCGAGTTCCTCCAGTCCAATGCTGACCAAGATAACTTTCTGTGAAGGAAAGGTTCTATCTGCTCTGTCCAATAGGACACACACCTGTCACAGGTAGCTACTGGCACTTGAAACATACTGTGTTGGAGGAACTGAATTTTTATTTAAATAGTCACATGTGGTCAGTGGCTACACAGGGATAGCACAGCCCTAGACCAAGAATTGCAAATCAAATGCCCACAGGGGTCAGCCAGGTAGCAGGAGAGGAGAGGCCTTTTTGGCAAACCCTGAGCATGAGCCACATAGACGGGAGACAGCTCTTCAGCTCTGGCTGACAGTTGCTGTGTAGGAACCTCTAGGAACTTCAGGCTGGTGTTGTCAGATTGTCGGATTTTTCAAATGAAGCCCAAAGTCTGGATTTTGATGTCCAATTTTTAAATGTTGGCAAGTAAATTTAAAAAAGAATTTAAATCACTGTGTGGGCTGAACAATATGTTTGCAGGCAATATCTGTCTTGTCAGTATGCAACTTCAAATCTAGGCCAACCCTTCAGCTCAGAGAGAAGAGCTTTATCCATGGCCACTCTGCTGGTCAGTGGCAGATCCAGGATTGAAACCCAGGCCTTCTTATTCATCTTCTGATACCCTTTACACTATATTGTGGAACTGATCGTAATTGTGGTGGGCTTGGCAGCAGTGGCAGGGACAAAAGCCCCTTTTTGTGAGAAGCTGTTGGATTGTATGGCTGATACCTTATGAACACAGTGTTCCTGCCCAGCTACAACCACCATATGGACAAGGCTCTGTACCAGGAGCCAGGAAGACACAAATAAGAAACAGTACCTGGGGGAGACAGCCATATAAACAGACAATTTATCCAAAAAGTCAGGTTTTCTATAACGGACACAAATTACCTGAGCACAAGTCCAAAAGCACTGACAGCTGGGAGAGGGAGGGAGGGAAGAGATTTGAGCCAGGACTTAGCTTCTACTTGCTGCGGGTAGAAGCTGGCAAGCGGGTGGATGAGATTCACTGATTACGGGGATGGGTCCCATTATTCCAGGATATTAAGGGGCCTCTTCCTTTGATCTCTGAGGTCTTGTCTGTGTCGTCTCCTTTGCTGGCTTCTCCTTCTCTGGGTACTCTCTAAATGGTAAGAACCCAAGGGATTTAGGGGTCTTCCTCTTTTATTTACACGCTCTTCTTAGGTGATCTGGGAGCTCCTCCCTGCCTTCCTTATTTATTATCTCCAACTATGATTTTTCCCCGACTTGTATATCTAACTTCTTGACAACTTCATTTGACTTGTTAATAGACTTATCAAACTTAATATGTTCAAAAGAGAACTTTCGATATTCCTTTCTAAACTGTTTTCCCGTAGGGAGTTAACCTTGGTTCCTCCCTCTCCTACACACTTCACATCCAATTCCCCAGCAAGTCCTGCAAGCACTACCTCCCAAATATATGCTGAATGGAATTCTCTCCATTTCCACTGTGACTGAGGGCCTTTTCTTTTTTCTTAAGACGGAGTCTCACTCCGTTGCCCAGGCTGGAGTGAAGTGGCGCGATCTTGGCTCACTGCAACCTCCACCTCCCGGGTTCAAGCGATTCTCCTGAGTAGCAGAGATTACAGGCGCGTGCCACTACGCCCAGCTGATTTTTGTATTTTTAGTAGAGATGGGGTTTCACCATGTTGGCCAGGATGATCTCGATCTCCTGACCTCGTGATCCGCCCGCCTAGGCCTCCCAAAGTACTGGGTTTATAGGCGTGAGCCACCGCGCCCGGCCGGCCCTTTCAACACTATCTTCACCTCTCCTTTGTCTTACAGTGCAACAGTCTCCTAACAGGTCTAACTACTTCCACCCTTCTCTATCCAGCAGGCAGAGCGGATTTTTAAAAATGTAAATCAGGTCAGGTCACTTCCCTTCTTAAAACCCTTAAGGTACACATTAGCCAAACCCCTGCCTTGGGCTAAAAGGCGCTGCTACAGTCATGCCACTTCCCCAACTACATCACAGGGCACTCCGGCCCTGGCTCTGTTTGCTTCAGCCACATGGCCTTCTGGCTGTTTCCAACCTAAAAGTCCTTCTCATTGGCTCTTCTCTCCACCCAGAAAACCCATTGTCTCGGATCCCCGCAAAACCGTGGCCTCCTTTGAACGACCTTACCCGATTTCGAGGGGCCCTCCCCCCATCTTCTGTCACCTCATCCGGTCTTTGGGGGGCATTTCTCACTTGCTGATACCTTCTTTATTGATTTACTTAACTCTCTCCTGCACACGAATGGAAGGTAACGGAGCAACACCCTACTCTCAGGTTTGAAGAGCAAGAGAATTACGAAGCTGGCTCTCACGGTCCTAGGGAGTCTCCGTTCCTGTACGGGACCTGGTGTGGGTCAACGTTCCCCAGCCAGACACCTCTCGCCCCCGGACCGGCCCCTACCATCTCCCATTTACATTCGGGGGTCCAAAAGATTCACAGCCTCCGAGGGGGCCCCACGCCGGCACCTGAGCGTCCCCACACCAGGCCTCCCCTCTTGGACGCGCGAGCCACTTCCGTGAGGCAGGTCCCCGAGGCCGGTGGCGATGACACCGAGCCGCCCCCGCGAAGCTGGGGTCACACAGGCCCGTCTCCCGGCAACGCCGCAGCCCAACCTCCAAACCATCCCTGCCCGTGGGGAGCCAACCCCTTCCCCGCCAGTCTCCCGCGCCTGGAGTCGGCGCCTCCATCCCCTACACTCACTCTGCGTCAGTCCTGCCTTCCCCCACCCACAGAAGCGCGCAGCCCGCGGCGGGCTGGGAGGAGGCGGCGCCAGGAGCCCAGCAGAGCCGTGGCCGACCGAGCACAGGCTGGTCCAGTAGGCCAGGCCGGACCAAACCACCGGGCCCACCTCTGTGGGAGCACCAGTTCCAGGTCTGGGGGAGTCTCGACTGACTGACTCTACCCATCTCCCGCCGCATCCAACAATAAGCTGAGCTCCTCCTCCCCCTATTTTTCCTTTACGCTTTCATTATCCTCCCCGCTCCATTCCCGTAAAACAAGAAAAAAAAATGGTCCAGCCCAGCTCCCTCCGGGTTGCTAGGTCTTTGCCCTTACTTGGCGACGGCTTCGTACGTCTTTATGTGCGTCGTGACGCAATCTTCCACTCGTTCCCTCCTTGCCCCTCTCCCATTCTCCCTCCTGGAGCTGGCGGCCGGCGGGGTTACCGGAAGTGATGATGCAGGAGGCGATGGAGGGGGCGGGGCTTCGGGGCGGCCGCCGCCGGTGGGCCGCAGATGAAGAGGAGGCGGTGGCAGTGGTGGAAGAAGAGGCGGCGGCGGCGGGGGTAGGGAGCCTGGAAACGCGAGCGGGGATGGTAGGTGGTTTGGACCCGCCGGGCCGCCGTCGTTTCCAGAAAGGGTTTGACTGGAGGAACCTCTGGAGCAGCTGTGAGTTTTGGGGAGGGGGGGAGTTGAGGAAAAGGCGGGGGGGCATTGAGAGATGAAGGGGCGGGGGTTGGGTACCTTCGAGAAAGGGGGGTGGAAAGGGAGGAGTGGAAGTCAGCGCGTTGTCTGGAGTGGTACCTCTGAAAGAAGAGGCTGTGAGGGGAGCCTGTGGCGTGTCAGCCGCAGGGCTCAGAAAACTTACCTACTGTCCCTGCCTCCCCACCGCCAGCACCCCTCAACCCAGGGCCTGGGGATATGGGGTTGGAGCTGCCCTGGAGGGGGTGCAGACTCTGGTCCTCTGTCCTGGGTGAGCGCTGTGAGGTAGGAGCCCTAGGGGGAGGTGGTGGGTGAATCTCCCAGCTCCCTCCGCCCTCATTTCCCTCCCCACCCCCATCGTTCTCTTTAATCATTAACAGCCCTGGAATTAAGGGGCTCAGACCTGAAGGCCTTTTTGTGCACCTTTGCTATAAACGATAACCATCTGTGTCCGAGGTAATGAGGCTGGAGGCTTTGCCTGTATCCTCTATAGGAAGTGGGACGGGGTGACAAATGTATTGTTTGTTCCTCCACCACACCCCCCGCACTTCTCACCCCTCATCCTCCCCCATGCACACCCCTGGTTTCCACTTTAATTCTCTGTGGCTGAGTGGCAATAGTGGATTTTTTTTTCTTCCCCTTTCCTCCTTTATGGCACTTAGTGCCTTGGTTACCTCTTTTGAATTTGGTGTTCAGCCTCTATCCCAGATCTTAACTGTAAGCTTTGTAATACTTCATACAGGCTGTCACGTTGGGAGTACCTCTTACGCTCCGATTATAATGAGCATTTTCTTTTATGAATACTGGAATTCCAGAGCCTTTGCAAGGAATCCTGAATGGCATCATAGCCCAGGAATCAAGGTCTCTTGCTCGAAATACTTTATGTGTGAGGAATTTACATGTTGTCAGCTCTTCCCAAAATGATTTGCTAGGCTAATTCTGGATTTCTGTGTTTCTCTCCACCCACTTTTCATGATGCACTTCAGAGAACAGAAAACCCCATATTACTTTTTTGTTTCTACAATTGGACAATAGCTCTTTTATGTTTTTCTCCATTTATGTGTGACACACAAATCATCAGTGACACGTTCAGCTTGTGCTGATTTTCATCTTTACGTAGCTGATTCTTTGTGTATGGGGGTCCTAAATGAGACAGTGTGATCTGTTTAGTTTTGGTTTAAGGGCGAATACAAACCAATAACGGATGTGAAAAAATTATTTGAAGCAAAGAATGGAAAGAAGGCCTCTTTGTTGATATGCTGTTGGTTTAAAAAAAATCAAGGAGCACTCTTCTAGCCTCTCAGACAGATATCAGAGTGAAGTGTTATGATTTTCCTTTTGGTGTTGATACATTCTTCGGAAATCTTTTGTAGAATCTGAAACTGTTTTCTGAAGAACTTTAAGAGATAGTGCCTACATTTTCGGAGTCCTTTGATTAGAAAGTGCCCGTAAGTCCTGTCCTTCTGTAACTGAGCTTGATATGCATAGTGCTAGGAAGATCTGATGCTAGGAAGTCCTATTCAGGGCTTTCGGGCCCTAAAAAACAGAATATTTAATGCTTGATTATACCAGTAACAGCGTGTTTAGATGTTTCACAAAAATACAACAGAAGAATGACTACTGTTCTCACTTTAACTGATTTAGAACCTAGTTTGCCATTGACTAAAAAGTTCACAGTTCATTAATTCAACAAACATTTATTGACTCCTAAGTGCTAGCCAGTGTTTCAGGCACTGGGTGTACACAGGTGAACACAAGCAAAAGGTTCACCCTTTCATGGAGCTTACATCGGAGTGGGAGCTGGGGACAGAGAGAGACATAATATATATCCCAGTAAACCAGATTTTGATCAAGCGCTGAAGAAAATAAGAGTGATGTGATTGAAAGTGTCTTAACTGTAGATGCAGTCAAAGAGGATCTTTCTGAGGAAGTGACACTTAAGTTGAGCTTTAAGTATAAAGAAGGAGCCAGCCATCCAAAGAAAAGGGGAAGATCCTTCCAGGTTCAGGGAACAGCTGGTGCAGAAACTGGCTGGAATGCGCTTGTCAAGTTCCAGGGAATGGGAAGAAAGGGTCAGGGTAGGTGGGAGGTAGTGGAAAGAGGATGGGTTGGGTGAGTAATAGCCAGAGCTTAGTGAACACGGGGGAGAGTTGGAGATAAGGTCAGAGAGGTGGATATGGGGCTCAGAATAGGTAGGCAAACAAATTGCCAGAAGGAGTAGGAAGTAGAAAATGATGCTGCTTGTTGATTAATTCTGTCGCCTTAACTAGGGTCTTATCACTTACTGTTTTTGCAGGTACTGTTGGACTATCATAATAAAGTCACTCTGCTGAGTGGGAGAGGAAGAGGCAGTGGTCACCTGGGTCTTTTCTGGCAGATAAATTTCAAGCTGGGTGTTCAGATTTTCAGCAGGATGTTCAATTGAGGACACACCTCTTTCTTTATTTTGTCTTATATACTGCTGTTTAAAACTGCATAATAAGTTCTCTGAATGTGTTCTAGTATACGAATCCTCCTTTGTTTCCAGCTCTGTATGAATTTAAGGACTGGGCAAGTGTTAATAATATGCCCTTATCCATCTACCAAGATGACCATCAGGATCTAAGTTTCAAGTTGTCTTTTGTAGGGAGGCAGTTTATGTTGCAATAGTTCCACTCTTGTCTGATCCTTCTGATGACTAATAACACTCAGCTGAGGTGTAGGTTGGTACTAAAAGTTCACTCAGTGGATTACATTAGATAAATGACCATTGTGGGGCTCAATTCCACTGTGTCGGCATCTTTGGGCTGGCACGTAACCAAGGGATGTAACCTACTTTTGCCTTCTGCTGAGGGCATTCATCTCTAATGGTGTGCTGCTTTTCAGCCTCACCTTGACCAGACCGTCCACTTGAGAGGCCCAATCAAGACTCCTTGATTTGGCCCTCTTGAGCCATGTCACACTGGGCTGAAACAGAATATGCTTTTTTCTTCTCTTGAACCCTACAACAGTGACTAGTGTGTTCTTTGAGTGAATTGGCTCTTTGAGCCAGGCAGTTGAGAGACTTAAATGTTGCTTGGGCTATTTGTAGTAAACTCAGTATTAGAAATGCTAAATAAAACCTTTTAGTGTTTGGGGAAAACGAATCAGAAATTGAGGACTTGTCACCTGTTTTAGGTTCTAGTATTCTCGTGGCACCTGTAGAAGGATTATCGAAAACTTGAACAGAGCTTTCTGGGCAGTTCTGGGGGCAATGAAGGGGACGAGGTAGATCCTGGTACTGAATTACTAATTCTGATTTGATTGCAAACAGAATGTCTTTTAGTTAGCAAGCAAATGACTAAAGTAAACATCTAGGAACAGGCAACTTCTACTCTTCATACTAGAGTATCTCAAAGGAATAGAGAATTGGTAGTGAGATTTGTTAATTTAATTATTTGGCTTTGGCCCAGGTTAAAGGTTTTGGACTTAACTTATATGCTGATGCTTGGCATAAAATGCTCTATCTGATGGGTTATTAAGCTCTCCACTTCATTTTCATTTCAATGGTTTATTGTAACTCAAATATGAAAATATCCTGTAGGCTGAAGTTTCATCAGCCAGTTTGGAGACTGGTGGCTCTTTTCTAATTTTTGAAAGGGGGCGGGTGGGTAGGAGGGGACTTGAACACAAGGAGAAGCCATTGTCTCCTACATTGGCTACTAATTGTGTTTGGGGAAAGAATCCACAAATTTAAGTGGATTGGATTTTCGGAGCTGAGCTGGCCTTTTAATTTAGGGTACCAGTGGATTTATTTCTTACACTTTGCAGGCTTTTGGACAAACTCTTCTGAAAGGTGGGCAACCTAGAAAGCCAGTTGATGCCACTTGCTATTGGAGTTGTGGGTAAGTGGTTTTACATTGCATTACACGACTAAAAGGTAATCAGATTTTGCTACTGTTTTGGTGTACAGATGCTCTTTGATTTACAGTGGGGTTACCTTTTATAACCCCATCATAAGTTGAAAATATTGTTAGTAAAAAAATGCATTTAATATACCTCACCTACCGAACATCATAGCTTAGCCTAGCCTACCTTAAACATGCCAAGAACCTGCATGTTTGGCATGTTTGGCAAATGCATCTAATGAGCCTATTTTATAATAAAATATTGAATATCTCATGTAATTTATTGAGTGAATACTGGAAGTGAAAAACAGAATGGTTGTGTAAGTACTTGAAGTAGTCTGGGACTGTCTATGTGCTGAAGTAAGGACATTTAATTGTGCAGTAGTTGCCAGTTGTTTTGAGGTGAAGAAGTGGTAACTTAGATTGAAACAATGGTAATGACGTGGTAACTCCTGTTTTCCCGGGTCTTGATAACTTAAAATTATCTCTTTGTGTCTGTTTAGACTGTTCTGGAGCTCTTTGCACAATGGACCAGGGTTAATTGAGTTAGTGTCTTTCAGTTCAAATCTAGTTTCACTAGTTCTTACGTCTGTGTTCCTAGATGATGGTGAATCCTATTCTTTTGGGTGGTGAGAAGGGATTACCACAGAACTTGACCGTTTAATCAGTGAATAATTACAAACTAGAGCGTAACATATTTACATCCCCTTGGTATCCTGGGGGATTGGTTTTGGACCCCTTAGTTACCAAATTCACAAATGATCAAGACTTACATAAAGTGGTAGTATATGGGAAGGTGCAGGGAGTGGCGGTGATGCACATCTGTAGTCCCAGCTACTCAGGAGGCATTTCCAGATTACTTATAATGCCTAATACAGTTTGGGTGTGGTGGCTCATTCCTGTAATCCCAGCACGTTAGGAGGCTACTACAAATACCTGCCCCCTTTTTGTTTTATTATGTGGGAGGATTGCTTGGAGGCCAGGAGTTCAAGTCCAGCCTACGCAAGATAGTCAGGCCCTGTCTCTAAAAAAATTTAAAAAACTTAGCCAGGCATGGTGGTGCATGCCTGTAGTCCCAGCTACTGGGGTGGCTAAGGCAGGAGAATTGCTTGAACCCAGGAAGTTGAGGCTGTAGTAGCCGTGATGGAGCTGCTGCACTCCAGCCTAGGTGACAGAGCAAGACCCCATCTCAAAAACAACAGCCAAATACAATGTAAGTGGTATGTAAATAGTTGCTATGCTGTATTTTAAAAAATTCATATTATTTTTTATTGTTGTATTGTTATTAGGTTTTTTTTTTCCAAATATTTTTGACCCATGGTTGGTCGAATCTGCCAATGTAGAACCTATTGATACAGATGGCCAATTGCACTGAAAATGAAAGAAAAGATTGGAAGTGGCTCAAACTCTTATTCTTTGAAGTTGTGACATGTTGAAAGAAGAGAATGGCAGATAGGGAAATCATTTTCTTTAAGATGTGTGCAAATGAGACCTTCTTTAAATACCATACATCAGAACAGGGAAGCTTAGTAAATCAGTCTTGAGGTGGTGATTAGCTCTTGTGGCAAAATAAGTCACCTGTGCCCAGAGCCTGGATACCAGCCTGGTTGCATGCAAAGGCAGACATGTCAATGACTTCGTCTACCTTCCTGAGGGCTTGACCTTGTTCAAGAGTGTCCTTTGAGCTGTACTATATTGTTAGGCTTGGGATTGAATTGCCACACAGAAGCTTGGATTGCATAGTGTTGGGAAGCATCATCCCTGATCCTTTTGTGCCCTGCTCTGCTGGAGGGCTCAACCGCAGGACCTGGTGACTAGAAATAATTCTGTCACTTGGGCCTGCAGATTCATACCAGGTCTGATGACTGACTAAGAATCTCAGATAGCAGCAGTGTATAGTGTGGGACTCTTCATTTTTGAGACTGCTTAGCATCTCGGAGCCACTGCCCCTCTTTCTGCCTGTTGGGCCAAGAGAAAGTGTTGAAAAAACCTGCCCCTTTTTGATTTATTATGTATTCATTTATTTTTTGAGACAGAGTCTCAGGCTGGACTCAGTGGCCCAGGCTGGAATGCAGTGGCATGATCAAGGCTCACGGCAGCCTCGACCTCCCAGGCTCAAGCGATCCTCCTGTCTCAGCCCTCCTGAGTAGCTGGGACTACAGGCCTGCACCACCATGCACCACTAATTTATTGTATTTTTAATAGAGATGGGGTTTCGCTGTGTTGCCCAGGCTGGTCTCAGACTTCTCACCTCAAGTGATCTGCCTGCCTCGGCCTCCCAAAGTGCTGGGGTTACAGGCGTGAGCCACCACACCTGGCCTGCTCCTTTATTTTAGTAGCAGATTGTTTCCACACAAGCGGCAGAGTTGGGTTACAGCTTTTAGCTCTCTATCATTCATGATGGGTTTGAACTCTATGCAGTGTTTGCTTAAAGTGGATTAGTATGTGTCCTTTAATTTTGATTCTGAACGAGTCTCAAGTCATAGCATTACTACTTTGAATGCTGTTAATTCCCCTTCCTGAAGTTTAGGAGAAGCAGGAAAAAGTCAGACCCTTGCAGAATCTTAGCATATCTGGTGTTTATTTCAAGCTGGGCTTTGAGGAGCCCTCTCCGCCATTGTTGAAGTATGCTTGTGGCAGGGATGAGGGGGTTTTGCTGTTTTCCTTCTGTTTCACGTTACTACTTCAGTCTGTGAAAAGTTACTGTAATATTCTGTTATATTGGGCTACCCTATTAGATTCTAGTTGAATAAAATGTTCTGAGGCTGAAAACAGGTTGAAAAGTGGTTATTTTCAGTGGGAAAACAGAAATCAAGAAAAATAAGTAGGCCAGGCATGGTAATGCACTGCATGCGTGTAATCCCAGTACTTTGGGAGGCTTAGACGGGAGAATCTCTTGAGCCCAGGAGTTTGAGACCAGTCTGGGCAACACAGTGAGACCTCATTTTACAAGAAATAAGGGAAAGGAGCTGGGCGTGGTGGTGTGCACCTGTAGTGTCACCTGCTTGGGAGGCTGAGGCAGCAGGATCACTTGAGCCCAGAAGGTCAGGCTGCAGTGAGCTGAGATCGCACCACTGCACTGTAGCCTTGGTGACAGAGTGAGACCCTGTCTCATTTAAAAAAAAAAAAAAAGATGAGTAAATGCTTAAAGTTACAGAGCAAGCTCTAGGCAGCAGCAAGGCTAGAATCAGGCCTTCTCTGCACTAATTCTTGTTCTGTCTGTTGCACTGCATCTCTCAAACAAGTTGGTGTAGGCACCCGATAAAGTTTAATTGAATCCTTGGTGTTTGGACTCTGTGTTCTTGGGTTCTGTACTCAAACATTTTGTCACAAACTCTTCATCTTTCAAAGAAGACTCCCTATAGTGAAGCATATGTGAAGCGAGGTTATTAATGGTAGTGGGATGAGAGGCTTCTTAGTTTTAGTAGTGGTTGTGGATACTTGATAGAAAGCTGGGCTTTTTTCTTCAGAATAGTTCTGAAAGTGACCATATTACATTCAAATAGGAGTTGAGGCATTATCCCTGTAAGTTTTCTTTTTTTCCCCCCCAAACCAACCCCAAAATGGTCAGTGCACTGTAAGTTTTTCAGATAAGCAAGTGGGCCTGTTCTCGAACACCAGTGCAAAATGCTAAACCAGACTTCCATTTCCTGTGACCTGCCCTGGAATTTGAAGAGGAGAATCCAGGTGGATCCATGGACAGAACAGCTTCTGAACAGCTCTGTGGAAATAACCACCATGGACATGCATTCCTTATTTTTAAAAAATATCTGTAAAGCAAATTGGCTTTCAATTAAATAGTTGCTTTATGTCTACTTAATGACTTGCCTAGTAAGTGCTCTTTAAACAGGAGGGGGAGGTGAATAATACCATTACAGTGAAGGTGCCGGGACTCTAGCAGTGTGGGTCCTATGAGACAGCATCTAGGGGCACACTGGAAGTCTCAGGCCCTCTGAGGAGGTGTTTTTCCCCAGTTGTGACATTTTCTTCCTTCTCAGTAAGTGGAATTAGAGAGTGAGGAGTGATAGAGTGAATGCTGTGTGTCTACTTTTGAGAATGTTGTCAGATTCTTTTTCTCTTAGAAATTTAGTTGTTCTTTGAAATAGTCAGTTGTTCAGTCATTTACTCAAAACAGTTGGTGTATCTCATGCCCACGGTGAGGAGCATTCTGCTTGAGAGTTTCCTAACTTTTTAGGAAAGAGAAAAGCCTAAAGACTCCCAGAGCACTAAGATGGGAGGTTCAGTTGTCGGAGATGAGCTTGTGTAGGGTAGCTGGCCTTTGAGAGGACACGGTGGTTGGTGGTATTGTGGACTGGGGAGAAAAGCCCATCAGTGGTCTAGCTGGGAGAGGCTGCAAAATACTAACAGTGCACTTACTGGGGACAGAGGGTAGGGAAGGAGCAGGCCCACAAGATTGCCCAACTCCAGGGAATGCCGTTCACAAGGAGGGGACAGGGTCCTCTGGAGTTGGGCAGTGTACTGGCCCTGGCCAGGGCTCTGATCACAAGTCCTCTCCCAACTGGAAAGCATATTTCTGCCTAAGAGGGATGAGCACAGGGACACAGTGGCTGGTTTGGCCAAATTGTTCTCCAAGATGGACTAATCAGCCATAATCAGGAGTTATCCCTGGTCCAGGCTAGACCACTGATGGGCATTTCTCCCCACTCCACACCCACCACCCATCACCACTGTGCCCCCTCGAAGGCCGGCTACCCTACATGTCCTCCTCTCTGACAACTTCCCATCTTGGAGACCAGTCATCTTTACAGACTGCTGGCCAATTCCCCCGGCCTCCATCCCTGTCTCTTAGGGCTTTATTTTGACAAATCGGAAGTTGGTAAAGAAGGGATTGTAATTATTTGTATCCGTTAGAGCATTAGAGAACACTGGATAGTGGCTCTTGACATTTAACAATGTTTGCTATCCAAACGGAACAGTTACATGTCAATTGCTGAGGTAATTAATGATTCTCTTGTGGGAACTGTAATGTGAAAAAACTAATTAAAGAAAATCGGCCGGGTATGGTGGCTCACGCCGGTAATCCCAGCACTTTGGGAGGCCGAGGTGGGTGGATCACGAGGTCAGGAGTTCAAGACTAGCCTGGCCAAGATGGTGAAACCCCATCTCTACTAAAAATACAAAAATTAGCCGGGCATGGTGGCAGGCGCCTGTAATCGTAGCTATTCGGGAGGCTGAGGCAGGAGAATTGCTTGAACCCTGGTGGCAGAGATTGCAGTGAGCCAAGATCGCGCCACAGCACTTCAGCCTGGGCGATAGAGTGAGACTCCATCTCAAAAAAAAAAAATCATTTTTTACTTCACATTTCTACAACATCCATGTTCTCTTTGGCAGGCCAAATTAGTCTTTCTTCTTTAAAAAAAAAAAAAAAAATTTTGACCAGGTGCTGTGATCTGTCCATAGGACCTGATTTCCTGCTAGTGCCGACCTGCAAGCAGTGCTCTGAATTGGTGACAGGTGTAGATTTAATGATTAGATCAAGCAGGGAAGTGGCTTCTGAGCATCAGAATGGTTAGTTTTAGTGTGGACCTCTTAATGAGGTGATTAATTATATCATTCCAACAGTTCTTGGGCAGCAGTTGAGTGTCCAGCAGTTTAGTTCTGTTACTGCGTGGAGTTAGCACAGACCCCACCTGTTTATTTCATTTTTTGTTTATAGAGACAGGGTCTTGCCCTGTCGCCCAGGCTAGAGTGCAGTGGTGCTATCATAGCTCACTGTCATTTCAAACTCTGGGGCTCAAGTGATCTCCCCACCTCAGCCTCCCAAGTAGCTAGGACCAGAGGCACACACCTCCATGGCTGGCTAGTTAAAAAAAATTTTTTTTTTGTAGAGATGGAGTCTTGCTTGTTGCCCAGGCTGGTCTCAAACTGCCTCAAGCGATCCTCTTGCCTTGGCCTCTCAAAGTGCTGGGATTACAGGTGTGGGCCCCCACACCCTCAGATCCCACATATTACTTACGCATTACCTCAAAATTGCCCCACTTCAGATGCCAGCTGCAGGTATTGGGTATTTGTACGTTACCTGAACTTCTGCCCAGCAGACTATAAATTTGGAGGTTCCCATGACTCCCCATCCCAGGTTTGATAATTTGCTATCATGAGTCATAGAACTCAGGAAAGCATGATATTTAGGATTACAGTTTTGTTACAAAGGATTTATTTATAACTCAGGAACAGCTGAATGGAAGAGACGCATAGGGCAAGGTATGAGTTGGGGGTGCAGAGCTTCCATGCCCCTTCTGGTGTGCCACTCCTAGCTCATAAATGCTTTTACCAACCTGGAAGCTCTCCCAGCCTCATTGTTTCGGAGTTCTGATTGAGGTTTCATTACTTAGGCATGATCATTGACCATTGGTGATTGAACTCTGTCTCTAGCCAGCCCTCCCCTCCCCAAAGCTCAGAAAGTAGGGCTTTGAGGTCTAATCATGTGCTTGGTCTTTCTGGTTTGGCTAGCCCTTCACTGGAAACTATAAGGGCCCATGGTGAAATCACCTTGTTAGCATAAACTCTGGCATGTGGTCCAGAGGGCTCTTCATGAATAATAAAAGACAGAAAATTCCAAGGGTTTTAGGATCTCTGGCAGGAACCAGGGACAAAGACCAAATACATTTTTCTAATACTCCATTAGTACTCCAGTTTTGTATCTTGTAAGTAGTAACGGAATAAGGGTACCTAAAGTTGATTTAAATGATAATTAACAATTGTCATTTCTTGACACACCAGATACTGCAAGTTGATTAGCTTTAGATTATAAGCAGCAAATTCCTCCTTCAATTAGTATGAAATGGCATTCCCAGAATAGTCAGTATTCTTGAACTTCAAAGGTGCATTAGGTCTAGACTTCCCTAATGCAAGAAACCAGCTTACTTTATAATACAGATTTCATGTTACCTTTTTTTTTTTTCTTCACTCTGTTGCCCAGCCTGGAGTGCAGTGGCACGATCTTAGCTCACTGCAACCTCTCCCTCCCAGGTTCAAGCGATTCTCCTACCTCAGCTTCCCGAGTAGTTGGGATTACAGGCATGTGCCACCACGCCTGGCTAATTTTTTTTTTTTTTTTTTGAGATGGAGTCTCACTTTGTCACCTAGGCTGGAGTGCAGTGGTGCGATCTCAGCTCACTGCAACCTCCGCCTCCTGGGCTCAAGCAGTTCTGCCTCAGCCTCCCAAGTAGCTGGGACTACAGGCATGTGCCACCACGCCCGGCTAATTTTTGTGTTTTTAGTAGAGATGGGGTTTCACTATATTGGCCAGACTGGTCTCGAATTCCTGACCTCAAGTGATCTACCCACCTTGGCCTCCCAAAGTGCTGGGATTACAGATGTGAGCCACTGTGCCTGGCCCTGGCTAATTTTTGTATTTTTAGAAGAAATGGGGTTTCATTATGTTGGCCAGGCTGGTCTCGAACTCCTGACCTCAAGTGATCCACCTGCCTCGGCCTCCCAAAGTGCAGGGATTACAGGTGTGAGCCACGGCACCTGGCCCATGTTACTTTTTAATATGACTTTTTAAAAGATTTAGATATACATAGTGGGCCAGGCATGGTGGCTCATGCCTGTAGTCCTAGCATTTTAAGAGGCCTAGCCAGGGAGGATCACTTAAGCCCACCAGTTCAAGACTAGCCTGGGCAACATGGTGAAACCCTGGCTCTACAGAAAATACAAAAGTTAGCCAGGCATGGTGGTGCCCGCCTGTGGTCCCAGCTACTTGGGAGACTGAGGAGAATCACCCTAGCCCGGAAAGTTGAGGCTGTAGTGAGCTGTGATCGTGTCACTGCACTCCATTCGGGGTGACAAAGTGAGACCCTGCTCAAAACAAACAAAAAATAGATGTACATAGTGCCTTGGTTAAGAGAACATAGTCTCTAGAGTCAGTCTGGGTTTGAGTCTGAACTTTATCACCGACTTGCCACTTGACCTTGGATGAGCCATTTCTCTCTCTAAGCCTCAGCTTCCTCATGTATGGAGTGAGGGTAATCACAGTAAATGGTTGTGAGGATTCAATAAGATAGTACATTCGAAGGACATGGCACAGTGCTGGGCATAAAAACAAACATTTAATAACATTAGCTATTATTGGCTACATGGCATCCATTGCTATGCCCACCTGGAATGGCAGCTAATTCCCAAGGAGTCAAGAATCATGTATATCATTTTACCTCCTCTTATAGTCAGTTTATGGGACAGTGTATAAAAAGATTGCTAGGCACACAGTAGACACAAGTTATGTATCATTTGAAAATAAAACCTGTCCTCTGGGTATCTGGGAAATACACTAGTGACTCTGTAATGGAAACTTCCAGCATGTTTCCAAAGCTGGCCTAAAACCCAGAGATGGAAAATCTTCCTCCTGAAACCCTATGGAGCCTGTATAAGTCTAGCAGTGGGGACAGGGGCTAGGATACTGTTGGATCAAAAATTGGGAAACTGATCCAGGAGACATTTTTATCTTTGACTGTATGCCTTGAGGTTCAGTGAGTTGGGCAAAACCACATTAGACTTTGGGAAAAGAAATAGATTTATTTCAGCCAGTCTAGATAATGTTTGACAGAGTCTCAGATAAAGAGAAAAGCCCAGATCCACATGCAAAAGGGCTTCCTGACTGCTTAGAGTTTACTTGTTGGTGAACTCCTCTGAGGCCAGGTCTCTAATTCTTCCTGTAGCTCAAGAACCAAGACAGTCTACTGTAGTGGGACTACCATTGGATTAAGTCCTTAGTTCTAGTCTAGACTCTGCCACCATTGCTGCTTTTCCTTGGGCAGATCACATCCCCTCTCAGTCTGTTTCTTTAACTATGACATAAAGGATTTAGGACTAAATCACTGTTTCTCAAAGTGTGGCTTTGGTTACACTTGTAATTTATGTGTTGCTGAAATGAATACTCATGTGTTTTTTTACTGCTGATGGTGCATAAGATGATTTTTGGTGGCACATGATGAATACTTTTCATTTACTAGTTCTGTTTTTTATTGTATTTACTTACTTTTTGAGATGGAATCTTGCTCTGTCTCCCAGGCTGGAGTGCAGTGGCGCTATCTTGGCTCACTGCAACCTCTGCCTCCTGGGTTCAAGTGATTCTCCTGCCTCAGCCTCCCGAGTAGCTGGGATTACAGGCACCCGCCACCACGCCCTGCTAATTTTTGTAACAGGGTTGCACCATGTTGGCCAGGCTGGTCTTGAACTCCTTACCTCAGGCGATCCACCCTCCTTGGCCTCCCAAAGTGCTGGGATTACAGGTGTGAGCCACAGCGCCCAGCCTACTAGTTCTGTTTTTTAATGTGTATGAATGAAAACATAACTATCATATCACACCTATGAATTCATGGACAATAGTGCTTAGGATGATACTAAAGTCATGTCAAAGACAAAATTGCAACCAATTTAGTTTCCAGATCTCAACTGGCTGTATTGCAATTCTAGAATTGGGCAATGTTTCATTCCATAATATAGAATAAGTGTTTAGATGAGCTAAAGCAGGAGTTGGCTTTATAGACAGAAGGGCTGAAGAAAGCAGAAGCAAAGAACAAAGAGTGTATCAGTCCTTTTAAAGCTGCTTTTCTTGTAAGGCAGGACAGGGAAACAGAACAATAGAGAAATAACTGAATAGTTAACATTAGATTACTTCAGACTTTTGTGTGTGTTTGTGTGTAAGGTTTAAAACTAGGGAACTTCATTATCGTGCCAGTTGAAGATTTAAACATGGAGTTTGGGAAGTTGGATGTTATCTCTTTCTCCTGGTTTCTGGGAAGGTCAGATAACAAACTTAGTTTGGGCATGAATGACTCCATTTTGATTTTTAGTCTGGTCTCTTGGAGCCTAGTGCAGGAGCTTAGTCCAGAACCATGGTCTTCTATCATTTTTATTTAACAGTAGATGCAGTTTTTAAAGAAGCTTTTAAGAAAAATATTAGGTGAACAGTAGATGGGATGGTAAAGATGGGATATGAATGGCTGAAGTTTGTAGGTTCCAAGACTCAGTAACTCTAGTGCAGCGCCACACCTTATTCAATGAAGTCTTTGTGGTGATGGCCACTGCTGAGCAGGTCCCGATTTCAGGACTTAAAGACTTGCCTTCAGAAGTCTCAGGCAAAAAAATAAAGACTTGACTAACTCAAGCAAATTGACAAATTTCTTTTTTTGCATTTGTGACAAAAATACCCACAAGTAGGTTATGTAGAATTTAAAATACCATAGCCATTAGTATTGGTGGCCTTTTTTTTTTTTTTCAATGAAAAAATGAATAATATTGTTTACTCTTTCACCTTTAGCAGTTTCCCGGCTACCTGGATTGCTCCTCAGTTCCTCATTGTTTGCTGTTGGGACTCCCCATGTTAGAAGTAAAGTTAGGGTCTGACTTGTTCTGTTGGGGTGGGAGAAAAAGCCTAATTGCTTCTTGAACCCAAGCCAGTGCATGGATTCAAGGCTCTGTCCCATCTCAAGAGCTGACCTGTAGATTACTTCTTCCTGGTGACTGCTTTAAAGGGACAGTGGGATATGTGCCCTAAAATGATGTTAAACACTGAGGCAGGCAGTATTTAAAATCTCATTTCACTTTGTCATATTGCTCATAATTCAACATAGTGGGGTCTTGAGAAGGGAAACGAGTAGTAGTAGAAATGATACAGACTACTGTGGGAGGCACTTGCTTTTTCAGTAAAACCCAGAATAAAATGGAAATCTCTGTTAAGCAATAGAAGCCGAAAAAGCTGCTTTCAGATGTAGTTTATGTTTTTTTTTTTTTAAAGCCTTAATTACCTGTAGTCCCTAAACATTTTCTGTGTATCTTTACACTGTCATCTTTTATTATCTACAGTTGGGGATTGGTCTGTGTTTGCAAGTGATCTTGTTCTGAGTTAACACGCTGTAAAGGGCCATGGATCTGGTATAGCTCCTTGTAATAAGTTATTTAGTGTTTCAGATTTTAGTTTTAAAAAATTGCTATAAAGATGGATCCAAGTCTGATAGGTCCCTGTGCCAAGTGTTACTAGTGAAGATTAGGTTAAAATAGAGCAAAATGCCGGGTGCAATGGCTCACACCTGTAATCCCAGCACTTTTGGGAGACTGAGGCGGGCGGAATCACGAGGTAAAGAGATGGAGACCATCCTGGCCAACATGGTGAAACCATGTCTCTACTAAAAATACAAAAATTAGCCGAGTATGGTGGCGGGTGCCCGTAGTCCCAGCTACTCAGGAGGCTGAGGCAGGAGAATTGCTTGAACCCAGGAGGCAGAGGTTGCAGAGAGCCAAGATTGTGCCATTGTACTCCAGCCTGGTGACAGAGCCAGACTCCGTCTCAAAAAAAAAAAAAAAAAGCAAAATGGTGGCAGTGATATAGCCCAACATTATTCTCCTAATTTATTTTATTTATTTATTTTGAGATGGGGTCTTACTCTGTTGCCCAGGCTGAGTGCAGTAGCCTAATCATGGTTCCCTGCAACCTCGAACTTCATTTATTTAATACAAGGTTTCTACATGACTTCATAATGAGAAACTCTCAAATGTTCCCCAACTGAGGTGGGATCTGTGCTTCAATTCCTCATACTTTGTAAATTTCGATTTTGTCATTCTTACTGTCTTGTCTCAGAGAGGTGTCGTGACCTGTGTCATTGGGCACATTGGCAAGGTGGAAAAAGCCTTTTACTGAAGGCTGTGTTTTGCAGGATTACAAGTCTGCCTTCCCACTAAGATCTAATTGATGACACGCAGCAAGCATCCTTTGAGCAGATTTTGAGTTCAAACCAAGCAACTCCTTGGATATACAATTATAAGACCACCTTACTTGTAGATGTCAGGTTTCTAGAACAGCCTATTTCCTGTGGTATGGAAGTTAGTCATTATGTGTAGGCAATGGTTGATGAGTCTGGATACATTCTGAAAGGGGAGGGGCCGAGTTGTGACATTCACCCTTGGTCTGCAGACCAAGTTTTGCAAAGCTAGAGTGGGGCTGTTTGTTTTCTTCTCTTCTTGGGAAATTGCCATTGGATCAGTTTGTCTTGGTTAAGATCTTTTGTGGGTAGCTGAGCAGTTGGGCTTTTAAAGATGAAAGCCACATGAAAGAAGACTGTTCTTTCCTAGTCATACAAATGATTATCTCCATGGTCGTATAATCTCCATAAGAAGTATGAGCATTCGAGACCACACATTTAAAAACTTAACATATAACAGAGTCAGAAGGAAAGATGTACAACATAGTGGCAGAGGTCAGTACCTTTACAAGCCATTCTTACATGTTCCAGCACCACTTATCGCGGTCTTCTCATGGTAGAATAACCTTTTAGTTTATCCAGAATCTTTTCACTCCTAAAATAAAGCCCTTTTAGGATGTTAGAAACTTGAATATTCATGGCAACTTCAAGTAAAAAAATAAAAATGTTTAATTGAAGACTTAATCTTTAACTCTGACTTTAAAACTTTCCTAGTCAAAGAGCTGGAGTTGCTTAATTTATCAGAGCATTTGCTTTTCCAAGTTCACAGCTCTCAATCGTTGATTGGCCTAGCAGAAAGAGATAATAAAAAGTTGTGCAACAGGTAAAAATCTTTCCAGTTGCCTTTTCCCCATTTGGAAGGAAACCTGTTTTTCTTTCCTTCTGAACAGTTTGGCCTAAGCTCCTCCCCTTTCTGATTTGCATATTTGCTATTTTCATACAGTACTTCAATTGATTCACTCAACAGAAAGTTCTAAAGATCTCCAGTATTTAATACTTCTGATACAACCAGCTTAAGCAAAAGAATTTTCAATTATGATAGCAGTTTAACAGAACAAAAATTTTTTTTTTTGAGATGGAGTTGCGCTCTGTCACCCAGGCTGGAGTGCAGTGGCTCGACCTCGGCTCACTGCAAGCTCCGCCTCTCAGGTTCATGCCATTCTCCTGCCCCAGCCTCCCTAGTAGCTGGGACTACAGGTGCCCGCCACCATGCCCGGCTAAATGTTTTGTATTTTTAGTAGAGACGGGGTTTCACCGTGTTAGCCAGGATGGTCTCGATCTCCTGACCTCGTGATCCGTCCGCCTCGGCCTCCCAAAGTGCTGGGATTACAGGCGTGAGCCACCGCATCCGGCCAGAACAAAACTTTCAAAAACACACTTTTAAAGTACTGAAGTTACTGAAACTCTGAAACCTGAAATGCTCCAAAATTTAGAACTTTTGATCCCTGACATGAGGCCCAAAGGAAATGCTCATTGAAGAATTTCAGATTTCAGATTTTCATATTAGGGATGCTCTACTGGTAAGTACAATGTTAATATTCTAAAATCTGAAGTTCAAAATCCAGAACACTTCTGGTCTCAAGCATTTGGGATAAGGGATACTCAACCTGTACAAGATATTTTCTCCCTAAGAAGAACCAGACTGTTATTTTTAAGTTAGAAATCTATAAGCAAAAGACTGGCATTCTCAGACAGAATGTGGACCATTCATAGGGTACTTCTGAAACTAAAAACCAGTTTTGTAAGCTAAAAAATGTTGGCCTCCAAAATGTAATGCTTTCATGGTTGTATTCAAAGTGAAGCGTATGTATTCTGAATTTTTCTGAAAGACTGACTCTAGGATTGGACACATCGTGTTTCAGGAAGAAGAAATGTGTTTATATGTTGCCAGCTACTTGTTCCAATAATTTTTAGTGCCTATTGTAGATCTTGCTCTTAAGGACTTTATTGTCTGGTTGGAACATAAGATAGTGACAATTAGAAAATGTTGTAAAACCAGTGCTGTAAAAATAGCAGTGCTGGCCGGGCATGGTGGCTCACGCCTATAATCCCAGCACTTTGGGAGGCTGAGGTGGGCAGATCACCTGAGGTCAGGAGTTCGAGACCAGTCTGACCAACATGGAGATACCCCGTCTCTACTAAAAAATATATATATATATACAAAATTAGCAGAGTGTGGTGGCACATGCCTGTAATCCCAGCTACTCGGGAGGCTGAGGCAGGAGAATTGCTTGAACCCGGGAGGTGGAGGTTTTGGTGAGCTGAGATTGCACCATTGCACTCCAGCCTGGGTGACAAAAGCGAAACTCTATCTCAAAAAAAAAAAAAAAAATAGCAATGTTATAAATGAAGGTGCTCAGGGGCAGAGAGGCTCTCAGTCAGGAAGGAGTCCTGTGGGAAGTAAAATCCCAGCATAAGGCATGAAAGACTAGAGAAAGGAATGGGGAGGGATTCTGAGCAGTGGTAACAGTGTGTATAAGACTAGGCCGGGCACGGTGGCTCATGCCTGTAATCCCAGTACTTTGGGAGGCTGAGGCGGGCAGATCACAAGGTCAGGAGTTTGAGACCAGCCTGACCAACACGGCAAAACCCCATCTCAACTAAAAATACAAGAATTAGCTGGGCGTGGTACCATGCGCCTGTAATCCTGGCTACTTGGGAGGCTGAGGTAGGAGAATCGCTTGAACCTGGGAGGCGGAGGTTGCAGTGAGCCAAAATTGTACCACTGCACTCCAGCACGCGTGACAGAGTGAGATTCTGTCTCAAAAAATAAAAAAGTAAACACATTTCCCCACCTAACTGAAAGGATGTTTGAAATTAGGGGAGCAGTTTGGTGAATTTCCTCTGT
Source organism: Homo sapiens (assembly GCF_000001405.40). Classification (NCBI taxonomy): domain Eukaryota; kingdom Metazoa; phylum Chordata; class Mammalia; order Primates; family Hominidae; genus Homo; species Homo sapiens. Next base: position 20,881,736 of record NC_000016.10, on the reverse strand, counting down.
CTCTGTCACAGGCTAAGGGCTTGCATAAGCTGCTTTAGTTCTGAGCTTATTTCCTCATCCGTAAAATAGGGATAGCCATAGGAACCTCCGAGAGTAGCTGTGGAGAGTAAATGCTATCATGACTGTAAAATGCCTAACGTTGTTTCAGGCACAATAAAGGTGATGGAGGGAACGTTTATCAAGCTTGGTTGAGATTTCCAAGCTATGGGTCATATCTCATTGGTGGGTTATAAGCAACAATTAAAAACAAAATGGGAAAAAAAGAAAACAAATAGTGCAAATCAGTGCATCATAGAAGTAAGGGTAAATATTGAGTAGATTATTTATTTTGAGACAGGATCTTGCTCTGTCACCCAGGCTGGAGTGCAGTGGCACACTCATCGGTCATTGTAACCTCAAATTCCTGGGCTCAAGCAGTTCTCTCCCCTCAGCCTCCTGAGTAGCTGGGACTAGAGGTGTACATCATCACACCCACTTAATTGTTTTAAATTTTTTTGTAGAGACAGAGTATCGCTGTGTTGCCCAGGCTTGGGTAAATATTTAAAAGGTTAAATATTCATGGAACTTTTCTTTGAGTTGTACATGGCTTTATATGTGTGCATTGGGTAAGGATATAAAATATATTTCTCACTGAAGGTTGCAGTTAAAGTTTGAAAACTACTTGTATAGTCCAAACTCTCATTTCTCAGTGACTCAAAGACTTAGCACACCAAAGCAAACAAAAAACCACTCTATCGGAGTATGCTGTTTTGAAAGAAGCAATTTAAACCTTCAGGCTTAAAAAAAAATAGCTTTGAAAAGCATCCTTAATTTAAGAGTCTGAATTTTGGCTCTGCTGCTTACTATCTCCTAGGGTATTATTATTGGAGAGTTGGATTGTTTTATTAGTTGATATGTGTAAAAATGTTTTGAGAATGATGCCTGGTACGTAGTAAACCTTGGGAAACTATTTGTGGATGTTACTATGTAAAAGTGGTAGTACTCTGCATTTAGGTAGATTTGTGCAGTGCACTAGGGACATAGTAGGTGCTTATTTTCCATTTGATTCTTTAGAAAGTATCTCTTAGATGCCAGTTAGCCATTTTCTTTTCTTTTTTCTTTTTTCTGTTTTTTTTTTTTTTTTTTTTTTTTTGAGACAGGGTCTTACTCTGTCACCCTGGCTGGAGTACCCAGGCATGATCACTGCTCACTGCAGTCTCAGCCCTCTGGGCCCAAGGGATCCTCCTATCTCAGTCTCCCAAGTAGCTGGGACCACAGACATGTACCACCAAGGCTGGCTAATTTTTTTATTTGTGATTTTGTAGAAATTGGGTCTCCCTATGTTGCCCAAGCTGGTCTCGAACTACTGGGCTCAAGCAGTCCTCCTGCCTTGGTCTCCCAAAGTGCTGGGTCTGCAGGTGTGAGCCTTCGCATTATGCCAAGTTGACCCTTTTTGTGTCATCATACACATTCCCTGTCTTCTTGGAGCTTGCAGTCTAAGATGCTGTCACTAAAATGACAACAGCCTTTCTCTTCTATGTACTTTTTATATTTGACTATTTGCTTGGGAGCCATGAATGTTTTTGTCCCAAGGGAATAAATAATGTGTAATGCATTTAAGCCTTGGACGCACGATAGACATAATAAAGTATATTATAATAAAATGTCATCTTAGGCACTTAAAAAATTCGGTTTAAGGACTTACTGGGAGGGAGAAATTACGGAACATTTTCTTTTCTGGTTCTTAAAATATGTTTTTGGCCTGGAAGAAACAAGTGTCAAAGTTGTTTTTAAGATTATTAGGTTGACTTCTCTTACAGTGAGTAGTTGGTGTCAGCAAATTGATTTGCAATGAGAAAGATGACTGTGCCTTTTGCTGAGCAGTGGTGGATAATGAGACTTCCACTTCAATAAGCCCATTGGCAATACCGAGTCATAACCTGGGTGAATAGGAGTTAATCTTGGCTGCCTGGCAGAAGTGGATTTGTTATATAATTTATGATACCCAGAAATCCTTTGGGGAGGTCTTTATTATCTTATTATCATGACAGTATCCATCTATGCCTGAAGATTAATTTTTGTTGTTCTCATCTAGTTCCACCAGAGCGATTCTCCTAACTGAAAGGGTAGTGACTTGTTAAATGCCTGCATTTGGCTTTTGCTTTGACACAAAGGTATGCTAATCAAGATTGGATGTTAGCAATCCAGAAATATTTCAGTTAGTGATTTATTAATAGTTTAGAGATTTTTTTTTCTCCTGTTAAACTGACTTCTGAAAAATGAGTCATATTCAGGGTTTCAAACATTTCCTCTTTGACCAGCCTCAAAAAAGGTTTATCAGTGTTTGTCTTGTAGATTGTTGCTGCAATTCATTTGTGTCAGTTCTGCCACTGCTGAAACAAACACAAGAGGGGTATCAGTTTGGTTTTCCATCATTTGACACAAGCGGACTTCTTAATTCTGTCACTGGTGGACGATCACTGTTAAACAAGCCGGTACTATTTTTTATGACTCACTGAGAAGTCATGTGGTAGTGTGATACCCCGTCTCCAGCTACCAGTGTTTAAACTTGTAATTTTCAATATATTGTGTTAAAACAGACTTCTAATTCTGGCTATTTTTCTTTTCAATTTTAGGCCTAAAATTGGAAGCTCTGTTTTTATAAAACAGCCTCCTAGAAAAGTCACCGGTGTTGCTATTCTCTTTCTACCCCAAATATCATAACTGGGCCTGGGGGCGGGCAGAGTAAGAGCTGGCTGTTTCACATGGTTAAGCAGAATGTGTGGGTCTGCCAGCCAGCGGAGGTGGAATCTGCCCTTTGCTTTCTCAGCAAGTACCTCTGGCTTTGGGGGCCCCGTTGAGGACTTTAGTTGTTGGCCTTTCTCGCAGTCATGTGAAACAAAGTTCATTGTCTCTGGTGGCTGTAAAGAGATGGAGGACCTTTATTGTCTGTATCACTTACCCTCTTTGATAAGGTATGTGCTTCAGCCCTCCAAGTTAAAAGTCACTCTGTCATCAAGTGAACAGTGGTATAACATCTCAAGAGGTGTAACACTGGCCATGAGTCCTTGTGTTTTAAGCAGTTGAATTCGTATTTAAAGCAAGTAGTATGCAGTATTCAAAAAAGCTGCTGGCTGTTGCTCCTGCATCTCTAGACACCTTAAATATGATGCCTTTATTTGTTGAGGTGGGGAAGATGCAGTTCAGACCAGCAGCCTGAGGCTTTTCACTGGAGTGTTCCCAGTTGGTGAGCCCCTTGGTCTTCCTAGAGTGCAGTGCATGGCTGTGGCTTCAGTAAACCCTTGGACATAACACCCTGACTGAAAAGAGAGGCAGAAGTGATTTCCATTAATGTGAATTTTTTCTAAGATCCTGAGGTACAGGTCAAAAAGAGACATGACAGGTTGAACATCTCCCTATGTCAGCTTCATATTCTGGCTTTTGCTGTATTTGAGGTGAAAATTAGCTTGTGAAGTGAGGAGAGATGGACCTGTGTACTGCTGGCTGAGAAGCTGTGTTTGTATCACATTATCTGAGAAACTCATAAGGTAAAGAATAATTGGAGTAATAAGATAATCCTCTCCTCTCTTTCCTCTCTGAAGGTAGTGGGTGCTTCGAATGGGGGGAGTCCAAGAAAAAATAGACCTTAAGAATCAGGGCTGGGCCCAGTGCTCACACCCATAAACCAAGTGCTTTGGGAGACTGAGGCAGAAGGATTGCTTGAGCCCAGGAGTTCGAGACCAGCCTGGGCAACATAGCAAGACCCTGTCTGTACAAAAATAAAAATGAAAAAAGTAGCTGGGTGTGGCACCATGTGCCTGTAGTCTTAGCTGCTTTGGGAGGCTAAGGTGGGAGGATCGTTTAAGCCCAGAAGTTTGAAGTTAACAGTGAGTTATGATTGCACCACTGCACTCTGGGCTGGCAACAGAGCCAGATCCTGTCTCTAAAAAGAAAAAATCAGCTCTTGAGAACTGAATTGAGTTCTGCATTCTTAGGACTCAACTCCCTTTACTCTTTCCTGTTGAGTGTTTGTTGACATCATCCTATAATTTGAATTGGTATAAATAGCTACCATTTATTGAGTATTAATTGTGTGTGAGAAAGTGCTAAACATCTCAGATTCAGCATTTATTCAATCACGAGTTAATATATTTAAAGCAATAAAGCCTTGTACAGAGCATGTGCTCAGTATCAGTGACTATTATTCCTTCTACAGATACTTATCAATGTGCCATGTGCCACATAGCCTAGGTGCACAGGGTAAAGTGGCGAATAAGGCAGGTAAAATGCCTGCTATTAGAGGGAGCAGGCAATAAATAAGTCAGCAAATTAGAATTTCACAGAGTTGTAAGTGCCGTGAAGAAGTAAAACAGCGTTGTGCTGAATTAGAGGGAAGTGGCATTTGGATTGGTTGAACATGGAACACATGTCAGCACGTGAACTGAGACCCATCTCATATGAAGCAGCCATTTATTCTTCACCGTGACCTTTTTTTTTTCATCGCAGAACTCAGTCCCATTTTTTTGTTAATTGATAAATAATATATGTAGTTTTGAGACATGTGATAATATGATACATTCACATTATGTGTAAAAATCAAATCAGGGTAATTGGGATATTATATCACCTTAAATATTTATCTTTTCTTTATGCCGGGATCATTTAAATTATTCTCTTCCACCTATTTTGAAATGTACATTAGATTATTGTTGACTGGAGTCACCCTACTGATTTTTCCAACGCTAGGTCTTACTTCTGTTTGTACCCACTAACCCACTTCTTTTCATCTCCCCTCCCGCTCCCCTTCCCTGCCTCTGGTAACTACCTAGAGAAGATAACTGTCTCTCTCTTCCTGAGATCCACTTTTTTAGCTCACACATGAGTGAGAACATGTGCTATTTGTCTTTCTGTGCTTGGTTTATTTCACTTAACGTAATGACCTCTAGTTCCAACCGTGTTGCCTATGACAGGGTTTCATACTTTTTTATGGCTGAATAATATTCCATTGTGTATATGTACCACATTTTCTTTATCCATTCATCCATGGATGGGCACTCAGGTGGATTCCATATTTTGGCTATTGTGAATAATGCTACAATAAACATGGGAGTGCAGATCTCTCCAGTATATTGATTTTCTTTCCTTTGCACATATACCTAGTAGTGCAATTGCTGGATCATACAGTAGTTCTATTTTCAGTTTTTTGAGGGCCCTTTATACTGTTTTCCATAGTGGCTATACTCATTAACATTTCCACCAACAGTATACGAGGGTTCCCATTTTTCCACATCCTTGCCATTCATTATTCTGTTTTTTTTTTTTTTCATAACCATTTTAACTGGGGTGAGATAATATTTCGTTGTGGCTTTTATTTACATTTCTGTGATGATTAGTGATGTTGAGCATTTTTTCGTATACCTGCTGGCTATTTTCATGTCTCCTTTTGAGAAACATCTATTCAGATCTTTTGCCCATTTAAAAATCAGATTAGAGTCGGGCACAGTGGCTCGAGCCTGTAATCCCAGCACTTTGGGAGGCTGAGGCAGGCGGATCACCTGAGGTCAGGAGTTTGAGACCAGCCTGGCCAACATGGTGAAACACTGTCTCTACTGAAAATACAAAAATGAGCTGGGCCTGGTGGCATGCGCCTGTAATCCCAGCTACTCGAGAGGCTAAGGCAAGAGAATCACTTGAACCTCGGAGGTGATTGGTTGCAGTGAGCCGAGATCATGCCACTGCACTCCAGCGTGGGTGACAGAGTGAGACTCTGTCTCAAAAAAAATAAATAAATAAAATAAAAATCAGATTATTATTATTATTATTTTGCTATTAAGTTGTTTGAGCTCCTTATATATTCTGGCTGTTAATCCCTCGTCAGATGGATAGTTTGCAGATTTTTTTTCCCATTCTGTGGATTGTCTCTTCACATTGTTGATTGTTTACTTTGCTGTGTAGAAGCTTTTTAGCTTGATATAACCCCATTTGTCTCTTTTTGCTTTGGTTGCCTGTGCTTTTAAGGTCTTACACAAAAAATCTTTGCCCAGACCAGTGTCCTAGATCATTTCCCCAGTGTTTTCTTCTAGTAGTTTCATAGTTTCATGTCTTATATTTAAATCTTCAATCCACTTTGATTTGATTTTTGTATATAGTGTGAGAGAGGGGATCTAGTTTTATTCTTCTGCATATAGTCATTTAGTTCACAGTGATTTGTTTTAGTTCCCGTTTTCAACTGAGAAGACTGAGATGGAATATGGTTAAGTGTGAGCTAGAGAGTTGGTAGAGCTGGGCTGTACAAACCTAGTCATTTTGCATCCAATGCATGTACTTTCCCTCCTGGAAGGCACATGACTATACTGGAGCAGCTGAAGGAGCTGCAATATCTGTGCAACTGGTTTTTGAGTGAGAGAATTGAATGTTGGTTGCAGAACAGTCAAGACACTGAACGCAATTCAGAAAAGTTGCATGTAATTTCATGGACCCCCTATTGTTGGATGCAACATTTGTGTGTGTGTGTGTGTGTGTGTGTGTGTGTGTGTGTGTGTGTGTGCATGAGCGCACGCAGTTTATTCTGGGGCCATAGTTGTCTTTGAGTCTTCAGACTTATTGATGACTGAAAGAACTTATGGTGCTGCTGCTTTATTTTATAAATTTTTTATGTTGTTTCTTAAAATAGGGCATAGCTGCTAGGGCAGGGTTTTAATAGACAGCATTGTGGTGGCCATTAGGTGGCAGCAATTTTGGCAGGTCATGTGGGTGGGAAGTGGGCAGGAACGAATCATCAGATGTCTTACTTTGCAAAGCTTGCAGTACCACAGTGCCTTCCAACAGGTATAGAGCTCCATTTTTAATTACCTGCTTATCTTTGCACATGTTAATGTACTCTGGGGCCTCATGCTACATGAGCATTTGTGAAAATAAGTAACTTAAAAAAAAAAATCAAAGCCTAAACCTTGGGGCCTCAAGTTTCAACCTGCAGAGAACGTATTCAAATAAAGATGTGCAAACATGAGCATTTCCTGTCAGTCTTTGAAACTTAAACACTTTCTTAATAGGCTCTTCGGCATGTAAAATCAAAGAGAAATTGTCTCAGTGATAGGAATTGAAACCAAGAGGGTAGCCAAGTTCAGGTTAGATTTGGGCTTTCAGTTTCATGGGATATGGTTTAGATCAAATACCTGTTTCAGCTGGAAGGTTGATCATGTTATTGTACAGAGAAAGACTTCTGAGAGATTTTTGCTTTCAGCCTTTCACATGGTGTCTGAATGCTGGGACGGGGTTCCTCTTTGGGAACAAGATGATGACAGCAAATATGTACACAATAGAATAAAGCTCCTGAAGTATTCTGTGGCATATCTACTTGAAGGAGGTCTAACGGTGTAAAAATTGCAATTGGAAAGATTCTTGTAGCCAGTTAGTCATACCATCTTTTAAATAGCATCCTACTGGTCCACGTAGTTATAATGGAATTTGACAGCTTTCATGAACTTGGGATCATTGGTCCTGTTGTTCAGCTAAGGGTCCTATGATATATTCGACTAGAAATTGTGGCCTAGTCAGTTGGTTCTGAACCATGAATCAGAACATCTGGCAATTAGATCTTCTCTCTCTTTGCTCTCTGAATAGAAGAGATCTGAGTGACATAGCTGTGTCTTGGTAGGGACTCTTTCAGTTGTGATAGAAAACCTGATATCTAACTTATGCAAAGGAGAGTTTGTTGGCTCACACCTGTGAAGTTCAGGCTTTGATCTTGACTCTAGGAACAGTTGGATTCAGGGTGTAAATAATGCCTTCAAAATTCAGTTTCCCTTTGTCTCTTCATACTGCTTTCCACTTGGTGATTTCATTTTTGGGTTCTACATGCATTTGAGCTGAGCCCCATGTGATAAACAGGGACCATTTAATCCTCACAGTGACCCCCTAGGCATTCTTATTTTCTCTGGTAGCTCTTTCTGGTAGCATCTCCAGCCTCCTGTATTTTCAGGGTTGAGATTCTGTCTGGCTGGCTTGTCATGGGCATATCCTGGGTCCAGTCATTAAAGCCAGGGGCATGTGAGGCCTTGGTGGGGCTGAGTCCCATAGTTCTTTATGAACCCCACCCAGCCATATGGCCGAGAGCGAGGGAAAAGGATCTGCTGGTGAAAATTGGGTAATCACCTGATGAAGAGCCTGGATGCTGGGAAGGCAGACACGTCTGCTACAAATCTGTCCTTTGACCCAGTCTGCAGCTTGACAGCCCATGTTAGTCTTCACACTAAATCCAGCCCATTGACCATTTCCAGGCATTCCACATTTCTCTTTTGAATGAGCCTCTTGCTCCCTGGGAATGTGAATCACTCAATCCATGGGCCAGACCCTTCTACCCCTGATGTTAAACCTTTGATAAGGGGACTGTTACTCATTAGACCTTAAGATGGTCATCATCTTTGTCCTCTTCTTTTCCTTGGAGGGAGTGTGAGGAGGAAGTTGATCTTCTTTTGAAAGAATAAATTGAGGAAATTTAGATATAAGTGAAAGATGTCTTTAGGATTAAGCTGCTTTTCTCCCCATTCCCCCATCATTTAAAAACACTTCCTTAAAATCCCTGGAGCCAGAATCACTGGATCATTGGATTGGTTAGTTGTTTTTTTTTTTTTTTTTGAGACAGAGTCTCGCTCTGTAGCCCAGGCTGGAGTGCAGTGGCACAGTCTTCCTCACTGCTACCTCTGCCTCCCAGGTCCCACTTCAAGCAGTTCTCCTGCCTCAGGTTCCCAAGTAGCTGGGATTACAGGCATGTGCCACCATGCCCAGCTAATTTTTGTATTTTTAGTAGAGACGGGGTTTCACCATGTTGGCCAGGCTGGTCTTGAACTCCTGACCTCGTGATCCACCTGCCTTGGCCTCCCAAAGTGCTGGGATTGCAGGCGTGAGCCACTGCGCCTAGCCTGGTTAGCCTTTTTGATGTGATTCGCAGTGAAGCAAGACTGAAAGGATATACTCCAAAATATTAACCGTAGGTGGTGAAATTAGTGATTGGCTTTTTTTTTCTTTATGCCTCTCTGTACTTTCTAAACTTCACAAAATAATTATGTAATACTTTTGAATTTGCCAGCAGGAAAGAGAGTCTAGTGACCTCACTTTTCTGACCAGGTTACTGATGTGGTTGAAAGCAGGAATTCTTTTATTGTGTGGATCTTTTCTGTCCCTCTTCCTCTTCCTGTCTGCTATGCATTAGCAGTCAACCTCCATCGTGGGGAAAAAGCTGATAAATGTGGTCTTAATGGATTTAGATTTTTTTTTTTTTTTTTAAGAATTAGCAAACATTAAGAGGTTGATTGGTTACCACGTGGTGAACCTGAGGCCTACTTAGAGGCCTTTGGCTCCCGAAACCACATATCTACATTTGTGGTCATCCAGGTGCCCTTTAAGACATTTGGATGCAGTCATTTATCATCTGTATGTTGTGTTCCTTCGTCGTCTTTGGACTCATTTCATAATTTCCTTTCTTGCCTTTTACTTAGATGCAAAAATCTAACCTTATCTCCAGTTCACTAATTTTCAGTGAGTTGCTGACTCCCAAGTTCTCAGAAGGTGATTGAAAAATGAGCAGTTGATGTGGTAATTGGGTGTTTTGAGGACTAATCAGCTACAATCAGGTAAACCTCCAGGGTGGCTGATAACCATATGCTGACTGGAAGGAGGGTATTAGTGCTAATCAGTGGTTTACTTTCAGTGGGCTCTACTGAGGCTCCATCCTAAGGAATAAAACAAGCTGCAAGCTTATAACGGAGATGAAGAGTGCAGCAGGCATGCCGTTTTTATTAGAGTTAAGGTTCAGTACAAATCCAGGATGGCTTTCTGGTTTTAAACAGGGAAAGTCACTGGAAAAGCTGGTGTGAAAACAAAGAATGACCTAGAAATTTGGTGCCCATTTATGATGCTCCCCCTTGCACATAAGTGGGTAGTTAGAAATGCCCAGATCAATAGTGACAGCAAAAAATATTTCAAGTATGGGTCAGTGAAATGATATAGCCCTTTTTTGGTTATTTTGAGTTATGTGGGATTAAACATGTAGCTCAGTTTGGAAGCCCAGAGACCAAAAAAATGGTTCATTATTTGGTATTTGGAAACTTTATAGTATGTGCGTGTGTTGGCTTGGCTGTATTTGGCAAGTAGGCATTTGTTCTAGCCAGCCCACACTGGCTTCAGTCCTGAGGCCTCAACTGGACATATATTCTTAGTAGTGAATTCAAAGGGTGCAATGCGAGGGACATTGAGAACACTTTCAAAAAGAAATGACTTTATGCTAAACTGGCTGGTCTTAGTCATGTGACCTAAGATGATTTTTATAGAAACATAGCCAGTTTTCTTTTTTAAAAGTTTTCTCTGTCCTCCCTACCCCCTTTCTCCCTTCCTTCCTCCCTCTTTTCTTTTGCACTTTTGAGATTGGTTGATGTAAAAAGTCATGGGTTCCTCCCCAACCCTAACTGGAACTGCTGTTGCTTGTTGCTGCTGTACATTTTAGGACAAAAAGTCTTTTAAAAGCTGGAAAATAGAAGCAGACGGGTCTCGTTTGCTTTGGCAGAGGGATCAACTTTCCCTCCCAAGTAGCTCTGGGTAAGACCTAATCTCCAAAGGTGATCTTTGAAGTCTTAAGTTGGAAGTGGCAGCAGCAACTGTGCATTTAAAGTGTTCCCTCAGTCTTCCTTGTTATTTTTGCACATTTACTTTCTAGGAAGTAGTTTACAAATGGACACCAGCCATATTCCGTCTTTTTCTCAGGTCATTCAGAGTCTTGCTCCCAGGTGGGATCAAGGGGCTCCTGTGGTCCTTGAGACTCTCCGGAGGATGGCTGTGCCAGTACAACCGCCTCAGCCCCTGGCAGCTGTAGAAAAGCTGTCTGAGGAATTCATGTACTTATGTTCTCTGGCCTTTGGGTATCTGACATATGTAGGAAGAAATAAAAAGCTGCACCCAGCTAGCTCTACAAACTATTTAGATGAAAGTTGAAAAGATGGGCTTTTTATATTGTTAATATGTAGGAGCACCAGCATCTGGCAGTGGTTTCTTGCTGCTGAATAGATTCTAGATGGGAACAGAATGGAGGAGTGGAATGGATTGGTCCCTTCTGTCAAGGAAGCCTCAGAGCAGATCTCAAGTGCTTTGCTGACACTGACTTTTGGTGCCAGCATTTGCCTCCTGTTTTTTAGCTCCTCATTTCACAAGTCTGTTCCTTGGGTGACAGGCTGTCCATTAGTAGTAGCCAACATGCATTCCTCTGAGTGGGCTTCCTGACCCAGCGAGCTGCAGCAGTTTACTTGGGTCTGTTTTCCATGTCTGGACCTGTTACTGACCCTCCAGAGATCAAACTAAGATGATTAAGGAGAGGGAAGGCTGCAAAACTGGTGTTTCCTATCCCTCGTTGTTCAGATTGGAGTAGCCCTGCTTTCCCTCTGCTTTTGGACTTCTGCTTTTTCTTTGACTCTGATAGTCTTGGGCAAGGAGTAGTGTGAGATCTGTTCACCAAGGAGGCAAAGTGCCTGTCCTTAGGAGGGTTGCACATTTAGAACTTTGGCCTCACTGAATGCCAAAAAAGGTGAAGTAGTCCCAGAATATTAGACCTTGGAAAGACTAACCCAGACCTCTCACTTTAATGTCAGTGTCACAGAAACTCAGAGAGGTTAAGTGGCTTGCTCGAGAGTGCACATTGCTCAGGAGGATTTCACACCAGAACCAAAGGCTTCCTGGGGGCGTATTCTGTTCCTATTGACTTGGTTCCTCAGGAATATACTTAGGCATTGATAGGATGTTGGACATTTTCTTCTTGGGGCACCAGGACCTCCTTAGGGGTAGGGGAATATCCTGGCACACATCATAGCAGAGAACAGTAGTGAGACCAGTGATGGAAAGTGGCGAGTTTAGAGTCAGACTGCCTGGATTTGAATCCTTCTCCTCCATTGGCTGTGTGACCTCAGGCTACCTCCCTCAAGCTCTATTCACTTCCTCCCTCTGTAAAATGAAGATTATATTGTCTTCCTTATAGAGTCGTGGATTACATGTGATAATTCATGCCAATAAATATATGTAATTATTTTTACAATATTGTTATTAATATACATTAATAACATGAGCCAACCATATCAACCCTCTCCCTCCTCCTTTCCATTTCATGCTTATAGACATTTAAGGACCAGAATTAAACCTGCCTTCTCTCTGAAACTTGCCCATGGAAAGTCTGGCAGACTGGTTTTATTTTCCAGCCTTACTGCTTAGTAGTTAAGAGACCTGTTTCCTAATCTATGAAAGCTGCAACAACTATTTTCTTGAGGTTGTTGGGAGGCTTGAAGGTGATGATGAATATGAAGCATGTAGCCCCAGGCTCCACAGATACTGATTTCACGTCCCCAGTCCCTCCCTACCTTTCTTTCCGTAATAGTAGTTCACACTTCTCTCTCCTTCTCCTGTCTGCATTTGTACAGAGTCTCAGTGTGAGTTTGTCCTCTGTGGTGGTTCTGTTCTGTAAGACACAGTTGAGAGTAAGCCCCTAGAAGACAGGGACTTGCCTGGTTGTCATTTCATGATCTGCCTAGGAGATGGGAACAACTTCCTGATCCCTCTTTGGAGCTAGAGCAACCCAGGGACTGCAGCCTCTGGGATTGCCCTTTGGGCTCAGCAGTGGCCGCTCCAGGCCTAGGACCAGGCAGCCAGCCAAGCCCATCCCCAGGAACAGCGGCCAGCGCTGGCACAGGGGAGGAAAGAGTCTGGAGGCTGATGTGCAGAGGAGGGAGGGAGAGGCAGAGCAGCTGGGCTGAGACTGAGGGAGAGAAGCTGGAGGCTGATCTTGGTCCAGCAGAAGCTGAGCAGAGCTGCTGTCTTTGGTCTTTCAGGTAAACACTCAAAGCTATAAGTAGAAAAGAAAAAAAGCCTAGAAGTTGGTTTCCCCAGTGCATGGGTTTTTTTTTTCCTTCTTTCTTCTGCCTTTTCTTTCTCCACATCCCTCCTTGTCTCTGGCTCCATTCAACCCATTTGTGTCCCTTGCTAATGCAGGAGAATGGTCACTTATTGTGAGCAGACCTGAATCGCTATGGGAGATCTGGGCTGGCTCCTGAAAAGAGCACTGTTCTAGGAGAAGGGAGACGATTCTGTCACCAAAGTTGTGACAATAATTATAACTATTATAGAGGCTAACACCAACCAAATGCTTTCTGTGAGTCAGGTATTGAGCAGAGCATTTACCTGCGTTATTTATTCTACCCAATAGTGCTTTGAGGTACAACTGCCTCGATTTAAAGTTCCATGCGGACAGTTCCCATTATTTGGTGAGATTGCCATGGCAATGGCAATGGTTTGTCTTGGTTTGTCTGAGCTCATCCTCTTCATCACTGCGCTTCTGTTTCCTCCATTCCTAAATAGACTCCTTGACCTCAGTTTGTCTGTGTTTAGTTTCCTGTAAAATGGGGGTAATTGCTTCACAGAGCTACATTTATATATAGCTTTCTTAATGTATTAACAAATACCAAATGATATTCAGGACTAATAATGCTCTGTTGCTGTTGAAAATTTGGTGCTGGGATGTCCAGATTGTGCTGAGGCTGTCCACTTCAGAGGTGGCAGTGATGGGGAGGAGGACCAACTGGGAAGGCAGTTCCATTAAATTAGTAACTGAGTGGAAAGCTAGACATCCTTTCTTTTGCAGAGATCTACAGAGTTGGGACTAAGTGGAGAGGGGAAGGAGTTTGGAACTGGCTGAAAGCCTGCTCCAGGTTAGGGACTGGGCATAACCAGCAATTCATTGTCCGTTGGGCACAGCAGATACTCAGCTTGATTTTATTCAGGATCAATCACAAGGAAATCCTGTGTTGTGGAGAGTCTGATCCTCCAAGCATTACTGGGTAGTGGTGTATTTGAGTAGGATCAGTGCTGTGGCAAGATAATCGGTTTTGGAACAAGCCCTGGGCCAGTGACTCAGTGCAGGGATAGGAAGTCCTGGCCAGCTGGGCCTGTGGAATCTGAGGCCTGGAGCCCATTGTTCAGATGGGGTAAGTTGGGGCTTCCAACAGGCTAACCAGATACTACTGAGCTACTACTACTACTGATACAGTAACAGCTGTCATATCAAGTGTTTTCTCTGAAGCCATGTACCTTTAATCTGCAGTTCCTCACTGAATCCTTTCAAGAGCTCTATCAGGCAGATATCATTTTGCAGATTGAGGAAATTCAGGCTTCCATTAGGGTCAAACAATTAGCCAGTGGCGCAGTTGGGCGTCCTTTTCAGAGCTGGAGCTTTTAACTGTGCTGGTGGACAAAAACGTCACACGTTTAGGGCATCTGGACTAATTCTCGTTTCCACGTCTGGTGGGGCTGAGCCTGGGTGCATGGTGCTTGCCTGGATCATGGCAGCGAGTAGGAGATCCTTCTTGAGCACCGAGCACAGACCATGTGTTCTCTCTCCAGTGGCTGATGGTGAGATTTGCTGCTCTGGGGTTGCTGTGGTGTCACTCCTGAACTTGGGGCCGGTCCGTCATGTGTTCTCTCTAGATGCTTTGCTGGGGGTGGGCTCAGCAATCTAGCCTAGGGGTAAATGTCATGGTATCTTGAGCCAGATGTGTGATCATGGGTAATTTACTTTCCTCAGCCTCAGTTTCCTTGTTTTTAAATGAGGCTGTGATGAGTATATGTGAGTTCATGTCCCCAAAAGTGCTTAGCATAGTGCCTGGCACCGTATCAAGTGCTCAATAATTGATGACTGCTATTATTAGCTGTTAGCCATCAGCTAGTGAGTCTACGGGAGACCTTCAACTTTAAAACACTTGAAGTGCTGCCAGCCTGGGCCATGGGGCTGGGCACTGTGATGGAGCCTGGGGAAAGCTCTGGGAGAGCAAAAGTATTTTCCCAGAGAAGGGGGTAGACACAGAAGAAGGTAGACCACTGGGCAGTAATCAGAGTAATCGGGGGACCATACTTACCAGATCTGGAGATATTTTCTTCTGGGTTTAGACCACCACTCGCCTCAACACTCAATGGAATGGGGGCATTTCAAAGAAAGAGACCAGAGTGGAAGAACGATCCAACCTTCTGGCATTTGCTGATTGATCATCTGTTGAAACTAATTTTCTTCTCCTTTTTTTCATCTGCTGGTCATGTTAAAAGCTTTCAGGTTTCAGCTGGTTCTGCTGTGTCAGGTAGTCAAAAGATACTCTTACATGGAGGGCTGGTTGGCTCAATGGGATTAGGGCCTCTTTGGGAGCCCCATCTGTTCTGTCCCTACCTGAAGGCCTTGGCGCCAGGATTTGGAGGAAGCTGCTAGGATGAAGCATCTGTCCAGTGGGGGCGGGGTGAGTGGCCTGGGGTAGGTGGGTCAGATGGAGGCCAGGAAATCCTCTTATCTCGCTGGGTGCCCATGCCTCACTCAGCAGCAGGAGCTGAGCAGTAAACCCTGGTGAGTCAGCGTGCCTGGGAATTAGAGTTGCCAGTCTGTGAGCATGTGGGGTTTGTGTAAGTTTGGGCCTTTTGTTTCTTTCAGCATTCTAGTCTTTAGGAACACAAATCTGGAAACCAGGCCCTCCACATGGTACAGTCCTTGTTTTGAGATAATTCAGCTCGCACAGTTGCTTCCCTTGTACCATGGTCTTCCAAGAATTAACCCCTTGCCATTTGAAATTGTAATGAGTTGTACTTATGGCTTACTAGCTGTAGTCTTAAAGCATAAAAAGTCTTTTAAAAAACTTACTTAGGATGGTTGTTTTCCATACCAAAAGCCCTTATAAGAGCTTCAGTGTATTTTTGAAGCCTAAGTAAAACTACAAGTCTTTGAGGGCATGTTTGGACATGTATTTTTGTCATTGCTCTCTTTGCGGGTGGAGAAGGGGACAGGCCTTGATATGACTAATCTCTAATAACTACAGGAATGATTGTGCTCTTCATTTTAAACTTACTGTATACTCAGAGCTTATCCTCAGAGAGAATTCCTCTTGAAGACGACCCCCAATTTATCCAGGCACTATTTGGAGGAAGCCAAGTATTTTAGGCAAAGTTTAAAGCTCCAGCCTTTCATAAAAAACACCTTCTGTCCCACTGCCGGTTTTCAAAGATCTTTTAGTTTGGATCATAGAGGTCCATGAAAGCTCCCTAGACCTGGGGAGGCCCGGGTGACTGACGTTGACTTCTGTTTAGTGTCTGTTTCCTGCTACACTTCTGGCTCCTGGTCCACACTTCATTAACAACGTAATTTCAGTGGCTGCCATTATTATAGCAGTTGGCAAAGTTTTATAAATACTAAATTGTACATGGATTTTCCAACAAACCAGTTGAAGGTAGGAATAAGAGTCCTAAGTAGCCAGAGTCATCTTAGAGAAATCACCTCGCTTCTGGCTCAGAAATGTCTAGCAATTTGTTTAAAAAACCACTTTTAAATTATATAAATAATTAATAAACCACCATGACGAGTTTGTTATGTATCAGTGCAAACTTTTCTTTTTCATCTAGCAATTATCCTACCATTTAAAGATTGTATTTGGGTAAATCTGTCCTTCTTTTGTTTTTCTATTTTTTTCCCACTTTTTTCAGTTTTTTCTTTTTTTCTGAATATCCTGAGCATTTTTATTTATTTATTTTTGGTAACTTTTTTTTTTTAGCTTTTATTTTAGGTTTGGGGGTACATGTCAAGGTTTGTTACACAGGTAAACATGTGTCATGGGGGTTTGTTGTACATATTATTTCATCACCCAGGTGTTAAGTCCAGAGCCCAGTAATTATCTTTTCTGCTCCTCTCCCTCCTACCACCCTCCACCCTCTACCCTCAAGTAGACCCCAGTTTCTGTTGTTTCCTTCTTTGTATTCATAAGTTCTCATCATTTAGCTCGCACTTTATAAGTGAGTATTTGGTTTTCTGTCCCTGCGTTAGTTTGCTGAGGATCATAGCCTCCAGCTCCATGTGTGTTCCCACAAAAGACATGATCTCGTTCTTTTTTATGGCTGCATAGCGTTCCGTGGTGTATATGGACCACATTTTCTTTATCTTATCTGTCACTGATGGGCATTTAGGTTGATTCCATGTCTTTGCTATTGTGAATAGTGCTGCAGTGAACATTCGCATGCGTGTGTCTTTGTGGCAGAATGGTTTTTATTCATCTGGGTATATGCCCAGTAATGGGATTGCTAGTTCGAATGTAGTTCTGCTTTTAGCTCTTTGAGGAATCACCATACTGCTTTCCACGGTGGTCGAAGTAATTTACACTCCCACCAGCCGTGTATAAGTGTTCCCTTTTCTCTACAACCTAACCATCTCCTGTTTTTTTTTTTGACTTTTTAGTAATAGCCATTCTGACTGGTGTGAGATGGTATCTCATTGTGGTTTTGATTTGCATTTCTCTAATGATCAGTGATATTGAGCTTTTTTTCATATGCTTGTTGGCCACATGTATGTCTTCTTTTGAGAAGTGTCTATTCATGTACTTTGCCCACTTTTTAATGGGGTTATTTGTTTTTCTCTTGTAAATTTAAGTTCCTTATAGATGCTGGATATTAGACCTTTGTCAGATGCATAGTTTGCATATTTCCTCTTCCATTCTGTAGGAATCTCTTGATAGTTTCATATTTGCTATCTCTCGATAGTTTCTTTTGCTGTGCAGAAGCTCTTAAGTTTAATTATTATGGATCCCACTTGTCAATTTTTGCTTTTGTTTTGATTGCTTTTGGTGTCTTTGTTATGAAATCTTTGCCTGGTTCTATGTCCAGGATGGTATTGCCTAGGTTGCCTTCTAAGGTTTTTATAGTTTGGGGTTTTACATTTAAGTCTTTAATCCATCTTGAGTTGATTTTTGTATATGGTGTAAGGAAGGGATCCAGCCTCAGTCTTCTGCATATGGCTAGCCGGTTATCCCAGCACCATTTATTGAATAGGGAGTCTTTTCCCCATTGCTTGTTTTTGTCAGCTTTGTTGAAGATCAGATGGTTGTAGATGTGTGGCCTTATTTTTGGGCTCTCCATTCTGTTCCATTGGTCTGTGTGCCTGTTTTTGTACCAGTGATTTTTTCAATTTTTTTACACAGGGTCTTTGTCACCCAGGTTGCAGTGGAGTGGTGCTATCCCAGCTCACTGCAGCCTTGACCTGGGCTCAGTTGATCCTCCCACCTGAGCCTCCCTTGTAGCTGGGAGTACAGGTGTGCATCACCACACCCAACTAATTTTTTTCTATTTTTCGTAGAGACAGGGTCTTGCTATGTCTCCCAGGCTAGTCACAAACTGCTGCACTCAAGCTATCTGCCCACCCACCTTGCCTCCCAAAATGTTGGGATTACAGATGTGAGCCACTGCAACCGGCCCCAGTCCTTCTTTTAAAGTGGAGACATGCTTCTTTGGAAGGCTCAGCCTATAGGCCCTATAGGACAATCACATTTATTGTGGACTTGGCTTGCATTCTAAGTACAGCCTTGCTGAGGACCTGGGGGAGAAGAAGCTCCTCAGTTGGGAAACTTGGTTTGGAGTATAGGCTTGGTGGATGGTTTCTATAGGTGGATGGAGTAGGGCAAAGCAAGGGCATTTCACCTACTGTGTGGGATAGGCCCAGAAAGGAATCTGGAGAGATCAGAGGCAAATTTCATTTTGCTGCTTGGCTTAGGCCCCTGCTTGTAGTCTTGACAACCTCATCATTAGGGCATTATGAGACTATTGTTCTGAATATGGCCACCCCTTCTCCCTACTCATCCTACTTAAAAAGAAAATCTGAGAATGTTGGCATTAGGAATTAGAAGATGAACCCTTCCTTTGTGCCTTCTGGCTTAACCCAGGTCCAAATAACTTTTCTTATGTGATGGCAAGTTGGCAAGACAGATTTCCTCTGGAATATTTCTGTCAGTCTTTGATGCATTCTACATATGAATCGGCCTCTTTGAAATCTATGTTACCTTAAGAATTTTAGGAATTTCCCTCATTGGTTCTCCATATGTGCCCCAGCCTCTGCGTCGCCAAGGTGAAGTTACGGAGCTGGCCTGTGAAGGGGATGATGAACTCAGGGTCTCTCCCATGGTTCGTTGTTGGCTCATGGAAATAGAGCGGTGAACCAGTGTGCACCCTAGAAGGTAGGGTCCATACCCCATTTCCCCCACCCAGAGGTGATGGCTTTCTAATTTCCTTCCAGGTTGGCTGGCTCCTCTGGCTGATGGCATGTTGAGGTACATGGGCCAGCGGCAGCGAGGGCATCCAATCCAGAGGGGTCCACTCTAGAGGCCAGGCCACCAGCACCATGGGCCAGTGTGTCACCAAGTGTAAGAATCCCTCATCGACCCTGGGCAGCAAAAATGGAGACCGTGAGCCCAGCAACAAGTCACATAGCAGGAGGGGTGCAGGCCACCGTGAGGAGCAGGTACCACCCTGTGGCAAGCCAGGTGGAGATATCCTCGTCAACGGGACCAAGAAGGCCGAGGCTGCCACTGAGGCCTGCCAGCTGCCAACGTCCTCGGGAGATGCTGGGAGGGAGTCCAAGTCCAATGCCGAGGAGTCTTCCTTGCAAAGATTGGAAGAACTGTTCAGGCGCTACAAGGATGAGCGGGAAGATGCAATTTTGGAGGAAGGCATGGAGCGCTTTTGCAATGACCTGTGTGTTGACCCCACAGAATTTCGAGTGCTGCTCTTGGCTTGGAAGTTCCAGGCTGCAACCATGTGCAAATTCACCAGGTTAGTCACAAACACTTTATGTCACCAGGTGAGCAGTGGAGGAAAGGGAACAGCATTGGGCAGTGGTGCCCAGCTAGGATAGGACTGGGTTGGCTTCATAGGGTTTTGGGTAAGTTTTTATTTTTCTGATCAGGTTCTCTAAAGCTTGAATCTTTTGAGCCAAGTTGTGGTTATGATGCTGAGAAGCCCCTCTGGACTCTAAGGGTTTAAAATATATCTCTCTGGCTCTGCAGCAGACCTACTGAATAGGAATCTCAGCAGGGAAGGCCCAGGCACTTGGATTTTGATAGAGATTCATGTCTGGTTCTAATGTGTACGCTATGGTTTTTTTTTTCTTTTTCTTTTTCTTTTTTTTTTTGCAGAATAACGCCTTTGCCTAATTCATAGGTCAAATTTCAGGCCTATCATAGCATTATTTGGCAGCTTCTGAGTAACTGGGCACTGCTCATCTTTGCCTTAAATGAGAAATAAGCCAGGGTGAGCCAGGTGGCCAAGTTGCTGCTCGGCCCCACTGCTGTCTTGGACCTTTCTTTTCTTTTACTCCTTTACATGTCAGTTCACTCACTTGATATTTATTGTATGCCCAGCATGTGCCAGGCACTGTGAGTACCAATATAGTAAGTGCCTCTGGGGAGGGGATACACCTCTCTCCCTCCATGAAGCCACTTGCACTGTGAGTACCAATATGGTAAGTGCCTCTGGGGAGGGGATACGCCTCTCTCCCTCCATGAAGCCACTTGCACTGTGAGTACCAATATGGTAAGTGCCTCTGGGGAGGGGATACGCCTCTCTCCCTCCATGAAGCCACTTGCACTGTGAGTACCAATATAGTAAGTGCCTCTGGGGAGGGGATACGCCTCTCTCCCTCCATGAAGCCACTTGCCCTTTCTGGTACTTAGCATGTTGCCCGCCCTCAGCCAGGCCTGTGTATAATAAGGTCAGTTGGCCTCAGTTACTAAGCAGTAGCTGTGCATATTGTTCTGGTCATATGTCCCTGTAGAATGTGGTTTGTAGAGCACGGGGTTGTGAATAAGAACTGACTGTGAGGCCTAGCCATACAATTTGTAGTTTGCATGCCCCCCACCCCAGGAAGGTTACCCTCCAGACCTCAGAGGCCTCACCTCTTCAGCAGATACTACAGTCCCTGAGAAGACGATCAATGCGAGACCATGCTGTAAGCTGAAAGGGTTGTATAGATGTTAAAAATACATACATAATTTTTGTTTTTTAATAATAGAATTTTGATCTCTGGTGGTAGAATTACTCAGGTTCAGAATCCTTGGCTCCAGAAGTCTCCCTTGGCAATCTCTAAAAATATACCCCAAACAAACAACCCATAGAGAATCAGAAGGGAAACAGGAAGCCTCCTCCTCTGGAAGGAGAAAGAATCCGCAGCTTAATCGCTATTGCAGAGCGGGAAACAGGGCAGGGAGCAGGAGACTTGAGTTTAGCTTTGGGAAGATGAATGAATGAATAAATGAACCATTATCAGCTGCCAACCGTGTGCCAGGCACTGTTAGAAGCAGAATAGTAATTTGTTTAGTCCTCACCAAAACCCTATGAAGTAAGGTGGTATTTTTACCATTTGACAAGTAAGGAAATAGGACTAATTAGTTGGAGGAGTTAGAATTCAAATTCAGACCATCTGGCCTGAAAGCCTTGCTCTTAATCACTATGTATATTGCCTGTAAATAGTATAGTTTATAATGATTAATTGTCCTTTTCCTTTCTGTTGCAGGAAGGAGTTTTTTGATGGCTGCAAAGCAATAAGTGCAGACAGCATTGACGGAATCTGTGCACGGTTCCCTAGCCTCTTAACAGAAGCCAAACAAGAGGATAAATTCAAGGATCTCTACCGGTTTACATTTCAGTTTGGCCTGGACTCTGAAGAAGGGCAGCGGTCACTGCATCGGGAAATAGCCATTGCCCTGTGGAAACTAGTCTTTACCCAGAACAATCCTCCGGTATTGGACCAATGGCTAAACTTCCTAACAGAGAACCCCTCGGGGATCAAGGGCATCTCCCGGGACACTTGGAACATGTTCCTTAACTTCACTCAGGTGATTGGCCCTGACCTCAGCAACTACAGTGAAGATGAGGCCTGGCCAAGTCTCTTTGACACCTTTGTGGAGTGGGAAATGGAGCGAAGGAAAAGAGAAGGGGAAGGGAGAGGTGCACTCAGCTCAGGGCCTGAGGGCTTGTGTCCCGAGGAGCAGACTTAGTGGCTCTGTCCCAGGAGCAGCAGCAAGGATCTGCCAGCTGCCCTGCAGCCAACTGAGGAATTGGACCATTTTGGAAATTACTGAAGATCCGGATATTTTCTACTTTACACCTTTCTCTGCCTTGTATCTGAAAGGGCTCTAAAATGCTGTATCATGTTTTAGGCACTTTCTTCATTTTTTTGGTTATTTTGGTTATTTCCTTTTTGGGGGGATCTCCCAGAATATTTGAACCTGGTTACATGTTGTGTATCTTTTTTTGAAGCCTTCAGATAGAATAAGCCTGCCATTTCTTGCACAAATTTAGGTTTTTTTTTTGTTTTTTTTTGTTTTTTTTTTTTTTTTTTTGGTAGGGGAGGGCATAGAGCAGGGCGGGGGGATGGGACTGTTAGGTTGAATTAACATTACAAAATGATACAGTGCCAGATCTCAGTTTCGCATATTGTTTTTCAGGGCAGGTCTGTACTGTGTGTAGTGCTGTTTACATAGATGAATTTAGGTTGTAATAATTATTTTTAAAGATTTACACAGATTTGAATAGCAGTGTTAACTGTTAACCACATTGCATTAATTCCCAGGCGATTTAGAGCTCTTGGAGAGCCAAGGCCAGCCAAGAGCATTTGTAGTCTGGTGACAACCCCCTTTTAAGCTAATTTATCCAGAACCCTGATTTCCCTCACTTCTTGCTCATTCCTTCTTTGACCTATTGCATTTCATGTTGAGTTTTTCCATCAACATGCTGCACCTGTCAGTCAAGTGAGCATTTTTTAAGAACACATTGTACTGAGAACCACTTAAGCATTGAATGCGGAGAAAGCAGTGCTACCTCAGTTTTGCTGGAAGTAGACTTCTTTGATAGTTTTCTTTCTTTGATGAAGTTTCTGTATTTTCATGTTGTAAGTGGAAATACTTTTTTTTGTTTGTTTGTTTCATTTGCCTTGGAGCCAAAGTTTCTGTTCCTGGTGGTCGGGAAACTGCCTGCCGGCCAACTGACTTGAAGGAAAACTGTGGTATGGAGCTCTGCTTGAATTTTTTTTTTTTTAATATTTTTATTTTTTTCTTTGAATATCATCAGCTTACTTGTCTGGCAAGGGCAGAAGCCTGGGGTTGGCCTGAACTCTGCCAAACAAATATCAAAGTGTATTTAATAGTTAAATTTGTGCCCTTTCCCTTCTTGCTGCACCCATGTTGTCACTTAACCCCCAGGAGTTATTTATTATCTTTTTGTTAAAGTCAGGCTCATTTGGGGTAATGTGATGACTGTTTAGGTTTACATGACCCTCCTCTCCTTTCCCTACCCCCAAATATGTATATATACATATATAAAATATGTATATATTTTACCTATATAAAATATATATATATACACATATATGTATCTATATTCCTTTGTTTCTTTGCCTGCTTATACTGGCCATAAAAGAGGGAGCTGCCTTCAATGTATAAAGTATAAGAAGAGTGCCAGGGAATGCCATAATGGAGGCTTTTGGATCTGAATTTGGACCATTTCACTAAAGAGAACATGAGTTTGCTCAGCCCTTTCCTCACAAGAGGGAGGGCCCCGGTTCCCCAGACTTCTCCACGCGCTGGCTCCATAAAGGCCAGCTTTGGCCAGGCTGCCACAGGGGCCTGAGGAGCTCACTCTGGGCCTACCTGGTTTCAGTTAGAGGGTCCTCCTGTTATTTTTCCATTTAAAAAGTATGTCCTCAGAAAACTGTACTGGAAGGATGGGTGGCAGGAACTTGTATAGTTCAGCTTCCAACACTTTGGAACAGATTAAAAAGGGAATCTTTTAAATAAAAACGTATAAAAATATTTATACTCTTGAGGTAATGAGACTTTGTCTGTTAAACATTTGGAGGTTTCTCCCTTAACCTAATACCCCGCTGCGTCCCAGGTATGTTTCTCAGCCTGGGCAGGAATTGCATGTTTTGAGTTCCATTGTGAGCAGCCTTACAGCTCTGGGCTCCCATCTTAAGGATTATTAAAGAGTTTTGGCAGTTGGTATTTTTCTAAAACTGATATTGACCATAGGGAACATACTTGGAATTTGTTTTTTTTTTTAAATCCTAAACCTGACAGTTCCTCCTTCAGAGGGGCAAATGGGAAACTTTAAGATCACCCACGGTATAGTACTGCTAGAAAGCTGAAGGGGGTCTTGGGCCAGATGCCTGGCTTCTGTTCTAGCTAAATAAGACTCTTGAATAAGTCTCCAGGGGTCCCAGCAGGTTCTGTGGGATCAGTTGTAGCTGGGTACCCAGACTGAGGTTTTAAAAAGACTGCTTTTTCATTAAGCCAGTTTGCAACTCATTTTCCCCGGTTCTGGATTGGGTAGTGGTTGACTGAGGGAAAAGCCAGGCTGCTCTTGGCCAGATAAGGCCCTTTCCATCCCAGATCAGAGTGTATCAGAGAAAGCTGCACAAAAGAGGCAGGCAGCCCAGGACCCTGAGTACTCTGGAGAAACTAGGTTCCTTCCCCACCCTTTAAGAAGACATTCCGTGCATTAGATGTACTAGAGTGGATGTATTTTGTTGTTTTTTAAATTAACTATTTAGCCTCCTCATCCCCCACCAAAAAAGCCATTTAGTTATTTTTTGGTTATATTGATCCATTTGCAAATGAGAAGCCAGAAAAGGGAGCAGTCAGGGAGGGACTTACAAGTTCCTTTCAAGTTTGAGTACTTGATGCTCAGCAAAGATTTCAAGCTTCTGCAGTAGCTCTGGGCCAATGCTTGACTCTTTCATGACCACAAGAAATGCAGTTTTTCTGCAAAGGGATCCAAGGTGAGGTGTGTGTAGGGTTTGAAGTTATACTTCTGGGAAGTGAAAAGTCTTGTTCCTTTCAACCTAGAAATAGGTTTGCCACTTAATGAGTGAGCAGTAAGTCTGTGTAAGAGGCTGAATGCATGCCCCTCAGATAAGCCAGTACACTCCTTGCTTAGCAACAGAACATCAGGGTGATGTGGAGAGGGGCAGGATGTGGACGCCACTTTGGAAATCGGCAACATCTGAGGGCAACAACAAACAAGTGTGTTGGGAAATAAGAAATAACTCAGTTTTGACAACTGGCTTTGTCAGCTTTTGTGATGTTTCTTTAGCAGTTTATTGGAAAGATGGTATGAGATGACGTGCTGCTTCATTGAATTGCTCTTTCCCCCATCTTTGCCAAATCTCAATGTATCGTTCTTAACCCCACCTCCTGTAAGGGGCTTTGCTATGCTTCAGCTGGTTGTCTCAGCAGCTGAAGTGCTGCCCACCTGTGTGAGTTGGGTCCAGGAAACCATGTCTGCCCTTCTGATAAGGGAAGATGAATCTAGAGCTGGGTGAAGATCTAAATTTTAACCAAACCCCTGGGCCCAGGAAAATAACAATTGAAAATGTACAAGGCAGTGTTTTCAATATTAAACTTCCCCAAGGAAAGCACAAACTAGTCTTTTTGGAAAGGGAGAAAGGATTAAGCCACACAGTATTAGTCTTTGAAGCAGTACTGGTCTCTAGGGGCTGGTGCCAAAATGGAGTCCCATAGTAGTTACACTCGATGGCCTCATGTACTATATACTGTGCCAAATTGTATTAAACAGTGGTGGGGAGTTACTGGGATAAGAACTTGTCTAAAAGTTTACAAACCAAAACAGATCTGTTAGGTTGGTGCAAAAGTAAGTTTTTGCCATACTTAATGTATTGCCATTAAGTATGGCAAAAACCACAATTACTTTTACACCAACCTATGTATTTAAGAATGTTTGGTTTGCCAGATTCCAAATGAGGTCTTCAGTGCAGCAAAGCCCAAAAGGTGTAGACTCAGTTATGCAATTATAAGGTTAAGGCGTAGAAGAAAGCTGCTGCTAGGTTTTTGTTGCATTTTACTTGACTGCTCTGCTGTTTTTCTTGTCTCTCATGTTTGGTTAGCTATGACTTGAGCATCTTGGTAACTGACAAAGGTCTTCCTTGGGGGACTTGAACATCTTGGTAAATGACAGGTCTTCTTGGAGGACTCCAGCAGTATCTTGTTTAAACGACTGAAAGGACTATTAAGGTTGTTGAATTGTGTTAATTGGGACTCATTGAGGAAATGCGACATTGATCCTCCTCTTATTCCACAGTGTGTTTTCTGATCATATAAAGAAGGTTCCGAACCATCCATCCCCCTCAGAGTTTATTCCCCTGGTAAGCTGTAATTGCATATCCAGTTTAAACTGGACTGGGACTGCATGTTGGTGAGGATCGGCAGGGGTTTTCCCCCTTTTCGAAAGATGAAATAGATTCTTGAGCACTGGTTGCAGAAGCCAAAATAGTTCAAATAGCTTTGCATAACCATTGGGTTCTGCTTCTGATTCAGGTGCTGGGCATCATGTCCTCCCTATTCTTCTCTTCTTGGAAACCCAGCCTATCTCATAAATACCTACTTCCGCCACCCATCCAACCTCCCTGCTCCTTTCAACACAAATCTTGGATATTGCCAAAGGAAGCCATTCAGCAGCTGCTGGGGTTTTTCATCCCCCTGACATGCATACATTTGCTCTGGGAGAAGTGTCTTCCCTCTGACCCTGGTCCCCAGCTCCGTCTGTGCTTAATTGCTCTTACCTGTTGCACTAATGAATATGACTAGGTTTTAAAGGGGGAATGTGAAGCAATAGGCACATGGGGCTTGGATGAATTGGTCCCACAGATATACCCTGCCTTAAGCCGCTGAGGTGATGAGTCCACTGCTCATGTGACCCTCCACCTTTGTGGATCCCTCTTGGTTTGTGACCAGTGTGTCTGTTTGTTGAGGTTGTACAAACTTGACAAAAGTTAATACTTTTGTTTGTATTTTCTGCACTGTTGCACTCTCCAAATGGCCCCTTGAGTATTTTTATTGACTTGTTACACACATTTTTGTCTTTGATGTCTACATTTTTTCCTTTAATGTTTTTTATTTGGAAGGTTACCTGCTGTTGGATTTAATAAATTTGTTTACTTGAATATTGATATTTCTACAAAAAAAAAAAAACAGTGACTTTATTCTGGGGCAAAATTTACCCACTGGGAGCTTCTACCAACATGATATTGAGTAACAATTTTTATTCTTTGAAAAACAATCCAGATAAGTACAGGATCCTCAGACTCCAAACATGGGTGTTGACCTCCCACATACCAAGCTTAGTAGGGTGGCTTTTGGGGGTCTCAGTGCTTAGAGGCAAAGAGCAAATAAGTCTTCACAGGGCCACTGCCTAAATAGTCTTACCTTTGCAACTGATGTGAATTCTCATGAGGAATAAAAAGTGAAGTTGAGCAGTATGTTAAATGCATGACCCCTAGATTTAACAGTATGGCAGTGCATTAAGGCAAAGGAAACAAGCTGTATCTGGCTTTAACTGTCAAATGCCACTGCTATGTGACCTTCGGCAAGTTAGTGAACCTCTAAGTTTCCTTTTACTCATCTGCAAAATTAAAAGACTCTTGGTTCCATCAGAGTGCTAGGATTTAAAAGTCTTGATAAAGTCCCAATGACACATAAGTGCTCAAACATTACAAGCTCTTTTAAGGTTCTCCAAAGGAATGCTAGGTGAGTAATGCAGGGAAACCAGAGAATAAGAGAGGGGGTTGGCATGGTCATACATGACCTTTCACAAGTCACAGCCCCTCTTAGGGGCTTAATTTCCCTCTGTGCCAAATTGGGGATGGGGGAAGAAGCTCAGACTAACGTGATCCCTGGGATTCCCATCTGCCTCTTAACACTCTAGATGTATGATGATTAGACCACTTACGACCCTTAGCTTCCTTCCATTGTATTTTCTGTCTAGTTATTGTTTACATTCAGGAAAGCTCTTGACTGGCCATCTTACACATTTCTTTCATGGAGACCCTGATGGCCTCCCCAAAGATTCCCAGCCTCATGTTGGTATCTTGTAAAAATAAGTAAGTATGGTGGTGGGAGTAGGTGTACTTTTTCTTTTCTGTTGCAAAGGCTCTGGAAGTCATGTCTACATTCTCTGATTAGGGAGAGGTTTCTGAGATTTCCTCAATGAACTGCAACTCTTTTTCTCTTCCTCATTACTAAGGACAGGACCAGGTGGGGGCAGGAAGGAAATCTTAAGGGATGATGTTTTCCTCACTTAAAAAGTATGCCTCTAAAACATTCCCCAGTTGGCTCTTTTGGGCTTGTTTCTTCTGTGCTTTGGCACTTCTGAGTTATGGAGCCCAGCCAGAGCCTTACAAATAGGTTTGGGGAATAAAGTGGAAGGATACTGATTTGGGGGCTTGTATAGAGCCTGGGCTATTCAAAGTGCTGTCACAGGCTGTATAGATTATATACAGCTAAAATCTAATTTTCAATTAGATGATGGACAAACAACTTCACTTAGTTACCAGATGAGCTTAACTGCACGTGGAATGCTTTCTAGCAAGAAAGGTGCACTGAAGGTAGTGCTGAGGATCTGAGGAGTACGGAAGAGTTGCAACACTGGCTTCTTCCCTCCTTTCAAATCAGTTGCTGAAGCACATGGCTGGATTGGCTCTGGAAGTCATCCTTCTAGCTCTGAGTTTTGACGTAGGTCAAAAAGGGTTAGTCTGCCTGATAAGATTAGGGAGCTTGCCTAACCTCTCCATTTCCTTTCCTTTACGTTGACTTGTGAGGATGCCCTGTCTTAAAAACATAAGGCTCCTACCTGAGTTTAACATTCTTCTGTTCAGTGTTCTGACCCTTGTCCCGTCTCTTGACTCAGGGGTGCTGAAAAAGTCCTGGTGGAATGTAGCAGCACCAGTGCAGTCAGCAGCGAAGCATCTTAACTCTACAGTGTTCTGTAATCCATGCTGATGGAGACTCTCCATGGGCCCTGTGTTTATCTGGGGTGATGCTGCTAAAACTGCTAGTACATCATAGAGCTACACAATAGTGTGGTACTACTACATGACAAGACAGAAGAAAACATGAATACTGGCCCTAGTATACACATGGACTTAAATGATAAAGGAGCATCCTCCTTTATTGGGTAAGTAAAGCTAGATAATTGGGTAAAATTATCTAAATATTTGGGAGAAAGTTATTACATGCCAAGATAAATTCCAAGAAAAATAAGGCTATGAAGTATAGACATTAAATCATTAGAAATATATAAACTTGTCATTGGATCCAGAGATCAGTCAGGGCTTTCTAAGCATAAAAGCAAATAGAGGAAATCACAAAAGACTAAACATAAAATGATATACCTTAAAAAGCAAACTAAAATTTTGTAATAGTTTGTAAATGGACACTATATATAGTGAATCCATAAGGCGCTCTTAAAAATTCAGTATGGAAAAGGATCTGGCTTCCCAATAGAAAAATGGCAAAGGATATGAACAACTCACTTAGGAAAAATAATTTACCAAAAAGCTTCTGGGAAAAAAAGCAGGATGCCAATCTAAAGGGTATTCAAATAAGCAGACATTAAATATACAATGAAAAATTTTAAATGGCAAAAATTTGAAAGAAATCTATGCTAGTAAACAGTAAAATCCTTTCTGGAGTTAAAAGCATGTGTTCGTACTCTTTAACCCAATAATTTCACTTAGGCACTTTTCCTAAAAGAAATATCTCCCAAGGATGTATGTGCAAGGATATCACTGGCAGCATCATTTGGGAACAACTTCCAAGGTCAACAAAAGGGACTGTTTTAGAAATTATGGCATACATCAATGCTAGAATATTACACAGCTATTAAAACTCTGCTTTTGAATAATAGAATTTCTATCATCATGGAAAAAGTTGATCGATTATAAAATATTGGCAGTCATTGACTGTTGATGGTGGGATCAGTTGTGATTTAAATTTTTCTGTATTTTTCAAATTTTCATTAATAGGTTTCCTTTTAATAGGGAAGAGGTTATTTACAAAAAGGGGGGCAAAAAGAAATGAACAACCCCCCCTATGGTCAAGGAGACCAGAAAATGGGAGTAATGTGTTCAAAGCCTAAACCATGAGTTCTGTAAAAGCCCTTGGAGTTGCTTTTCCCCCATAAGAAGCTGCTTCTCCAGCAGCTGCCTTGGCAGCTCTGCGCTGGCTGCCTAGAAGGGTGTGGGAGGAAAAATGCACAAACGCACTTATGAATGGAATGTGTGTTTTGCAAGAGGCCAAGTTGGCAGCTTTGGCTTCCAAAAGGTGGAGCATCAGGCTAAAGAACAGAGTGTGCAGACTGAAGTCTCAGAGGCCTTGTAGTGCAGGCCCATCTCTGCAGAGTTCTGGAGTTGGATCCCTGGGGAAACCTCCACCCCTACCCTTTTTCCTAAGAAAAAGATGGCCTTGGCTATTCTTGAGAGCAAGTGGAGTGCTCTTGGTACAGGGAGATGATCCCTAGTAAAATAGTATGTCATTTATTCAGCACTCAATCTTGACTTTTCCTAGTTTAATCCTCATAACCTTATGAAGTACTAATTTCCCCTATTTTAAAGGTGAGGAAACAGGCCCAGAGAGGGAAATTAATTCACACATAGTGCATTACTGTGTTATTTTCCACAAATGTCTCAATAATCAAAATAGTTATTTCCTTATTTTATACAGCTGTGGAAATAGCCTCAAATGAGGTTAAGTGACTTGCCCCAAAATACTCAGGTGTGTGTGGGAGGTGAAGCTCCAACCCAGGCCTCTTCATATCCGAGGCAGACACTTAATTTATCTCTCAGGACTTGAGCCTCAAGAGGTAAACAGCAGCTAAGCTCTCACAGCTTTGGAGCTCAGCTGGGCAGGAAGGAACCCAACAACACTGTCAGTTTCAAGTTGTTCTCAGGGCCTTGCAGCGGAAGTTGGCAATTCACCTAGGGAACTTTCCTCCTGATGAAGGGACTTGAATCAAGTTGCGGTGTCTGATCCCAAGTCAAGCTCTTCAGTTCTGGTTCCACATAGGGCCAGATCTTACAGAAGCTACATTTAAACTTTCATATAGGACCAGATCTTATGAAGCTACATTTATAAGATTAAACACTGCTCCAACTGCCCAACCCTAAGAGTTAATTTTAAGTAGAATTATCTTTCTCTTCTTTTCTTCTCCTGACAGCAGGTGGTAAGAATTATTTTCCAATTATAAAAGCAATATATGTTGAATGTTAAAAAAAATCGAGTCTACAACAGAAAAGCATTTGTTAAAACCTGATTTGTCAATGGCACTAGCCATAGATAAATACTATTAACGTTTTGGCATATAGCCTTGCAGGTTTTGTTAGAAGCCTATGTATAGCTTTGTATATTTTCTCCTACAAAAGTGTACTCAAACTACATGCTATTCTGTATCCCTCCAGACTTCATACAACAAATAATATACAGTACTGTGAATGTATAATCTCACTAATCTGTAATCCTCTCGGATACATACCATTATTATCCCAAGCACAGAAATGTTAAGCAATTTATTCAAGTTCACACAATAATTTAAAAAGCTGGGATTCAAAGTCAAGCATTCTGGATCCAGAGGTCTACTGCCTCTTCTTGAAGATCTCTTTCACCGAAGATTTTATTTACTCTCTCTCACACACACATTAGAACTGGCTACCTAGAACTCCATTGTAATAACCCTCTGATAGCTCCTTCATTACATGTTTTTGTGTAGCTATCCTAGTATCCTAGGATAATGCTGTAGAATTGCAGGGTCTCAGTGTACAGAGCAATTTACGAGGTTTTTGGGTATGATACATACTGTATGCCAGATTCATCTTTTCTGGAGGGCAGTTAATATTTCTAGTAGTTTTGGAATTGGGTGCCTATGCCCCATGTCCTTTCCAACACAGATTGTTATCAGTTTGAGAGTTGATTAAAACGGCTTTTACTGAATTTCAAGTTTCCAGTTCCTAGAGGGAGAGATGGTGTGATGGAGGCACCTACTGGTGAAGGGTGGCACTGCAGTCATGTTCTGAAGGGAAGGAGGATTCCTAAACGTGGAATGGAAGGGGTTTCCAGGGCTGGTTAAAAAAACTAAAAGAATCTTCCACTCCACTGCCTGGTGGACTTGCCAGATTTCTCAGTTCAGCTATCATTGTCCTTCAATTTTTTAAGAGTTGTCAATAAGAAAACAGTTTAAAGAAATTTGCTTCACAGACATTACAACTTTGACAAATTGCATAATCGGCTGGTTTTCTGAGTAATCACTCCTCTTGGTTTCCTTAGCAGTATATACCACGTAATAGGGGTGCTACATGGAATGAGCACCTTGTACCGCACCTATGCACATAAACTCAATGACACAAAGAAACAATCTGTGGACATCCCCATACTATGCTTGAACTTTAGGCATTTATTGAAAACTTATACATGCCATATAAACAAACTAAACTCTTTTAGCTGCTATACCAAGTTTCCATAAAGCTGTCTGCTGGTTGGGGAGGCTACAGCCTGACCACATTCTTTGCCATTGCCTACAAGGGGTAAGAAATGGCACATGGAAACATGGCAGGCCGACTCACGAACACAGGCCTGGGCCAGCGCTTTCTTCTTCCTCTTTTATTCCCATCAGTCCTAGACCAGAGAGTGAACCATGAGTGCTGCAATAAATAAGAAACAAAGGTATGTTTTTATCCATAAGGTTGAATGAATGGTTATAAATGCCTAGTTAGAGGAGATATTTTTCCAAGTATGTGTGTGTGCCATGGGGCAAGGGCAGGAAGGTTTATGGAAAGCTGCCTGCTGAAGATGGTTTAATGGAAAAAGCACTGATGAGTCTCAGAGGTCTAGATTCAAATCCTACCTTTACCAATTAAGAGATATGAGGCATATCTATAAAACTATGAAATATTTAAATTACTATCTCACAGGGATTTGGTGAAGACTATCGACAATAGCAAACATACACTGAGCACTTACTACATGCCAAGAGTTGTTCTAAGCACTTGTCTCATTTAATCCTCAAAACTGCTCACTGATGTAGGTACAAGTGTTATCCTCATTTAAAAAATAAAAAAGCTCATAGACATTATATGACTTGCTGAAGTCACACAACTGTTAAGTGACAGAACCAGGATATCAATAATAGCAATCTGTCATTAGATCCCTTATAAGTTGCTGTTAAAGAGTCTTAGTCTTTGTTCATTCCATACTTTTGTAGCACCTGCTAGGTGCCAGAGGCTGTTTAAAAAAGTTACAAAACATTAACTTATTTAACAATGTTTGTTGTAAAAAACCTGGTGTGGTGCTTGGAATTTAGGAGCCTTCAATACTTGTTAGTTCCCTGCCACCTTGTAATGAATATTCATGGAACTGGGTCAGCGTTGAGGAGCTCTCTGAGGCAAAGCAGGTAGAAATGAGCAAAGACAAACACAGAATCTGTCTCCACCTGATGTATGAACTTAAACATGCAAACACTAGACTTTTGTGTATGGAGAACTAGAGCTTTGAGGGCAGGAGAGTTGCTCTGGAGTCAGACACACCATCAGGGTACAAGTCCTGACTATGCACTTACTAGCTATGTGACCCTAGGAAAATTGGTTAATCTGAGACTTTTTCTCCACTTGTTCAGTAAAGATTCTGACAACCTCAACCAAAAATGCATATAGAAGCATTTAGCACAGTACCTGGGTTTAATACATTACTGTTGTTTTCAATATTAATTTAAGAAGCTACCAAAAATGTAAGGATTAAGAGCTGCATCAAGACCCCAGCCTAAGGAAACCTTCTATTGTTTTTGCTATTCCTTTTTTCCCCAACGTTTCCCAAGAGTATCTGCTGCCATCACGGACACAACTGCACAAACAAGGCCCAGAGAAGTCAGTCACACAGCAAGCTTCCACAGCCTGGGGAAATGCATGCTACTGCTGCTGAGTTTGATCAATATGTCTACAGAAATCAGAATGTGACTTTTAAAGGATAGGAGTAGTTCAGGTTTCTTCACCACAGGATTTGCTGCTTCCAGGGGGTGCTTAATTCTACTGACTTGTCAAACTTAGGACCTTTGTCTCAGTCACAACTTAAGTGTTTTTGCTCCCTGACCCCAGCACTTCCTCCTCTGGCTTCACCCTCTGTGGAACATCCAGGAAGAACAATGATTTGGGCTACTCTTGACTTAGTTTACCTAAACAATGGTGGACTGTAATCTAAGTATTCTACGTGAGAACATGAAAACCCAGTCCACCTACCACCATACACTGCCCCTGAGGAGCAAGTCTGTCTGTTCCCCAGAGCCCACATCTTAACCAAAAAGCTTTTACTGGCAACTTGTGGTCACTTTTTAACCTGTTCCTGTTAGCTTACCCACAAGCCTGTTTAAAGTATGTTGGTCTAAGATTTTTTTTCCCCTCAATGTAAGCACCTAATACTTGTTTCTGCTTTTCAGAGAAAGCGGTTCTTTCAAAGGTGCCCAGTAGGTAGACCATCTCCCTAATGGTCCTCAGATGCATGTTATAAGAACTTTATGCTAGGAAATGAATTTCTTCTGATCCACCTTCAAGGCCAGAGGTATTCATGCTCTGTCAACTCCTAGAATGTAAGAATCTTTTTTTTTTTTTTTTTTTGAGATAAGAGTCTTACTCTGTAGCCCAGGCTGGAGTGCAGTGGTGCAATCTCAGCTCACTGCAACCTCTGCCCCCTGGGTTCAAGTGATTCTCGTGCCTCAGCCTCCCAAGTAGTTGGGACCACAGGCACACAACACCAAACCTGGCTGGGTTTTTTTTTTTTGTTTTTTTTTTTGTGTGTGTGTTTTTGGTAGAGACAGGGTCTTGTCATGTTGCCTAGTCTGGTCTTGAACTCCTGAGCTCAAGTGCTCCGCTCACCTTGGCCTTCTAAAGTGCTAGGATTATAGGCATGAGCCACTGCGCCTAACCAGATGTCAGAATCTCAAGGGACTTTTAAAAATTAACACAACCCAAGGTTTTCACACTGTTCAAAAAAGCCACCATCTTTCCCTCCCTTCCCCAATATACACTCATTCATTTAGCTGCCCACTCACTCATTCCAAAACTGCCCATCTTTATGCTTTAAGATTTAATATCAGTTTTTCTTTAAAGAAAGGGTTTACAGTTAAAAGGGTTTGAAAATCAACTGATTTATTCCAAATCCCTCATGTTACTAAAAGGACATTGAGACCTACAGTGGGGAAGTAGCTTGGCCACTTGTCAGAGGAGATAGGTGATAAAGCTGCAACTAGACTCAAAGTCCTGCTCCAGTATTCCTCAGGCTTAGAATCAGCAAACCAGGCCCTGTTATCTCTTAAAACATAGGTGTCAATGGGGAAAAGGGTACAGAAGGCAGGAACACATTCCTCACATGTAGAGTGGTTACACCTAAGCCTAGGGCTTGTTCTGAGACTTTACTTTTTTTACTCAAGTGGGGTTAGCAGCTACTTCTTACTCCAGAGAGCAGTAAGGACATAAGACTCCTGGTTTTAACTGGGGATAAATTATCTCCTTGAGGGACCAATAAATGTAGTTATACAAGAGCATATAAATGTGAAATGGGAATACAATGCCTATCTTTTAGAACGGTGAAAATTAAAGAGATGATTCATGTAAGTCCTCACTATGTGCCTAAATATCAGCAAAAGGCTTTTTCTCTAAGAACAGCTGAAATCCAGGGGACAGAGTCCTGAAGGGATACCCTTTCTAGTCCTTACCTCTTGGTTCCTGGCAGCAGGATGAGGCAGAGAGTGCCCGGGCACAAGCTGTTGTAGAGCTTTCCAATCTTCCGGCTCCAGCGCCAGGCTGCTATCTTCGGGTGGTCCAGTTTCAGAGTCTGGGATCAAAGCCATGTGTCGATACTCAGCCAGAACACTCTCTCGTTACCTTTGGAAGGGCTGCAACACTCTTCCTCTGCCTCTAAGGCTATGGGATTCCAGTAAAGGTTCCAGACAAATCCCTTTTCTAACACTGGAGCCCACACTGCAGGTTCTCTGCTGACCCAGCATCCCCAGGCCTCCAAGTTGGCTAAGGACTTCCTCAGGGGAGGACAGCTACTGTCCTTTCCTCCACATGGGTCTTCCAAGACCCCAAGCTAGGGGAGCCACATTGCTGATGAGGGGTCTAGTCTGGCTTCTGCCATTAAGTCTCTTTGTGACCTTGGGCAAGTGACTTACCAACTCTAGCCCCTACTTTTCATCTGTTAAGTATGAGAGATTAGACTAAGACAGGGTTTCCCAAGCTTCAGCCATTTACCTTCTACCTCCACTCTTCTGCTTGTATATCCCTCTAACATTTTTCCATAAAGTGAGTTAATTTCTTCCTTAGCCTTGTCTAACTAATGCCATCCACAAAATCATAGGCTCAATGTAGTTATTGTATACTTTAACAAGTATTAGCAAAACAAGTCCATTCAGATGTCTTAGATATAATAAAAAGACGGACAAGTCCATAATCATAAAAGTGAAAACAAAAAAGAAAAGACCATCTATGACAACCACAATTTATCTTGTGTATATACCACACTTTGGGAAACCCTAGACTAGATCACTGAATAATTGTCCAGCTCTCTGACTTCCTGCCTTTGTCCTTCAAAGTCCCTTGGAGATCTGGAAGACTAAAAAACTAAGTTTAGCAGGTATGGTGGGGGCAAAAGTATGAGAGATCTGCGAGAAAAGATGTGGCCAGGACTGGAGGAAGCTGGAGAGTGAAATAAGACTGAGGGCCAGGGTAGAAAAAAAAAAAAGATTAAAGGATTAAGTGTCACTGAGCAGGACTCTCCTGACATCTTCTCCAAGACGCCTTCACTCACTCACCTGCAAGGCCTCCTGTTCAAAGGGGGGAGGTACAACACGAAGCCCTGGGAGCCTTGTTGATTCAGGTGGTAAGCCTCTGAGCCAGGCATGGAGGTGCCTGGGGGTTAGGGCATGCCTGCCTTTCAGCTTCCAGTCCTTGCCTGTGAGAATGTTGAGGGCCTGCTGGGCACTGCCAAAACTTTTGAATTCTGAAAGCAAGAACCCCCACCTTATGTTATTAAGGGCCAAGAAAGCTGATCACCATCCAAGCTGCCTGGCCAGGGTCAAAGGAGAAGGACAGAATCAGGAACTGCTGCCCTGGTCCAGCCCAGGAGGTGAATCTTCCTTTCTCTGACCTCATGTTATCACCATCCCCAGTTTCCTTCCCCAAAGCTACATTCAGTAGCATAGACTTACTCAGGAAACAGTATTTTTTCTGCTTTCCACTTTTAAGATCTTTAGGCAAGATCACAGCTTCCAGGCCAAGAAAGAGGCGGGGCTCCTGCAATAGCTGTTCTTTGAAGGTTTCACTCACTCCAGACAGATATATAGAGCCTTGGTTTTCAGAATCTCCTTCCAGCTCATTCACGAGGGTGTCACAATCAAGCGTGAGCTCTGTCACAGGCCTCTGCACCTAACCAAGGAAAGTTGGTGTTAGTGGTAGAAAATCAATTTAATCCTCAGGCCTATTGGATACTAGCAAGTTGTTGCCATTACTAATAACTTCATTTTTCAGTTTCCTAAAATTTTCCGTTTCTTTTCTTTTCTGTAAAAGGAAACTAAAGATAATGGCCTCACAGAATTATGTTAGAGACTTAATTGATAAATACATATTTTCATGTAAACATATTCTCTTCAGTTTCCTGCCTCCCACCCTTAATGAAATTCTGTTTATGTGCACAAGAAACTTCAAAATACCACCATTTGATCTCCCTGAAAGGTGAAGAAAAGGGTAACCACAAAGAACCAACCAGAATAAACCACAGGGGACTTAAGTAGTAACAAAGAATGCAAGGAAGACCCAAATCTAGCCCAGGATGATTTCTGACACAAATGAAAGCCGTTATGTCTTCAATCACTGCCAGTAGGAGAATGTTAGACTTGGCTGAAGACTTTCCATAACAAAGTCTTGTGCGTGGGCCTCTTGAGAGTGTTTCCTATATGTCCTGGGGCACTATAAATACAGGCTGTGGTAGGCCAGACCCAAGCAAAGGGGGCTTTCTCTTGTCACCCTACCTTGATGCAGATACCATCTACCAGAATACCATCCAAGGATTCTATGGCCAGCTGGGCAGCTTCTAGGACTTCATACTGTATACAGAGATGAGGCTGCAGAAAGACCAAGATTTCCTCATCATTGCTTTCCAGCTCAAACTGCTAAAGAAGGGGTTGGGGAAAGGATTCAAACTACAGTGGCCAAAGCCACCAGAATGGATGCCTTTACTGTGCTGGGCTACACAAGTATTGATTGTAAACTGTCAACTTTAAATGGGATCATCAAAGTTCAGAAACTAGCTTTCAGACAACAAATAACTTTGTCATTTAAAATGGAACTACCCAACAGGCTTTTCATAATATTTATTATGCATCACTAAAGTCATCACTGCAAGTCACGGGCAGAGATTCCCATTTGTCTTTTGGCTTAACTTTATAAGCTTGGGAAGGATAAGTTCTTCCACTGGATAGGCTACATCTTCAAATGGTCTGCTTTTCTGTTTGTTAACTCGGAGTAACTAAATCTTTGTGATTATCTGAGCCATAGCATCAATATGGAGATAAAAGCCTTCCCATAGAAAAGTTTCATGACACTGGATTTGGCAATGGTTTCTTGAATATGACATCAAAGGCAGGCAACAAAATTAAAAATAGACAAATTAGACTTCATAAAA
Organism: Homo sapiens; assembly: GCF_000001405.40. Classification (NCBI taxonomy): domain Eukaryota; kingdom Metazoa; phylum Chordata; class Mammalia; order Primates; family Hominidae; genus Homo; species Homo sapiens. The sequence goes on along the minus strand of NC_000016.10, from coordinate 20,843,373 downwards.
ATTAAAACCTTTTGTATATCAAAGGACACTAACAGCAGTGTCAAAAAGCAACCCACAGAATGGAGAAATAGTTGCAATCACATAGCTAATAAAAGATTAATATCCAGAATGTACAGAGAAATCCTACAATTCAACAATAAAAAAGCCAAACAACCTGATTTAAAAATGGGCAAACACTGCAGAGTAGCTGGAACTGAAAAAAATAAATAAGAAAAAAAGGGCAAACAAGTGAATAGACTTTGCTGTAAAAGATGTACAAATTGCCTGCGACACTCAACATCACTAATCATTAGGGAAACGCAAATCAAACCCAAATGAGATACCATTTCACATCCATTAGGATGGCTACTATTAAATAAAATAGAAAACAAGTGTCAGTGAAGATGTAGATAAGTTGGAACCTTTGTTCTTTGCTGGTAGGAATGTAAAATGGTATAGCCACTGTGGAAAACAGTATAATGGTTCCTCAAAAAATTAAACATAGAATTACTATTTGATCCATCAATTCCACTTCTGGGTATACACCCAGAAGAACTGAAAGCAGGGACTTGAACAGATATGTGTACAACCATGTTCATAGCAGCATTATTCATGATAGTCAAAGGTAGAAACAACCCAGGGTCAGGCACAGTGGCTCACGCCTGTAATCCAAGAACTTTGGGAGGCCAAGGTGGGTGGATCTCTTGAGTCCAGGAGTTCAAGATCAGCCTGGGCAACATAGAGAGACCCTGTCTTACAAAAAATTAGCCAGGCGTGCATGCCTGTGGTCCCAGCAGGAGGCTGAGGTGGGAGGATTGCTCGAGCCCAGGAGGTTGAGGCTGTAGTTAGTTGTGATCACGCCACTGAACTCCAGCCTGGGTGAGCAAGACCCTATCTCAAAAAAAAAAAAAACAAACAAAACAAAGGGTAGAAACAAGAAACAACCCAAATGTCCATCAACAAATGGATAAACAAAATGTGGTATATACATGAAATGGAATATTATTTTGCCTTGAAAATGAAATTCTAATACATGCTACAACATGAATGAACCTTGAAGACATGCTAAATGAAATAAACCAGACACAAAAGGACAAATATTGTATGATTCCACTTATGTGAGGTACGTACACAGAGTAGTCAAATTCATAAAGACAGAAAGTAAAACAATGATTACCAGGGGCTGGGGGGAGGGGTAATAGGAAATTATTGCTTAATAGGAAATTTCAGTTCGGGATGATGAAAAAGTTCTAGAGATGGATGGTGATGATAGCTGCACAATATCAACATACTGAATGCCACTTAAAAATGGTTAAAAAGGTACATTTTATTTTATATGTATTTTACCCGCCACCCCCGCAACCAAAAAAAGGGGCCAAGAGAAAGGAAGATGTTATAGTCCCTTGCTATACACTTCTCATCCCCCAATCCATCTTCTCAGGGACAATCTTTGTATTTTTATTTTTAGTCATAGAAAAGCCATTAATAAAAGATTTGGAAGCTGGGTGCAGTGGCTCATGCCTGTAATCCCAGCACTTTGGGAGGTGGATCACTTGAGGTCAGGAGTTCGCGACCAGCCTGGCCAATATGGTGAAACCCAGTCTCTACTAAAAATACAAAAATTAGCCAGGCGTGGGGGCACATACCTGTCGTCTCAGCTACTTGGGAGGCTGAGGCATGAGAAATCATTTGAACTGGGGAGGCAGAGGCTGTGGTGAGCCAAGATGGCACCACTGCACTGCAGCCTGGGCCTCTGTCTCAAAAATAAAAATAAAATAAAAATTAAATTAAAAAATTTAGAGACAGCCATTTTAAAATATCTAGGATCCTGCACTTAGATCACTTTAGAAGTGTTTTTACTTCACTTTCATACATTGTAATACACCAGTTTAATAGTTACCTAGTTCCGAATTCTAAAGGAACAATATATTTACAGTGAAGTCTTCCCCTAATCCCATTAGCTAGCTGCCTAATTCTTCCCCCTAGAGGCCTCCATTGTTACCTTTATTGTATATCATTCTACAAACATCCTACATTACACTGTTTCCATTTTTCTTTTCATGATTTCTTCCATGTCTCTATATGCTTATGATGTTATTGCTTCACATATAAACTTTATCTATTGATATGGTATTGTTATGACTGTGAAGATGGAGACATAACTTGTGAAGTCCTTTTGAACTACATAAATTTTTAAAACCATATGCAAGTATTATTTTTGTTAAAGTAAAACTAATCTCTTTAAAGGGCTTTTATGTAAATACAAACCTACAATACCAAAAACTTACCCTAAGAGATAAGAGATAACAATAACAACAAAAGCCCTCCCATAATCTTCCTCCTGTATCTTAACCAAGCAAGCCATGAGCCTACTCTGTAATGTAAAAAAAGAAGTAACTTTCTAAGATATGAAAGTTACTTCTCTTTTTGAAAGAGTATTTTATCATTTAAAGCTGAGGTACAATCATAAGGACCACAGGTTATATTCAACCAGCAGACATATTTTTTCGTATGGCCTGGTATTTGAGAAATGGGAGCCAACATATGAAAACTGACAGATTTCTTAATTCTTGTTTTTAAATTGTTTGTAGCAATGTGGTCTCACATTGCTTGAGCCCAGGCTGGTCTTGAACTCCTGGGCTCAAGCAATCCTCCCTCCTCAAACTCCCAAAGTGCTGGGATTACAGGTATAGGCCACTGCGCCCAGCCAGATTTCTCAATTCTTTAAACACACACAACAAAAGATCTCACAATACTGGGTATACATTCTTGTGGGTCAACAACTGCTCTCATTAGAGTATGTCTCACACTCCAGTTGGTAGCAATCAAGCTTACTTTACGAATATTTGCTATCTGCATGGCCCAAGCAGTCACCTGAATGTCTAACACTAATCTAGAAAATGAAATCTGAATTTTCCGGTCTTACCTGACGGGTTTCAAGAACAAAAGTCATTGACTGGACTGGGCCAAAGCTTTTAAACAGCCTCTTCAGAGCCCTGAGATTGCAATTTTTGCTAAATGGCCCAGCATAGACAGTTGATATCTCTGTCCACTTGATCCTCATCTGTAGGAAAAACAACAGAATATAGTATGGGAATGAATATGGAAAGAGAACTGAAATCATGAGTCAATGCATGGGATTATTCACCAAAGATTTTTTTGATATAAATACTTGCCAAATGTCCAAGGATGTTCACTGAAGTATTATTTGTAATAGCAAAAATGTATAAAGCACAAATGTTAATAGGTATATCATATAGCAGAATACTATGTAGCCATTAAAAACAAGGGAAATAAGATATGTAGTGATACAGAAAGATGTATGATATACTGTTAAATGAAAAAATAAAGTTGCAAAACAGTATGCATAGTCTGATTCCCATTTTCATAAAAATATTTTTAAATGTTAATATGCAGATAGTAAAAATCTAGAGAAAAACACAACAAATTAAATAAAGCATGTATTACTTTCCTTAATGATGAGAGGTTATAATAAGTCACTAAATAAATCATTCAGCAGAACCCATTCACTTACCCTTTTGTTCATCTCCTCAGTGAGGACAGGTGAAAAGGCCTTAAAAGAGAACTGAACAATGCTGAAGGGAAACAGGGGGATTTCCACTCTGGCCTGCTCAAGAACCTGTAGAGAACAGCACAGCCTGGATAAGGTAGGAACCTCATACTCTATTGTGGCTCCTGGATATGAGCCACAATAATATAAACAGTAGTTGTCTTTTTACGCATACTGAAAGGTAATATGGGGCTGACTTCCAGGTCTGCAGGAAAATGGTGAAACCACACACCTTCCCCAAAGAACCACAGAATCAATAAAAAGAATAAAAATAAAATACATATGAGCCATACCTTCGGCATTACTAAGAGACAAGGGCTATTACAAAAATTTTCAAATGACCTGTAATTAAATAAATAAGTGTAACTCCCACTATTGTAAACTGCTGCAAGCCTGTGAGTAGGGAAAGCAAGGGAGAGGAGGCTTAATAGATTTGGTTAAAAAAAAAAAAATCAAGGGGCATGGAAGAATTAGATGAAGCATAAAAAAACCCCAAAATAAAAACTCCAATTAAATGTCAAATAAGGAACATGGGTCATGATTTTGACAGTTCTCAGCACTTGACTACAAGCAAGAGGCTTGGCAGCCTCAGAGAAGCCATGCTTCTGGAGAAGAATCAGATATATAGAGAAAAGGTGGTACTCCTTGGAGACACTGCTGTGAAGAATGCCAACTCTTCTGAACAATATTATAAATTCCTCCCTTCCCTCAACACCACACCATCATTCTGGAAATGGAGAACTAGGAAGCTTCACTTCAGCCTCTCACTCTCACAGAAACAATGAGTTAACAACAATATACGGACCAGAACACCTTTGAGAGAACTGTAGAGATTCCATGAGAAACTATATAGCACCTAGACCAGCATGAAACCAAGAAGGGTTTCCAGTAAATGGGAAAGGAAAATTTGTGATGTTTTGTGGTCCCATCTACACCTCTCCCTATCTGACATAATATGGCTTCTTCCACACCACAGATCTTCTCTTGGGATGGAAAAAAAAGAGGGGACCATGTGTCCAATGTTCTGGGTACTGTGGGGGCTGTCTGAGGGACTATTTTCTGTTTTGCGTGACTCGGAAGGCTGACAGGACTGAAGAAGGCCTTGTTTGGAAGCCACTGAAAACAGATGTGATCACCATGGCATGTTAGAGCTGCAGTAAGAAACCAGGGGAAGAAAGAGATTATGGGCTCTGAAAAGAAGTAGGGACAAGGGGCTCAGGGAACAACTAAAGGCACATGCATAACCCCAGAGAAGACAAATCTCCAGAACAGGTTTGGGAGGTCATGAAATCTCTAACTAGGCTGATTGGTGAAGGTCTTCCCCTGCACGAAGCAGTCTGTAAAGACAACAACTGGGTATTTATTCAAATGCCCAAGCCTCAACAATACCAACAACAATAAGTCACAAGGCATACAAAGAAACATAGCCCAAGTTTCACTTCTGCAAAATAAAAAAGTTATAAGATCTCTTTCACAATAATATAAATATACCTAACATTACTGAACTATGTACATAAAAACAGTTAAGATGGTAAATTTTATGTTTTTTACTACAATAAGAAGAGAGGCAGGAGAGGAAAGGGAGAGAGAATCCCTTGATAAGTAGAGGAAAAGCACAAAAAAAGAAGAAAAAACTGCACTGAGGAAGGCAGAATAAAAGAGATGCTCTTGAATGAAAACCTTGTTCAAAAACAAATCAGTAAAATTAGAAAATAGTAGACCATATTAATCTAAACTACTATTAAAAAAACAGCAACAGCTGGGCGCGGTGGCTCATGCTTGTGATCCTGGCACTTTGGGAAGCCAAGGTGGGAAGATATTTTGAGCTCAGGAGTTTTGAGACGAGCCTGGGCAACATAATGAGACCTCATCTGTATAAAAAATTTAAAAATTAGCCAGGCATGGTGGCACATGCCTGTAGTCCCAGCTACTTGGGTGGCTGAGGCAGGAGGATCGCTTGAGCCCGGAGGTCAAGGCTGCAGTGAGCTCTGCTCACGCCACTGCACTCCAGCCTGGGCAATAGAGCAAGACCCTGTCTCAAAAACAAAAACAAAAGCCAAGACATAAAGTGAGAATCGAAGCATTTCAGCTGATGAAAATTATTCCCCCTAAAAAAAAAAATCAACCATGGGGCTAAAGGATACAGTTAACATTACGGTCTAAACTGAATTGAATATTAGCAGCCAAGCATTTGAGGATATGAAAAAGCAACTACAAGTTGTCAAGAAAGAATAGATTCAAGTGAAATTTTAATAAAGGGCATTAATGAAAAGCATGGAAAGAATTAGGAGTATACAAATGAAATCAAAAGGATCAGAGAGAAAGTAGGTGAATGAAAGATAGGCCAGCGGGGAACAACATATATGCATAAGTGAAGTCCATGAGGAAGAAAATTAAAGCAATGGAACCAAATACTTGAAAATACAATCCAAGAAAACCTTCTGGAAATAAAAGAAACTATAACCTAAATATTGAAAGGGGCCTTGGGTACCAATAAAAAGTGACTTGGAATGATCAACTCTGAGACATAGCTTAGTAAAACAATTAGACTTTAAACAAAACGGGAAAAATAAATCCTCAGTAAAAGTAACTTAAAAGGCCAAGAAAATTAGATTGCCATTAAGTTTCTCAAATGCAACTTACAAGGATTTCCATCCCCAGTCAAGACTGAATAACAAAGAGTAGAGTTACCCTCTCTCCTCAAACACCTAAGAAACTATAAAAAATATACGATAAAGAGAATGAGAAGACAAGCCAGACTGGGAGAAAATATTTGCAAAAGACTTATCTGTTAAAGGACTCTTACCCAAATATACAAAGAACTATTAAAACTCACCAATAAGAAAATGAACAATCCAATTTTAAAAATGGGCAAAAGAGTTGAACAGACACTTCACCAAAGAAGAGATACATATAGCAAATAAGCATATGAAAAGATGCTTCACATTACATGTCATTAGGGGACTGCAAATTAAAACAATGAGATACTAATACATATCCATCAGAATAGCCAAAATCCAACAAAACACTGACACCATCAAATGCTGAAAAGAATGTGGAGCAACAGGAACTCTCATTCACTGCTGGTGGGAATGCAAAATCATAGACACTTCAGAAGTTCAGCAGTTTCTTACAAGACTAAACATATTCTTACTATACAATCTAGAAATTGTACTCTTTGGTATTTGCCCAAATGTGTTTGAAACTTATGTACACATGAAAACCTGCACACAGACATTTATAGCAACTTTGTCCATAATTGCCAAAACTTGGAAGCAGCCAAGATGTCTATCAGCAGGTGAATGGATAAATTGTGGTAAATCTAGGTAATGTATAGTTATTCAGTGTTAAAAAGGAAAAAAAACTATAAAGCAGTGAAAAGACATGGAGAAAACTTAAATACATATACTAAGTTAAAGAAGCCAGTCTGAAAAAGCTATATACTATATGATTCCAACTATGTGACTTTCTAAAACAGGCAAAATTATGGAGACAGTAAAAAAAAAATCAGTGGTTTCCAACAGGCAGAGCACATTCATCACAGATTTTTAGGCCAATGAAACTATTCTGTATGATACTATAATGGTAGATATATGTCACTATACATTTGTCAACACCAAGACAGAACCCTAACGTAAACTATGGACTTTGGTAATTATATGTCATAGTGGGTTCATTGATTTTAACAAATGTACTACCCAGGTACAGGTTGTTGATAATGGTGGAAGTTGTTTGTGTGGGTGGGTGTGGGGGTAAATGGGAACTCTCTGTACTTTCTTTTTTTTGAGACAGGGTCTCTGTTGCCAGGCTGGAGTGCAGTAGTGCGATCATACGTCAGTCACTGCAACCTCCACCTCCTGGGCTCAAGCAATCCTCCCATCTCAGCCTCCTGAGCAGCTGGGACCACAGGCATGTGCTACCAGGCCTGGCTAATTTTTTGTAGCGACAGTGTTTCGCCATGTTGCCCAGGTCAGTCTCAAACTCCTGGACTCAAGAGATCCACCTACCTCAGCCTCCCAAAGTCCTGAGATTACAGGTGTAAACTACTGCACCCAGCTTAGACTTTCCATTTAATATTGTTGTGAACCTAAAACTGCTCTAAAAATAAAAGTCTATTAAAATAACAATAATAATGCCCAAAGAGCCCTTGAGGCCCATGTAAGTGCTCAGGAAGAAAAAAAAAATTCCTAAGAACAGCAGTTCTCGGGATATTGGAAAATGAAGGACAGTGATCCTTAAAGATAGGAAACCGATAGATCTATAAATAATCCCCCTCAAATATTCAGTTGAGTAGGGATTAGTGTATCCATGTAAGTAAACTATGCGAGGTCAAGGAAAGGATGCCCAAAAGGATTAGAGGAAACAATCGCAAGGGCTAACACAAGGCCAGGAATGGTTTAGATTCCCAAAAGCTAGAGTGTAAAATCTCATAATTTATGGAGATTAAGTACTTAGTATGGTTTTGCTTCAGTAGTGGGACAAAATTTACTCTGGTTTCACCTAACAAACCTTAAAAGCAAGAATTCAAAAGGATCTGGCCAGGCATAGTGGCTCACCCCTGTAATCCCAGCACTTTGGAATGCTGAAGTGGGCAGATTACTTGAGGCCAGGAGTTTGAGATCAGCCTAGGCAACATAAGAAAGAAAAGAAAAGAAAGATAAGAAAAGAAGGAAGGAAAGAAAGAAAGAAGATCCAAAAGGACCAAAGTGTTTCCAAGTAACTTTACCACATCTCAGACCAAAGCTCACAAATATTTATAGAAATACAAAAATATATAGCACCCAACAAATTAAAATTCACTATGTCTGGCATCCAATACAAAAACTACCAGGCTGCAAAGAAGAATGAATATAGTCCATAATAAGGAGAAAAACCAATCAATTTCAGTTAATCTAAAAATGACACAGATTATCAAATTAATAGAGAAGGATGTTAAAATAGTTATTGTAACTATATTCTGAAATTTAAGAAGCTAGAGGAAAGTCTGAATGTTAACTAGACACATGGAAGATACAAAATAGAACAAAAGTTAACTTCTAGAGGTAAAAAATACAATGTGTGAGGTGAAAGTACACTGGATTGGATTATCAGTAGATTAGATACTGCAGCAGAATTAGAAACCTAAGACATAGCAACGGAAACAATCTAAAATAAAACAGACAGGAAAAAAAACTGGAAAAAACATGAACAGCACATCAGTGAGCTATGGGACAACTTTAAACGGCCTAATACATATGCAATGGGAGTGCCCAAAGGAGGGGAGGGTGGTGAAAGAAAAAATAATGGGGAGAAATAATGGTCAACATTTTTTCTAATTTGATAAAAATGATAAACCCGCAAATTGCAAAAGCTCAACAAGCTCAAGCAAAAGACGCATAAAAAAGAACACTTGGCCGAGCCTGGTGGCTCACACCTGTAATCCCAGGCTGGAGTGTAGTGGTGCGATCATAGTTCACTGCAGCCTCAACCTCCTGCGCTCAAGCGATACTGGCATGTTCTTAAAATATCTCCCCACATATTTATTAGAATTAAGAGAAAAAACAAGAACTCTGCAATAGAGAAAGCAGACAACACCTTGACCAGGTGATCAAAATAAACAGCACAAAAGAGGGGCAGATGAGTAATAACTGCCTCTGGATGCAACACCCCAAGAAATTTGGCTAAGAATGCATAATCTGAATTTAATCATGAGCAAACACCACACAAACCTAAAATAAGCAACTCTGCTAAGAAAGGGAGGGGGGCATGCATTACTCAAAAAGTATTAAGGTTATGAAAGACAAAGAAAGGTTGAGGAACTGTTACAGCTTTAAAGGAGACTAAAAAGATATGACAAGTAATTGTAATACATGACCCTAGAAATGATACTGTTCTAAAGGGAAAAGACATGCTATAAAGACATTATTTGGTCAGCCAAGAAAATTAGAATACAGATGACAAGTAGATAAAGGTACCAGGACAATATTAGATTTACTAAAATTGGTAACTATGTTAAGATGTGGTTATATAAAATAATATTTTTATTCTCATGAAATACACTCTGAAGTGTTTAGGGCCATGATATATGCAGCTTACTCTCAAATGGTTCAGGAAATGCCATACAGAGAGGAAGAAAGAGAGAGTGTGTACATGAGAGAGCATAAGCATGAGGGTACATATAAAATAATAAAGCAACTGGGGCAGAGTGCTAAAAAAGGTGAATCTAGACAGAAAGTATACAGGTGTTCTACCATTCATGCACGCTTTCTGTAAGGTTGAAATTATTTACAAACAAAATGTTAAAAAAAAACAAACACAGATCTTCTGAATATGATAACATAATAAGCTCATGTTTGATGTAGCCTCTCTGACTTAACATACAGCAATGATACATAAAATATAAAAAGAAAAAATCGAAAGGATATAGCCAGGCTCAAAACCAAGATAAACGTTTCCATGAACCAGAAACACAACAGAAACTCAAAGATGTATGCAAGACCAAAGCCAGAGGCCTGCTGGGCTCTGGAAGCAGGCATTGGCAGCTGACAGTTCTGCCCCTATGAGGACTTAGGTACTCCATACAAGATGTGAGACACAAGCCAGGCTTGCTAACTGTAGCCAGGGTTGCTGATGAAAAAAAGCTTGACACTGGCATGGGTGCAAAGGGCTACATTCCCCTCTGCTTTGAATATAACCTGCAAAGGTTCAGCAGGCCACTCACCTCTTTATTTGAAAGACACTTAATAGTTTGACAATTTCTGGAAGATGGAAGTTCACCAGCATCTGTCTCCCGGGTCAAAAAAAGAAGCTTCTGACCCACTGAATCCAAGCATTCTAAAACACTATAAAGAAGTAGAAGAGTTAAGGTAAGAACAACAGTTTTCCAGAACCTGACAGTTATTTCTCTATACTTGCATTATACAATATGGTAGCCACTAGCAATATATAGCTATTAAAATTAAAATTAAATAAAATTAAAAATTCAGTTCCTCAACTGCACTAGTCAAATGTGACTAGCAGCTACCAAACGAGATAGCACAGATGTAGAGCACTTCCATCATCACAGAAAATTGTTTTGGACAGTGTTGCTTCAATAGAGAGAGGAAGGATAAACAAGAAATATACCCAAAGCTCTCTATCAAAAGATTAGGCAAAATTCTAAAGATCTGATACATTTGCTATAGTCTGGAGACAAAGCCCTTTTGAGTCTGTGTGTGTGTCTTTCATAGTCTGGGCAATACAACAAGGCTACAGATTGACTCTTCTAGCCAAAATACCAACTAGTCTATCATCTTTCCCAGTGCTACCTAGGTTCAACGTATTCCAATTATTTTTTCTTTTTTTTTTTTTTGATCAAGGATATCATTTTAGACCAGCCACTAGATTCAGAAAATTAGAAATTAAATACTATATATTAAGGCTAGAAGGTGGTATTTTTTCCGTGGTTTTTGTGATAGATGTTATCATTTTTTGGTAAATAGTTTTTAATAGACTCAAAAGAGGATAAAAACATTCTCAGGTGTTGTTAAATAAGAAACTAGATACTCCATTTGTCTTTGCTCTTGTTTCAAACTGAAAATATTACCTTGTGTTTGGGTGCTGAAGTACTTCTGCTGTGTTTTTAGGCTCTTGGCCTGCTGCTTGTATTTCTTGGTGATTAGCTAGTGCTTCTAGATTTAGTTCTGCAATCTTGAAGAAAACAAAGTGGTAAAAATATAATTGCTTGCAGAGCATTTGATGCTCAAATAAATACAAAACAAAAAGCAACAACAACAAAAAGCAAAAAATCCACTTGAATAATGTTCTCTGTTCTCTTAGGCAGTGGCTTTGCCATTGCCACAGCCCTGGGATGGCTTCAATAGTTACCAGATGGTTTATGGTTGCTTAGCCAAGACCGGCAATCTGTTATCAGCTACTAACATTGTTACATGAATATGGGGAAGGGCCAAGTAGGGCTGATTGAAAAAGGATGTCAATTTTGGCTCATCACTCATCCAACAGTCAGTCACTTAAAATTTACTTCTCTGAGTCACTTAAAATTTACTTCTCTGCAAACATGCAATTTTGGAAATGATAAAAGAATGGCTTTTACAGGAAAATTTTTTAAAAAGACTATTTATTAGTTTAATACAAAATCATGAGAAGTCTATTCTAGTTATTTCTTCTCCTTCCGTAAAGTGGGAGCCCACCAGGGAGTTGTGATGTAGAGAGAATAATTTTTAAAGTTACAAATTTTAAAAATAAACTTTTTTTTTAGAATCAGTTTAGATTTACAGAAAAATTATGAAAATAGTACAGAGTTCCCATATAGCATACCTCCATTTTTACCTATTAGTAATAGATTTGTATGGTGCATTTGTCACAATTAATGAACCAATAGTAATGCATTATTATTAATTAAGCCCATGCTTAATTCAGATTTGGTTAGTTTTTATCCAAGTGAGACACAATTTTCACTGGAAATCAAGCATAATTAAGTGCCCCAAGTGTGGTTTGAGAATCCTGGGGTTTCCAGACATCTTCTCACAAGGGGTGAGGTCCTTCCTTCTCCAACTATGTGACATAACAGACTGAATGTGAAAGCAGATATGAAAAGCCACTTGTTTTCTATTAAGCTAGATATTAAAAGGTTTCACAAAAATACCTAAAACAATGATGTTCTTTCCACTAATTTTTATGGAAAATTCTTTTTTCCATAAAAGTAAGTTATTTGTAGCTGGACAGAGTGGCTGTATATGCTTAAGTTCCAGCTACTCAGGAGGCTGAAGTAGGAGGATCCCTTGAGCCCAGGAGTTCCAGTCCAGCTTAGGCAACACAGTGAGACCCCGTCTCAAAAAAAAAAAAAAAAAAAAAACAGAAAAAGAAAAAAAGTGATTTGTGTTAACATATAATGGCTTTTTATTTATCTTAAACTAATATTAAAAATTTATTTAATTTCTAATATGGTAAATGTTGATAGATATTGTAACCCAGAGTCCCTGGGTCTTCAGGTGCACACTATAAAAGTGTAACCCCTGTTGCACCTTGTTGTTTCAAAAGGGTACAGGAAGACCACCAGCTACAGCAAGATAAAAACCAGCTGGAACCAGAGATGCCTGAAGTTAGAGATGAACTTGGCAAACTCTCTGCATTACCATACTAAAAATCTCACCTAGGGAGGAACTTATTCTCCATTTTCTATACATGTATGTGTCAAGGAACAAACCCTGCCTTTACATGCAATGACTCAGCCGACTAGCAAAATAAAAGCCCTGCTTTTGCCTTCATTTGGGGAGATAGTGCTTTGGGAACTATCCCTGGTGTTCTTACTTGTTGCAAAGTAATAAAATCCCCTTGTTAAATCCTCTTGGGCCAGGCACAGTGACTCATGCCTGTAATCCCAGCACTTTGGGAGGCTGAGATGGGTGGATCACCTGAGGTTAGGAGTTTGAGACCAGCCTGGCCAACATGGTGAAACCCCATCTCTAATAAAAATACAAAAAAAAAAAAAATTAGCAAGGTGTGGTGGCAGGCACCTGTAATCCCAGCTGCTCGGGAAGCTGAGGCAGGAGAATCACTTGAACCGGGGAGGCAGAGGCTGCAGTGAAGAGAGATCGCACCACTGCACTCCAGCCTGGGAAACAGAGTGAGACTCTGTCTCAAAAAAAATAAAAATAAAAATAAATATTCCTTGGTAGTGGTCATTGGGTTAACACCCACTAAGTGACTGAACACACCATTGTGTGGGTAACAATATAAAAAGAGTCATGAGACCAAAAGGGTTTTAGAACCTATTGTAGTGATTTAGAGCAGAGATTAGCAGACACCAATACATATTTTTTTGTAAATAAATAAAGTTTTATTTCAGCTGTGCCCACCAGTGTTGACATAATGTCTATGGCTGCTCTTGCAGTACCACAGCAAGTTGAGTAGCTGCAATAAAGACAATATGATCTGCAAAGCCTACAATATTTACTAGTTGGCCTTTACAGAAAAAGTTTGCTAATCCCTGGTATACAGAAAAGACAGAATGTGACAGACCTGGGTTTCAATTCTGGTTCCACCTCTGACTGACTGTGGGACCTCAGATAAGTTATCTAACCTTTGGTAACCTCGAAAGGCTCATGTATAAAATTGGAATGATAATAGCTAACTCACAGGGCTGTTGTGAGGATTAAATAAGATAATGTATATACAGCATTTTAGAACAGTACACTTAAGACCTCAGTGAGTGGTGGCTATTATTATCTATATGCTCAAAGAAGATCTGTTAGAATGTCTTTCTACCACCTGACACAAAAGACTATTCTGGCTGTTACTTATTATTCTATGTGGAGTACAATTTATTTCATAATGGAGTCATGATGGAATGTACTATGCAATGGGACAATCTAATAGGTTAGAATGCATTATAATAAAGTTTGTCAGAGACTATGTCCTCTTCCATGTCTCCCTTATGTGTTGTTCTAACATTTACCCACTGAACTGCTGTTGAAACAATTGTATGCTCCCCCTACTCCAAGAAAACAAAAATCTATGCAGATTTTTTATAATTATTAGTATTAACTACAATAATCACCACACCACCAGGATAGTGCTTAGTATATTCAAGACACTGTGCTAAGAATTTTATACACAATATCTCATTTACTCTCAACAATATCCCAGAAAAGTGTGTATTCCCATATTATAGATCCAAAAACTGATGTTGTTCAGAGAAATTGCCCTAGATTATACAGCTAGACATAGTAGAACATATATTTTAAAACAGATAAGCCCAACTGCAGGGACTATATACTTAACCACATTATGCTAGTGATATGGGTCTTAATTCGAAATACATGCTAGGCTTCAATCACACTGCCATTTTCTTTTTTTAGGATTCAATCACACTGCCATTTTCTTTTCTTTTTTTTTTTTTTGAGATGAAGTCTTGCTCTGTCACCTAAGCTGGAGTGCAGTGGTGCAATCTCGGCTCACTGCAACCTCTGCCTCCCCGCAACCTCTGCCTCCCTGGTTCAAGCGATTCTCCTGTCTCAGCCTCTGGAGTAGCTGGGACTACAGGCACGCGCCACCACACCTGGCTAATTTTTGTATTTTTAGTAGAGACGGGGTTTCACCATATTGGCCAGGCTGGTCTCGAACTCCTGACCTGGTGATCTGCCCACCCTGGCCTCCCAAAGTGCTGGGATTACAGGCATGAGCCACTGCACCTGGCCCACACTGCCATTTTCATAAAAATAGATAATAGGAGTTGGTAGTCTGTGATAATCTGATCTAGTCCCATGATTTTAAGAAAAGGTGAACACACTGGGCAAAGATACTAACCTTTTTTGGGCCATGCTTAAGGAAATACCGAGCCAATTCAAGGATTGTTCTAGCATCTTCTGTGGCATCATGACCAAGTCTGTCTGGACACTGTATATCCTTCCTGGAAAGTCAATATAAAATTGACATACTGGAAGCACTTTTAATGATAGGCTTTTTCAACCATCTCAAGTGTTCTGATTACATATAAAATGTTAGAATTCTGATAATTAGATTTGCATCACAAAAATCAAGGTTCCTTTATTCCAGCTAATTGCCCAGCCCTGCGAGAGGAACTGGGGGTGCAAAACAATCAGGAATAGCTTTGTTCACAGCAAGCATAGCATCCGGACAAAAGGCTACCCAACAAAAAGTTTCTGGCTGACTCCCTGGCCAGGCCCTTCTCTAAGAAATGGACCAGGCCCATTTCTCAGATCTAACCATTGTTTAAAGTTGCCTTCCTGAAACTTTTTTATTTGTATATAAGTGTCTATACATACTTAAATACTTTCTTAGGTGTTTTTAAAAAGCTTAATATATGTATATATTTATAGATAGAACTAAATCTAATCTATATCATATAAATATTGAGGCATATATAGATCTTGCTCTGCATCCCTTATTCTCAGGAGTGTCTTAGAGAGGTGTTCATATCACAAACAGATTTATCATATTCTTCTGAACAACAAAATATTCAATAATACAGATAACCATAATTTACTCAACCAGACTTCTAGAATATTTGAGGTTTTCTATTTTGCTATTTTAAACCATGTTATAATGAACACCTTTGTACATATGTGTCTTAATACAATAGGACAGTATAAGTATGTTATACTACCTTGTATAGGCATATAGGTATGTTATGTTTTGAAATTTTGGTTACCTCTTCTGCCTTCATGGTTCAGTTCTGTCCATTAAGCCTCGACTGTGAATGTAAACCCCTGTCTCTATTGCTACAATTTCTTCATTTCATAAGAAATGCAAAAAAACATGTTTAAAGCAAAGAGAGCAGAAACCCTGAATTTTGCAATATGCATTAAATTAGATACTACATGCTAACTTGTATGCAGTTTGTCAGAACAATATTACAGCATATAAGCAAACCTACCCCAAAATAACTTTGGCTAAGAACTTGAGCTTAAATCTTCTGCCCTGCTCTCTGACATAAAGCAACGATGTATCAATAACATATGGATGTATCATCTGAGGAAGAAAGAGAATAAAATGAGTAGTGTCTTATGCTAAAGGAAAAAACAAGTGGGCTAGCAGGGTGGGAGAGAAGAGCCCAAGACTTTAGATTTGAGATAAATGGAACAGGCATTTATACTGAAAATGCAAAGTCCTAAATCAGATACTCACTTTCAGTGCTCTGAGATCCAAATCTAAGGAGTGGCCCACTAACACAGCATCAGGAGGAAGCAGTGCTTTTAACTGCCTCTGTACATCTTTGAGTTTGGTCGTCACTGGGTTAAGAATCTTCTTCGTGATTCCCGAAAAGCTTTCATTAAAAAAAGAGAAATGGACAGGCTAGGATATTAACAAGTTTTCCTCTCTGGAAAGTGATTTTAAAAATAACATTTTTTAAAATTACTGTTAATATATATATGCTTAGTGTCCAAAGTGACAAATAAGAATTAAAAATTAGTCATAATCCTATCACCCAGAGATGATTGCTTTTTTACATTTTAGTAAATGTCGTTCCATACTTTTGATATAGATTCAGGTATATATTTAATTTTTATAAAAATGTAATCATAATGCATGAGCTGCTTTACAATGAATCTATCATTTATAATATGTCATAAACACATTTGCACATCAATAAATCTATTTAGCACATCCTTTTAAATGGTTACAGAGTATTCCATTATACAGATACAGCATATTTTAACTAATCCCCTACTTTCAGACATTTATATACTCACATTTTTGCAATACTGTGACAAACATGCTTGTGCATACAACTTTGCCACACGTGACTGTTCTCTAAGAATCTAATTGTCAAGTCTGCTAATAGGACAGTATTTATCACTATCATTGCCTCTCTGTCCCTAAGTCATCACGAATCTACTGGTGCCACGTCAACGGATGGGAACAGTAATGTTTCACTGGCTTCTTGCCTAGTCACTGTGTGTACATTCTGAGATTACATGCTAATCTTTGGAAAAGTAGACTAACATTTTCAGCTTCAAATTTCTGTTATGAAAAATATTTGTTTGTGTTTTGGGGGTCAAGGCAGATTAAGCTCTAACATCACTTGACTGCCAAATGATGACTTGCAGATTTTCAGATGAGGTCTTATCAGAAAGCAAAGCTCTAGCTGTTTGGCAGTTGTAGATAATGATTATAATTGGGAGATTCTGGAACAAGGAAGATAATATTCTGCTGACTTAAGGTCACAAGAAGATTGAAGATCAAGAAGGGCAAGAGCATTATACACTGACATTGTGCAATTTCAGCATTAAAATATACCTATGTGATGCCCTAACCTTTGATAATATTTAAGTAGATAAAACCTAACTAAACTGAAGCTGTGGGCCATTCTTAAGTATTATTCCATTCTAGCCCGATAGCTCTTAGAAGAGCTGCAGGCAAGGTGAAAAATACCTGGTGAGGTAGTCCAGAATCTTGTTTTCAGGTTTGACCAGTTCATCCATAACACAGCAGCCTCCTTCAGCAACCAGTGAGATGCGTGTTAGCTCTCTCCCCTTGGATGTGAGGCACTGAAAGACCAACATGTAGTCAGGCTGCTGAACTGTGGAAGTTATTGCTTCTTCTTACTATTTACACTATGTCAACTGCCATCTACTGTAATCTACCAGGGTCCCTGCAGCAATGGCACAAACTTGCTTTCTAGAGGATCTAGTGTGAGTGAAATTAAAGCTGGGCAGGCTGCTGAATGTTACACTTAAGAGGATCAACACAGTGTAGTCTGCACAAAGAAGATGAATGCAAATAATATTAATAATTGTATCTACCATTTATGGAGTGTGTACTATATCCAGTATTATGCTAAATACCACTAATAGGTAATTTTTATGAAGCCCATTCTATTATCAGCTAGTGCTGTACTAAGAATTTTATATATGCCACTCTCATAATTACCTTTTGAGGTAGGCTTTATTATTACCCCCACTTCACAGAGGGAGAAGCCGAGGCTGATAGGTTAGGGGTATTTGTCTAAGGCGACATAGCCACTAACAGGCAAGGACAGGATATACACCCTGATATGTCAGATTCTCAAATTTTAGGTCTTAGTTACTCTATTAAGAATTGAGAAACTGTTTCCTGAGTACTGAGAGGGGATGCACTGTCTTTGAAAAGAGGCTTACTACAATTAGATAAAGCAAAGCACGAGGGGAACTTAAGCAGGGAAATCCTATTTCTGATCTTCAAGGTGTAAAACTAAGCCAAACCAACAATTAAGGCAAAGTCCTCATGGCAGCAACAACAAAATACTTCTTCAAACACAAGGAATCAACTTCTAGCAACATGCAAAGACCTGATTAAACATAGTAACTAGTTGGAAAACGTGATTTTTTTTTTTTGAGATCGAGTCTCACTCTGTCGCCAGGCTGGAGTGCAGTGGCGCTATCTCAGCTCACTGCAACCTCTGCCTACTGGGTTCAAGCGATTCTCCTGCCTCAGCCTCCCGAGTACCTGGGACTACAGGTGCATGCTGCCATGCCCAGCTAATTTTTTGTATTTTTAGTAGAGATGGGGTTTCACCATGTTGGCCAGGATGGTCTTGATCTCCTGACCTCATGATCCACCCGCCTCAGCCTCCCAAAGTGCTGGGATTACAGGTGTGAGCCACGGCACCCAGCCACTTATGTGATATTTATTCTTTATCCTGGAATACAGATCTAAGTTTTCTAAAGTGTGAGTAAAAGGACCTACTTTCAGCTATTAAAACAGAATACTAAAAATGAATGTATTCGTTCATTAGTGCATTAGACTCAAGAAATCATTTTCTACTAGACCTCAGCTTGCAACACTCCAATTGAAAAATTAAAAGTAGTACGTGCCATTTCACAGTCAAGTCCAAAGAGAGGACTATTGTCTGCTATAGAACCATTACATTTGGTAAGTAAAAAGTTTTCACAATCAGGAAAACCTAGGAGAAAAAGGAAGAAAATGTTTGCCTTTAGAATAGAGATGGTAAACATCACTCTTAGATTCAAGCAGGTAAAACTACAATACTAGATATTTTAGTCAGATATGTTGGTATGTTAGACACTTGAAATACAATGACTAAATAAGATACAATCTCTGTCCTCAAGTTTTTCTCCATCTACTCATTTTTATATTGAAAGAATAATGTAGGCTTGCTGTTAGGAGGAGATTCTGGGGCTTGAACTTCCTGGCAGTTACCAAGTAACAATTTTTCCTCCTCATGAGAAAAGAGATAACTAAATCATGGCTAAACCCAAAGTCATTAGGCGCTTTCCATGTCAGCACTAAGAAAGAATGAATAAAGTATGCAAATAACTGTATGTGGCATCTTTCTTTCCTAAATACAGGAAGAGAAAATAGGAATGAGATTCCACCATAATGGAGATCTAAAAGGATTTCATAGTAGGAAGAAAGTTTAAGTAACATTCACCATATGTGTCCCTCCACCCAACTCAACCTGTGAGATTCCTCTGAAACACCTATTCAGAGCCTTGCCTGCATTTTCTGGAATCACATATTTCCTACAGAGGCTCAGCTATAGATTTAAGGTACTCCCTCTATTTGTGAACCCTGAGTCCATAACCATGCATATTTAGCTCAAAAACCCAAAAGCATCTGAATTGTTGAAGATTTCTACCTTCAGGCAGAGGCTGGAGCAGTAAAGGTAACATCTAAATCTTGTTTGACACGGAACAAAGGGGGCTATGCAAACCTTTGACCAATTTCTGATTCCCGGTACTGTGAAATTTCCAACTAATCGCAATGAAAAGAATCAAAAGATGGTCTATCCCAGAGAAGAAAGGCAGCCTCAAATCTCACAGACACTATATTTGCTGCCTACCTTATCTATATTATCAGTGGTGTTTTATAGGTGTTAGCAGTACTGCCCTTACTACGTGCTCATGTGACAGTAGTGCAACCTCAAGAAAAAGATGGTTATAAATATGTTAAAATAAATAGAGAAAAAAGCCATGTATAAAATGGAGTTAAAATTTAGTTCATATATCATAGGACTGCCAGTTAATGTACAAAAAGGCACTTAGTACGGTGCCTGGCACCTATAAAACACGCCTACATCAACTTAAAAAATTAAAAAAATAAAATTTATGCATCCAGAAAATAAGAACTCCAATAATTCCATGATAAAATACAGCCCAATTTAAAAATGGACAAAGGATCTGAATAGACAGTTCTCTGAAGCTATACAAATGACTAATAAGCATGTGAAAAGTTGCTCAAAATCATCAGCCAACAGAAACATGCAAATCAAAATCACAATGAGACACCACTTCATACCCACTAGGATGGATATATTCAGACAAGATAATAGTAAATGTTGGCAAGAATGTGCAGGAACTGGAAACCTCATATGCTGCTGGTGGGAAAGTAAAATGGTACGGCAGCTTTCACAGCCTGACAGTTCCTCAAAAGGTTAAACACAGAGTTGTCACATGACCCAGCAATTATACTCCTAGGTATATACCCAACAGAAATGAAAGCATGTGCCCACACAAAAAACTTGGACCTGAATATTCATAGCAGCATTATTAACTAAAAAGTGGAAACAACCCAAATGTCCATCACCTGATGAACAGTCTATCCAATGCAGTATCATTAAGCAGTGAAAATAAATGTAGTACTGATACATGCTACAACATGGATGAAGCTTGAGAACATTATGCTAAGTTAAAGAAGCCAGTCACAAAGCCCACATATTGCACATCCACTTACAGGAAATACCCAGAATGGGTAAATCTATATATAGAAACTAGATTAACGGTTGTCAAAGGCTCAGGGAGTTGGAGGGAAATTATAATACAGGGTTTCTTTTGGGATGATAGAAGTGTTCTAAAATTGTGGTGATGGCTGTACAACTCTGTGAACATAGTAAAAAATACTTAATTGTAACTTTAAGTGGGTGAATTGTGTGGTATGTTAAATTATATCTGTTTTTAAAAAAGGAAATTTAATTATCATTGCTATAATTAGGAGGTAACAAAGAAAATAAAATGAAATCAAAGTACTTTTATTAAATTCTTGCTATATAATTGACCAAGGCTCCGAGCCTAGACCTGCTCTATTTGTTAAAGAAATATGGGGGCAGTGTGGGAGGAGAATTAGAAGTACTGGAAAAGTGTTAAAATGTTAAAGACATACTGACTGTTTTTAATATATTAAGAAGAAATGAAAGAAAACTGAATGAAAAGGAAAGGGAATAACTTTCTTATTAAATATTATTTCAATGCTATTTAATGTCACATTCATGTACTACCTAAAATCATCACTTTGCCAATCACGGTAGACATCACACACTTTTGAGATACACTGTGCCGAAGATATTTCCTCATTAATAGAAGATGAAATAAGAATAAGCCACTCAGAAAACAGCCAGATAAATGAATCTCAAACAGTAGTATTTAAATAAGCTGTTAGATATTCTTACATTGTTAGCAATATCAGAGTAAGCCTAAGCCAACCTTGTAATGGAAAGTGAAACGTTCTCATTTCCTCCTTTGTCAGAAGGCATCTGGTCAAGCCCACTTTCTTAGAGCCATACTTTTGAATGATGGGATCATCCTGAAGGTTGATGGCGGCTTTTGCATTAGAAGGTAAAGGCCCTGAAAGAAAAACAATTGAACGTATATTAGAATGTGTGTTTAAGAACCCTAGAAGAAATGTCTCCTAAGGTTGTATAGGCTAAGCACAAGGAAGATCAAAAGATGTATAAAACTCAGCCCCAACCATTTAGGGGCTTGCAATCTATTACAATTATAAGAACACAGAAAGGCAGGGTGCAGTGGCTCACGCCTGTAATCCCAGCACTTTGGGAGGCTGAGGCAGGCAGATCACGAGGTCAGGAGATCGAGACCATCCATCCTGGCTAACATGGTGAAACCCTGTCTCTACTAAAAATACAAAAACAAAATTAGCCGGGTGTGGTGGTGGGTGCCTGTAGTCCCAGCTACTTGGGAGGCTGAGGTGGCAGAATGGCGTGAACCCGAGAGGCAGAGCTTGCAGTGAGCCGAGATCGCGCCACTGCACTCCAGCCTGGGCAGCAGAGCGAGACTCCGTCTCAAAACAAACAAACAAAAAAAACACAGAGAAAATGAAGTCCCAAATGAGCTAAAACAGTAAAGGGATAGGAGGAGGAATATACTTCACAATAGAGTGTCAGAGATCAAGAAAGGAAAAGATTGAGTCTTAAAAAAAAGACAGAATTCAGATAGTTGGTATATTCAACCTGTTCTTTACAGTGCCTGTCTCTCCCTTATGGTTCATTCTAGCTAAATATACTCCACCCTCAGCCACCTATTTAAGCAGCAAAAGCTTGTTCTTTAACCAGGGACCATTACTGATTGGATTAAGGGTATGACCTGGCTCAAGAGAGATCATCTATAGATTGACCAATGACTTGATATTCCTTATCAAGACATGTTCTCAGAGGGAAAATCTTAAGTAGTTAAGTTCATCAGACCGCCTGCTTTAAGGATTTTCACTAAAAAATATAAAGAACTGGGCTAGGTACAGTGGCTCACACCTGTAATTCCAGCACTTTGGGAGGCTGAGGTAGGTGGAACCCTTGAGGTCAGGAGTTCAAGACCAGCCTGGCCAACATGGTGAAACCCCATCTCTACTAAAAACACAAAAATTAGCCAGGTGTAGTGGCATGCACCTGTAATTCCACCTATTCAGGAGGCTAAGGCACAAGAATTGCTTGAACTCGGGAGGCAGAGGTTGCAGTGAGCAGAGATTGTGCCACTGCACTCCTGCCTGGGCAACAGAGCGAGGCTCTGTCTCAAAAAAAAAAAAAAAAAAAAAAAAAAAAAAAAAAAAATATATATATATATATATATATATATATATATAAAGAGAGAGAACTGACTAGTCAGAAGAGAAAAGAAAATACACAGATAAGTAGATGCTATGAAAGGGTTGGAGAAAATCTTTTTACTAGGGGCACTTAGGTTCCTGCTGGCTTTCTACCCACATACATCCTTCTTCAAACAATATTTGCTCAAGATGACCTAAGTGAGTAGCTGATCCTTGTAAAGAAAATAGCCAAAGTATCATAAGTAGAAGAGGACATTCCAGGCAAGACAGAAATGTAGAGTAAACTTGGTTTGTCAGTAGACCAGTAATGAAGAAAGAAAGGTCTGTGCAAGAGATGAGCATAGGAAACAAAGTTGAGACAGGAGCATAATTAACTTTCGTCCACCATTCAATACGTAATGGGGAGCCACAAAAAGCTCCTGAGAACGGAAGTGATGTAATTAAAGCAGTGTTTTAAGAAACATCAACCTCAAAGATTTGTAAAAAATGGAGTAGAGGCTGGGTGCATGGCATGCCTGTAATCCCAGCAATTTGGGAGGCCAAGGCAAGAGGATTGCTTGAGTCCAGGAGTTTGAGACCACCCTAGGCAACGGAGCAAGACCCAGTCTCTACAAAAACAAAAATTAGCCAGGCATGGTAGTGCATAACTGCAAGTCTTAGCTACTCAGGAGGCTGAGGCAGGAGGATCGCTTGAATGTAGGAGTTTGAGACTGCAGTGAGCTTAGATTGTACCACTGCACTTTAGCCTGGGCAACAGAGGGAGATCCTGACTCTAAATTTTTTTTTTTTTTTGGAGACGGAGTTTCGCTCTTGTTGCCCAGGCTGGAGTGCAATGGCGCGATCTCGGCTCACTGTAACCTCTGCCTCCCAGGTTCAGATGATTCTCCTGCCTCAGCCTCCTGAGTAGCTGGGATTACAGGCATGTACCACCACGCCCGGCTAATTTTGTATTTTTAGTAGAGATGGGATTTCTCCATGTTGGTCAGGCTGGTCTCCAACTCCCGACCTCAGGTGATCCACCTGCCTCAGCCTCCCAAAGTGCTGGGATTATAGGTGTGAGCCACTGCGCCCAGCCTAAATTTAAAAAAAAAAAAAAAAAAAGGAGGAAAGAAAGAAAGAAAAGAAAGGAAGGAAAGGAAAGGAAAAGAAAGGAAAGGAAAGGAAAGAAATGAAGAAAGAAAGAAAGCGAAGTAGAAAGAGGCTAGAAAGGGCTTTACAATAATTCTGGCCAAAAAATTATGAGCATCTGCTAGGGGCAGAAATACCATTTGAGCCAGCAATCATGTTACTGGGTATATTCTAAAGGAATATAAATCATTCTATTATAAAGATATGCGCAGGTGGAAAAGACATGGTATCAACCCAAATGCCCATAAATGATAGATCAGATAAAAAAAAATGTGGTACATATACACCATGGAATACTATGCAGCCACAAAAAGGAACAAGACCATGTCCTTTGCAGGGACATGGATGGAACTGGAAGCCATTATTCTCAGCAAATGCAGAAACAGAAAACCAAACAACACCATGTTCTCACTTATAAGAGGGAGCTGAATGATGAAAACACATGGACACATGACAACACACATTTGGGGTTGTCAGAGGGGTTGGTGGAGGTAAAGCATCAGGAAGAATAGTTAATGGAGGCTGAGCTTAATACCTAGGTGATTGGCTGATCTGTGTAGTAAACCACTACAGCACACATTTACCTATGTAACAAACCTACACATCCTGCACATGTACCCAGGAACTTAAAATAAATGTTGATGAAAAAAGGCCAAGTGCAGTGGCTCACGCCTGTACTTTCAGCATTTTAAGAGGCTGAGGCAGGTGGATCACTTGAGGCCAAGCGTTCAATACCAGCCTGGCCAAACATGGTGAAACTCTGTCGTTACTAAAAATACAAAAATTAGCTGGTATGGTGGTGCACGCCTGTAGTCCCAGCTACTCAGGAGGCTGAGAGGCACAAAAATCGCTTGAACCCAGGTGGCAGAGGTTGCAGTGAACTGGGATCATCCCACTGCACTCCAGCCTCAGCGACAGAGCGAGACTCTGTTTCAAAAAGAAGTTGTTACAGCATCTGAATTAAGATAGTGGAAGCTATGGAGAAAAAGGGATATATAAAACATACATGAAAAACTGGTAGAACATGGTGAAAAAATTATTCAGCCAGCAAAATATTTAAATATTTATAACTTTATTATGTAGCCGGCACTGTTTTGGCCACTAGGAATTCCCCAATGCACAAAACCAACAAAATTCCTCATGACATTTAACTTATAGTTGGAAATATGGATAATAAACAAATAAATACGTAATATATCAGGTAAGATAAGGGCTTTGAAGAAAAGGAGGAGAAAAGTATAGGAAATATTGGGGCAGGGAAAGGGTTACTGTCATATATTTTGTATAGGATGAGCTGAGAAGGTCTCTGTTAAATTGACATCTGAATAGAGATTTATAGGAGCAAAGGGAATTAGGCATGCAGACAGTTTGGGGATAGGGAGCCAAAAGAAAACTGTAAAATTCAACACTGGTGTCTTAGAGAAAAATGACACCAACAAGAGGGAATATGAAGAGACCATTATTTGAGGATGAGAAAAACGCATTTAGCTATGTTATGACTGAGGACAGTAGAATATCCAAATAGCAATTGGAATATTCAGCAGGCAGTTGAGAATGCAGGCCTGCAATCTGGGGCATCAGACCTAGAGATAAAGATACAGGAGTCATTCAAAGAAAACTAATAGGTAAACTTGGCAAGAACAGATGAATGCTCCGAAGGAAAGACTGATTAACGAAGATCAGAGTGCGAGGGACTATGCCTTGGGGACTCTGATATTTAGCACTGGAAAATGAAGTGAAATACTTAGGAGGATGGAGAAGTTGCCCTAACCTCTCTGGCTCCTCAAGGCCTACAGAATAAAATCCAAATTCTTTTGGCATGACATTCAAAGCCTGTAGGTTGTCTCTCCGTGGCTGGTACAGAATATAAAAATAAAACATAAAATAAAAACAAAGCCTGCAGGATATGGCTTTAATCTGCCTTTCCAGCTTTGTCTCTCATCACCACCTCCTCCTATTCTTCTCAGCATGTCCAACAAGCTGTACTCTTCAAACATGTCAGATTTCTTTTTCCTGATTACATCTTTTCTTTTGCAACGTGATGCTTTTACTTGAACCTAGAATCTCATAATGATTACTCTGTGATTTAATCACAGATGTTTAAAATACAGTGCAAATCAAATCAAATACAATTGCAGATCAAAAATGGGCATCCATGAGAAGAAGAGAACAACAGAAAGATAGAAAATTAGAAGTGGGGATTAGGACAGAGGATAATGCAAGCACATTTCTAGAGGAGATAAGAAATCAAGTTACTCCTCACTACTTTTTCATGTTCCCTCAGTGCAATTATTCAATTAATTATTTCTGAACACAAAATAGAGTATCATTGAACAATACCTAACCTTACTATATGCAACTAACTCTGATAAGTCCTATACTACTCTATCACTCACCTTCCTGCAAAACCAAAAAGATTACTTATAACTTACCAATAGGACACAACCCACAGTTTGAAAAACACACTGCTATCATGAATCTTTCAGCTGGCTAGTATCTAAACCTCCTGCCTATTCTTCACTGTGAGTAGTATCAGCAGGTATCCCTTATATTAGTCAAAGGCAAGATCTTCCTTCCCACCTGTACACTGGTGGGTACAAAGACCCAGTGACAGTTTAGAAATTATTCACAGTAATTCATAAGAGTCCAACATCAGTGATACCCAGGTATCCTTAGCTATCTAACCAGATTGTTTCTGAGACATGAACCCTGGCTGTGGTTCCTGCTATCTAACTTCCCTGAGTACCTGCCCATTTTTCCTTAAAAAAACTGTTTTTGTGGCCCAGGTATGGTGGCTCATGCCTATAATCCCCACACTTTGGGAAGCCAAGGTGGGAAGATCACTTGAGCTCAGGAGTTTGAGACCAGCCTGGGCAGCACAGTGGAGCCCCGTTTCTCAAAACAAACAAACAAACAAACAAACAAAATTAGCTGGGGATGTGGCCTGTGCTGGTAGTTCCCCAGCTACTCAGGAGGCTGAGGTGGAAGGACTGCTTGAGTCTGGGAGGTCAAGGCTGCAGTGAGCCGTGTGATCACGCCACTGCACTCACACCTGGGTGACAAGAGTGAGACCCCCGTTTCAAAAAAAAAAAAAATTGTTTTTGTGCTTAAGCTAGTTAGAATTGAGTTTTGTTGTGCTAAACCTACTTACAATCATATCCGTATCTTTTAGAGTGAGCAAAGCATCAAACCAGCATCATAGCTATACCTTCCATTGTCTTGGGCAGATCTCCAGCTCTTTGTTCAGTTTGTAGCCCAACAACATCAGCTAGAAAATCAGATGATGGTGGAGGCAAGCGGAATTTCTGAAAATATATTAACAGGTTTTACAAAAATGGTTGAAAACAGCTAAAATACTGTGAAAGGCCTGGACTTTTATTGTCACCTCAGTGCTTTGAAAGTTCTAGACAGTAATTGTTAGCATTTTAAAATAAGAACTGTTTCCTTAATATAGAAAAGTGACTAAGTAAATGAAGCCACACAACACTAACTGATCCCTATGATTATATATTGTAAAATAGACAAACTTTACAGAAATATACAACTTAGACAAGAAAAGTCCCTTTGTATTTTCAAAGTTCTTCCAAATCTATTATTTCATTGGAAAGCATGCCATTGCCATCAGAATAGATGGTATCACACGGCAAAAAGGTTGAGAGCTTCAGCTTCAGGTTCACCTGGGCTTAAATTTCAGCCCTACCACTTACTAGCTGGAACTCGGGCAAGTTACTCAGTTTCTCATGTACAAAATGGAAATTAAAAAGTATCTATTTTATAAGACTATTGTGATAATTAAAGATGATACGTGTAGCAGGTGGTCCGTGGTTAATAGAGAGCCTGATACACAGGAAGTGCTCAATAAATGAAAGCAAAAAAAATGGTGACCCAGGGAGGTTAAATTAGGGCTCACCAACTCAAATGCCTTCAGGAATAAATGGATGAAATGGGTCACTAGGAAATGGAAGAGGCTACGGGAAAATGGACAGCAGGTGCCTCTTTTTAAAGATGACAACTGCTATTCAGTTCCATATACTGTTTTAAGGGTGCCCAATCTTGCGATTTTTTTAAAGAGAGGTAGAAAACTCAGCTTGTATTATATTTTACAATTTCTGAAAACACCATAGCCCAAATAAAATAGAACAATATCAACCTAGGAGCTACAGATTATAACCTGGGAATAAGAGTTTGCCTAGATTTCCAAAGAAAATCAGAGACAAATCTACATGAGGCCTCTAAGGTCTTTTTGCTTTCTATATCCCCTACTGTTTGTTCAGTTAGGTTGCCAAGGAGCATGGTCCCTGACACATGTATTAGTCTCAGAATGGGAAAACAGACTCAGCCCCTAGTACAAAGTATTCTTAACTTACATGTCTGAATGCTTTTCGAAGACATCCAAACTCCAAATAGAACCTGTAAAAGTGTAGCTGACTCATTCCCTGCAGAACAAAAACCACTACGTTGTTTAGGTGGTTTTGATGAAAAAGCTGGCACCAGCTGCCAAGAAATCAAACCAACACAGTTAAGACAGATGGCCTTAAGTCAGTTACAGTCATATAGAGGGGAAATAGGGGAGAAGGCGCAGGAAAAGCAGTGAGTGAGAGTTAATAGAATTTATCACCATTCACCGTCTGCCTGGAACTGGAAGACAGCCATTATTGCACAGAATTCAAATAAAGATCCCTAGAGATAAATACTTGTTGTATTCAAATCCAGTAAAATACCAAGCAAAATGCAATGCATTTAAATTCACAGTCCTATTAAGGTTTGTTTGGAATCAGAACTAAGCTCACTTTACAAAGTCATCCCTAAGATACCAACCTACTCTGCGGTCCTTCCTAAACCAGGGAATCAAATGGCTGGCTTTAAGAAATTCAGTTTTCGCTGGGCACGGTGACTCACGCCTGTAATCCCAGCACTTTGGGAGGCCGAGGCAGGTGGATGACTTGAGGTCAGGAGTTCAAGACCAACCTGGGCAACATGGCGAAACCCCATCTCTACTAAAAAAAATACAAAAAAATTAGCTGGGCCTGGTTGTATGAGCCTACAATCCTAGCTACTCTGGAGGCTGAGGCAAGAGGATCACTTGAACCTGGGAGGTGGAGGTTGCATTGAGCGGAGATCGTGCCACTGCACTCCAGCCTAGGTGACAGAGCGAGGCTCCATCCCCCACCAAAAAAATGTCAAATCCTGCTCCACCCATTTTTGTAAATAAGACTATTGAACTACAGTCATGCTTATTTGTCTATGTGTTATGTATGGCTGCTTTGGGCTACAATGGCCAAGTTGGGTAGTTGCAATAGAGACATAAAACCTACCAAAAAAAAAAAAAAACAGTTTTAGATAAACTGACAGACTGATGGCTGTAATTGTTGATGGAGAAGACAGTTCTCGAAGTAGCTAGCCAATTCATAACAACCTCCCCCAGAAAGACGTGTGTATTATTTGCATACATACAAAATATTTTTCATAAGACACTTAATAATGGCACCAACAATATCAGAACAGTAAGATTCTCTTTTTTTTTTGTAGGGCCTGAGTCTCGCTATGTTGCCCAGGCTGGTCTCAGACTCTGGGACTCAAGTGATCCTCACACCTTGGCCTCCCAAAGTGCTGGGATTATAACTGTGAGCCACTATGCCGGGGCTCTCTTTGCCTTTTATTTGTAAAAGAAAGAAAAAAGATTAACTGGAATTCTTCACAGATCATTGTTATTTCAGCTGAGTCTGCAACACGGGAAACAAACTAAAATATCTATAGTAGCCAGACAGATACTGTAAATATGGGAAGCAGGCCAGGTAGGACATTGTAGTATACATGTCCCATATAAAGGGGGAGACCACCACTCAGCTTTGACAAATTATTGCCATGTGGGAATATAGGGATAGCTGCCATCTTTGAGTTTTTGGAAGAAGAAAATGTAGATTTTTATATAGGAATTTCCAGAATTAACACTTGGCAGCCATCATAAAAAATTCAGGACATGCTGCATAGCAAAAAAATACTGTCGATAAGCCAGTTTGAAACCTCTGGTTTGAATGATGGAGCTTGGGAGAGGTAAAAAAAAAAAAAAAAAAAAGAAACCGCTGGTCAATACCCACCATTTAAATTCATCTCATACCTGGGTTTTGGAACATTGGATTTGCCCAGAACTGCATACTTCAGCAATTCACACAGCTGGTCATGGGTTACTTCACAGTTGTCAGTAAATAAAATGGTAGATAAGCGGGCTTTCTGCAAAGATTAATCAGGGCGTAGCAAGCCATTATTGGTTATCAAGAATACCAACAAAGCAAGTTAAATTATTCTAGCTTCTGATTACTTTAACATACAGGTATATTCTAACATAAGGAAGTGCTAATTAATTGAAAATGATGGCCTAAAATAACAATATGTGGTAGGTATGACATTATTAATAAAGTAATTATCATTGACACAAAACTGAATTATAGATACTTGGTTACATGCTAGGAATAGGATAAATAAAGCATAATTCATGCTCTCAAAGAGTCCATTCTACTAGGGAGAGAAAGCAATAGCTAATTCCAACACAGTGTGGGTAAGTGCTATTACAAAGCTATGAGAACAAGGAGTCTAACTGCCTTAGGGGTTAGAGAGTTTGGGGAAGGCTACTGAGATGAAAATACTGAGGCTGAGCCTTGAAAACAATGCCATGTTGGAGGGAACATCGCATTCAACATGTAGTATGGTTTGGCAAGGAGCCAGGATTGCATGTTGCATAGTAGTGGAGGTATGAGGAGAGGGAAGCAGGAGCCAGATCATAGATCAATGCGGCCTAAGCTAATGAATCAGAATTTATCCCCTGGGCAACAAGAGTTCAGCAAAGCTCCCAACCCCTTTAAAAAGGCTTTGAACTTATACTTGTTTTTTTCTTTTCTGAGACAGAGTCTCACTCTGTCACCCAGGATGGAGTACAGTGGCGCTATCTTTGCTCACTACAACCTCTGCCTCCCAGGCTCAAGCGATCCTCCTGCCTCAGTGTCCTGAGTAGCTGGGACCACAGATGTATGCCACCACACCTGGCTAATTTTTTTTGTATTTTTGGTAGAGATGAGTTTTTACCATGTTGCCCAGGCTGGTCTCGAGCTCCTGAGCTCAAGCGATCTGCTCTCCTCAGCCTCCCAAAGTGCTGGGATTACAAGCATGAGCCACCACGCCCGGCCTATAGTCACCACGCCCAGCCTATATTTGTTTAATAAAGTAATTCGTGTTTGTTACAAAAGACTCATTAACAGAGAATTGTAAAATAAATGATACAGAGAAACGAAAATAAAAGTCACCTCAGAGATAATTAAAATAAAAGTACAACTTAGAGGTAATCACCACTTTCGTTTTGGTCTGCGAGGCAGCAGAGCATAGCGGTTAGAAGCTCAAGCCCTAGTCATACTACCTGAGTTCAAACACCAGGCTTGGACCAGTGCCATAGCCTTGGACCATCATCATCATCTTGGACCAGTGCCATAGCCTTTCTAAGACTCAGTTTCCTCATCTAGAGAGTAATTATAATTTTATCTCATTAAATAATTGGGAGGACCAATGAAATAGTTCAAGTACAATGTACTGAGGCTAGTACCTGACATAAGTACTTAATAAACATTAGATATTATTGCTAATGTATTCCCATGGCCTTAAGCTAATGTTAAACTCTTACATTAGCGAAACACAGTTCTGATCATTTTACATGCATTAAATCATTTAATTCTCACAACTTTGTAAGTGTGTACTACTATCATCCCCATTTTACAGATAAATTGGAGAGACAGATAAATGATAGAACCAAGACTGGAATGCAGGCTTATCTCTATACTATACAGCCCGCAGTGGATTTTATCAATCATTCTTTTTTGAAACCAACTCCCTACTCCCGAACTTAAGCTGTATCTTTCCATATCAGTTAAAAAAAATCAATTTTAATACTTGAATAATAGTCCATTTTCTAAATTTACCTGAAAATTTATAATATATCTGAAAAACATTCCCTATTGATAACACTGGTTTTTTAAATTACAAACAACATTATGATGAACATCCTTGTACAGACACCTTTGTACATCTATCTACTTTCTTAGGATCAATTCCTGGTTCAAATGAACTCCTGAAAGAATATGCCAGTTTGTTTTTACCAAATAAAAACATGAGATTAATAAGGTGAGACTGAGCAAGATGGAGTCTATATGGCGGTGAGTAACCCTGGTTGCCAGGCATGGGATGTCAAGAGCCTGAGTTGGGTGAGGAAGGTGTCCTGTAGAGGAGACAGTCCAGGACTAGGAGCAGAAGCTGAGGACATTCATGCAGGAGGGTGCTCTGGTGTGGGGTGTCAAAGCCTCAGCAGCACAAGGACGTCACCCATACAGGAAGGAAGGGAGGGCAGTGAGTCCTGACATCAGATGTCAGAAACTATTTAGGGTAAGGAGGGCATCAATGCTGAGGGACAGTAGTGGCCTGTTGCAGGGTTTAAAGCCTGAACAGGATGAGGGTATAAACCTGAGAGGGATGGTGGCAGCCACCTGTCATAGGATGAGGGTGCTCACAAAGGAAGATGACCTGGTACAAGGTGATGGAGCCAGTGCAGGGTGACAGAGCCTAAGCAGAGTCAAGAGGGTGTGAGGGTGGGTCAGCGGCAGCAATAAGGATTGATCAAATATACTGAAGATGTTGGGTGTCGGGTTTCTCATTGTTAGTGAAGGAAGTTACAAATATGAAAATGGACTGGGCGCGGTGGTTCACGCCTGTAATCCCAACACTTTGCGAAGCCGAGGTGGGCAGATCACTTGAGGTCATGAATTTGAGACCAGCCAACATGGTCAAACGCCATCTCCACTAAATGTACAAAAATTAGCCAGGCGTGGTGGTGGGTGCCTGTAATCCCAGCTACTCAGGAGGCTGAGGTAGGAGAATCGCTGGGAGGGAGAGGTTGCAATGAGCAGAGATCATGCCACTGCACTCCAGCCTGGGTGACAGGGCAAGACTTTTGTCTCAAAAGAAAAAAAAAAAGGAGAAAACTAGAATGAATAGAATGAACCCTGTATTACTGGATTTGGATTAAAGTGGAGATACTGATGTGAATTCACATAAGTAAAATACAGAAAAATATTTAAATGTAAGTATGTGTGTGTGTATACACTTTCAACTTACAAAATTTTCAATTTACGATGGATTTATTGGGACGTAATCTTATTTTAAGTGAAGAAGCATCTGTATTAACATCACCATAGCACCCAAATCTAAATATCATTCTACACTAAAAAGAACCAGGTACCCTAAGAGAAATGACTGATTCCAGGCTTGGGGCAGGGAAAGCACATATGAGCCTGGAATATCTTCTTGTGCCAGAAAGTAATGACATGCTCAAAGAATGATGTTGTCATGTCAAAAGGCCACAGAAGCTAGCTTAATGACAAAATCTTGGATATTTAAAGCATCACAATCCAGTAAAAGATAGTAACACACTGAACAAAATAGGTACCACTGAGTTCATCATACTGATAAAAAAGTAAATGCATAAGCCCAAAGTGTTTGAGGAAGCACATTACAGACAGCTGGGAGCAGTGGCTTGGGCCTGTAACCTCAGCTACACTGAGGCTGAGGTGGGAGGATTGCTTTAGCCCAGGAATTCCAGACTAGCCTGGGCAATATAGCAAGATCCTGTCTCAAAAAAATAAGAATGAAAATTACACAGAGAAAAAGATAACTTTAGAGAACTTTAGTAGAAACTATCTTAATCTAGTTATCAAGGTTAATATCACCAATAATGGGACAAATCAAATTGTGTACAATCTGCAAGGGAGCAGAGTATCACTCCTGTGATATTCCTGCTAAAGATGTATATAACCTGAATCTAATCAATGAAGAAACAGACAAATCTAATTTAAGGGACATTCAACAAAATAATTGGCCCAGGATTATTCAAATGCAGTAAAGTCATGAATATCAAGGGAAGACTAAGGAACTGTTTGATGGAGACATGACAATTAAATTTAACACAATTCTAGACTGGATCTTATTGCTAAAAAGCGTTATTCAAACAACTACAGAAAATTTGGATGGCATCTGAGGAGTAGATGGTCATGATATATCCATGGTAATTTCCAATTTTGATGGTTGCATTGTGATTATGTAGGTTTATAGAGAATATATAATAAAATATCTTGAGGGTGGGTAGAAAAAGACCATTGTGTCAGCAACTACTTTCAAATGTTGGTTGAGGGGAGGTTTTGATACTATTCTTACAACTTTTCTAAAAGTTTGAGATTGTTTCAACATAACAAAATATGTGATTGTCAATCTCCTTACACTAACCACATAAACATTAAACATTTTTTTGCAAATTTGATAGGCAAAAAAACTGGAATCCCACTTTAATAAAAAAAATTTTCAGCTGGGTGCAGTGGCTCACACATGTAATCCCCAGCACTATGGGAGGCTGAGGCAGGTGAATCTCCTGATCCCAGGAGTTGGAGACCCTGTCTCTCTTTAAAAAAAAACAAACGAAAAAAAAACAAAAAAAAGCAGTGGCTCATGCCTGTAATCCCAGAACTTGCAGAGGCCAAGGTGGACAGATCGCTTAAGTCCAGGAGTTCAAGACCAGCCTGGGCAACATGGCAAAACCCCGTCTC
This sequence comes from Homo sapiens, assembly GCF_000001405.40. Lineage (NCBI taxonomy): Eukaryota > Metazoa > Chordata > Mammalia > Primates > Hominidae > Homo > Homo sapiens. The sequence continues at coordinate 20,808,786 of NC_000016.10, read as the reverse complement.
TACAAAAAAAAGAAAAATTAGCTGGCACAGTGGCACACATCTGTAGTCCCATCTAATTGGTGGAACTGAGGTGGGAGGATCACTTCAACCTGGGAGGCAAAAGTTGCAGTGAGCCAAATCCAGCCTGGGCAACAGAGGGAGACTCCACCTCAAAAAAAAAAAAAAAAAAAAAAATCACATCCCTAATCCCTCTCTCACATATTATAACTTATTTTTATCATTTGTCTCTGCCCACTAGAATATAAGACCTACTAGGGCAGTGAACTTGATTCACTGATGTACCCCAAGCACCTAGGTCAGTGCCCCAGCACATGGCAGACAATAAAAACCAATGAATAGCTGGGTGCAGTGGCTCATGCCTGTAAGAGGCAGAGACAGGAGGATCCTTGTCACACCACTGTAGTCCAGCCTGAGTCCAGCAGAGCAGAGACCCTGTCTCAAACACAAAAACAAACAAAAAAGCCCAATGAACGACTGAAGGGATGAATGAAGTATATTTAGTTCTCAGTAAATGGTAAGGATGATAGGGATAATCAGCCTTTTTATTCCCCTATTGCAGCGGTCCCCAACCGTTGGCACCAGGGACCGGTTTCGTGTTAGATAATCTTTCCACTGACTGGGAGAAGGGCTGGGGGGATGGTTTCGGGGTGATTCAAGTGCATTACATTTATCATTAGAGTCTCATAAGCAGCATGCCACCTAGGACCCTCGTATGCAAAGTTCACAATAGGGCTCACAATAGGTTTGGCACATTCCTATGAGAATCTAATGCCTAGGTGGAGCTCAGGGGGTAACGTTCTATCGGCCACCGCTCACCTCCTGCTGCTTTGTGGCCCGGTTCCTAACAGGCCAGCTGTGGACAGTGGGTTGGGGACCCCATGGACAGGCAGGTACTAGTCTGTGCACAGGGGGTTGGGGACCCCCGCCCTACTGGAATGTAAACTGCACGAGGGCAAGGAATTGTATTTTTGTGCCCCAGGATATCGATGAACATTCCTATTATGTACAGGCAGTTTTTTTTTTGTTTTGTTTTTTGTTTTTTTTTTTTAAGAGATGGGGTCCTTGCTATATTGCCCAGGCTGGTCTTGAATTCCTGGCCTCAAATGATGCTCCCGCCTTGGCCTCCCAAACTGCTGGGATTACAGGCGTGAGCCACTGCACCCGGCCCACCATCCCAGTTTTTTTTTTTTTTTTTTTTTTTCTGAGACGTGATTTCTTTCTTGTTGTCCAGGGTGGAGTGTAATGGCGTGGTCTTGGCTCATTGCAACCTCTGGTTCCTGGGTTCTAGCGATTCTCCTGCCTCAGCCTCCCAAGTAGGTGGGATTACAGTCACCCACTACCACGCCTGGCTAATTTTGTGTGTGTGTTTTTGGTAGAGACGGGGATTTCTCCATGTTGACAAGGCTGGTCTCGAACTCCTGACCTCGTGATCCGCCCGCCTCGGCCTCCCAAAGTGCTGGAATTACAGGCATGAGCCACCGCACTCGGCCGACTCACTATCCCAGTGACAGCCAATGACAGCCTTGTTGCAGGAAGGTGGTATTACACTCATTCCCATTTTAATGATCAGGGATCAGGTTCGGAGAGGCCAGGGCGGAGAGCCCGCCCGAATCCAGTGCCCCCGACGGCGGTTGGGCGAGGGTCCGGGAGCTCCAAACCGCCTAGGGCCGCCTGCTCGGGATCCCCGTTGCTCACCTTGGCCTCGGGCTGACTCTCCTCGAGATCCCAACCGGCTTTCATCGCCTCAGCTGCCCCGACCAGCTTATTTGGGGCCTGCCTGCTTTCCCTGACCTTCCTGGGGTGTCTCTCGGTCCCTTCCCTCTCTGGCTCCATGGCTGTGGAGAAAGATGAGGTAGAGCTGGGGAAACTCCAGCGCCCCTATTCCCCCGCGTGCCGCCTCCTAGCGGGAGAGCTACACGGGCTTGACAGCTTTCAACCTCCCTCGGATCCGCTTCTCAATTCAGTTTACCGAACTATCCCCGTTCCCCTAAAAAAGCGAAGGTGCCAACGATCTCCCCGTTCCGCGGACTGGACACCCGCGCCGCTCTAACCCAAACGGCTTTACCGTCCGCATCGGTTACCGGATTCTCAACGGTTCCCCAACGGCTACAACGGGCGTCTGCCTGGCAAAGAAGGAAGGTGCTGCCGAGCGGCTTCGCCGCCTAAAACCACTCCCCACGCCCCCTAGCCCGGGAAACGCAGAAGAGAAGACGGGCGGGGAGCAGAGGTTCTCCCCTCCTTAGCCACAGCTGCCAACAACAACCGCCCCTCAGCCTCGCGGGCTTTTTGAACGGACCGGAAGTAGAAGTCGAGCGACTTCCGGCAGCTGGACTTGGAAAAGCAAGGAGTGTCGGGAATGGCGACCAAGCGGCTCGCGCGGTACTCGAGGGAGTTCCGGGTCGGGGGCGGGTAGCTCCGGGTCCAGCGCTGGCGTTGGCCGCAGAGCAGGGCACGGCAGGTGGCATCTGCGGTGAGGGCCTCTATTCCCCGCAGCCCCGGCGTCTGCGACCTGCCCTCTCTGGCACGGTTGGAAAGGCGCCTCCCTGGACCTCGGTCTTCAGCCTTGGGCCACCTTCTACCCGAGGGTGACAGGAGCCCGAGGCGGACGAACCCTGGGGCCTTGACTGTGTGGCCTTGAGCCAGTGCCTGCCTATTTTAGGCCTTGGGAAACGACTGGACGTGACAGTGCCCTGCAGACTGGTTGGAGGTCTCAGGCAGGCCACACACTGAATCTGTCAAGGTGTTCAACCTGTTCGAAATGCTCGTTCCTCGGTGCTGTAAAGAAATAGAACTTAAACTTAAATTTAATTTATTTAGTAAGGCCATTTTTACTTCCTGCAGAAAGGGTACACTCGCCAGCAGTTTTGCCAGGAGAGTACACTGAACAAAGGAGACAGGGTCATTTATAACGTGGCGCGTCCACCCTACTGCTGTGTCCGGTTTCCTTTGGCTGGAACGGGACCTCACATTCTGTATTTGTCCCGACTGACTAGCAACATAGAACTTTTTAAAAGAGGCAAAGGCAGAGGAGAACAAAGGAAGAAGGAAGTAACTTGTGGAATGCTGAGAAAGGTAAAAACACTTTTAAGTAAGGAAGAGGAACAGGCTATGACCTAATGTTTGATTGGACCAGTATAAGCATGCCAGGGCAAATATTTAGGCTAAATTGTGGGAGCTAAGAACATAAAGTACATTGATTTCTTTATTATATCTAGCAGATATTTAAGAATGTTAGCACAGGTCTTTGAATAAATTTTGCTCTAAGAGAAGTTACTATTTATTCCTAATTAGACGGGGAAGGAAGTCTTTGAAGAGGAACCTCTACTTTTTACAAACCCATTTTCTAGTGATCTTTTTTTTTTTTTTTGAGACGGAGTTTTGTTGCCTAGGCTAGAGTGCAGTGGTGCGATCTCGGCTTACCATAACCTCTGCCTCCCGGGTTCAAGTCATTCTCCTGCCTCAGCCTCCCAAGTAGCTGGGATTACAGGCATGCACCACCACACCCAGCTAATTTTGTATTTTTAGTAGAAATGGGGTTTCTCTATGTTGGTCAGACTGTTCTCGAACTCCCGACCTCAGGTGATCCACCCGCCTCAACCTCCCAAAGTGCTGGGGTTACAGGTGTGAGCCACGGTGCCTGGCCTAGTGATCCTTTTAATTCACAATATGAATTATTGTGTCCTCCCTGATTCCTGGATGCGCTGTGCATATTTCTGATTACTAGAAAGATGTAATATAATAGCAAATAGCATGAGCTTCAGAATTGGACAGTCTTGGGTTCACATACCAAAGCTATGTTCTTTGGCAAATTAAGAATCAGTTTTCTCATCCATAAAATATAGGTAGGAAAAGTTTCTAGCTACTACACTTGTTGAGGATTAAAGGAGGCCATCATCTTAGTTTAATTTTAGTACCTGCTATGTAGTAAGCAGTCAATAAATGATATTTATTATTCCCAAATCCTGGCACTTCCCACTCTTAGCAAACACAGAAAACTACAGGAGGTGTCTGCCTAGTTAAAACTCTACCTGCTAATACCAAGTAGTTTGTTTTACTTGCACTTAAGACCTCAGTAAGCTCTTCTCTTTTTTTCTTATTTTATTTTATTTATTTATTTTTTTGAGACAGGGTCTCGCTCTGTTGCCCATGCTGGAGTGCAGTGGCATGATCTCGGCTCACTGCAGTCTCCACCTCCCGGGCTCAAGCAATCCTCCCACCTTAGCCTCCTGAGTAGTTGGGACTACAGGTATGCACCATCACGCCCCAGCTAGGTTTTATAATTTTTGTAGAGACGGGGTTTCACCATGTTGCTCAGGCTGGTCTCGAACTCCGGAGCTCAAGCAATCCACCTGCCTTGGCCTCCCAAAGTGCTGGGATTACAGGCATGAGCCACTTTACCTGGCCCTATCTTTTGTTTCTTTACCCAGATTTTTAAACTGGAAGACTGAACCATGTCCTACATTGTCTTGTCTTCTTAAAACTGCACTGTACACATAGCAAGAGCTTAAAAAATGCAGGGGGAAAAATAAGATTTTCAGTGCATTTTTACCTCTACAATCAAATGATTGTAGGAACTCAAATGAGTTACTCAGTATTACTGTAAAACAAGGGTAACATAAAATTAGTGTAAATTGGCTGGACACAGTGGCTCAGGCCTGTAATCCCAGCACTTTGAGGGGCTGAGGTGGGAGGATTGCTGGAGCTCAGGAGTTCGAGATGAGCCTGGGTAACATAGTGAGGCCCTGCCTTCAAAAAAAAAAAAAAATTAAAACTAATGGGCCGTGGTGGCATGCATCTGTAGTCTTAGTCAGGAGACTGTGGTGGGAGGATTGCTTGAGCCCAGGAGATTAAGGCTGTAGTGAGTGGTGATCATACCACTGCACTGCAACCTACGTGACAGAGCAAGACCCTGTCTCAAAAACAAAACCAACAAATTAGCCTAATTTGCAAATATGTACTTTCGAGGCCTGTGCAGGTAAAGCCAAAGTCCAGTTCGATTTCCCCTCAGTCACAATAAATAATGAGATTGTTGCCCAGTACCATTAGTTTGGTAGCCTACTCAAACAGGAGTGTGAATGAGTTCATTGATCATATTTGGATTGCTTCACATTTTTAGGCAGCTTGGATTAATTAGGAGAAAGTCAATTGCGCCAGCAAATGGAAATCTCGGAAGAAGCAAATCCAGTGAGTAGTATGCTTAGTTTCTTTGCATTTTGTAGCCTTGCATTTTCAGCACTGGTAAAGCATAAGAACAACTTGATCTTTTGCAGAGCAGTTGTTTGACTACTTAATTGTCATTGATTTTGAATCGACATGCTGGAATGATGGGAAGCACCACCATAGCCAGGAAATAAGTAAGTCTGGGCTACGAATGGCCAAAGCTGGCACTAGATGAGTCACTTTAAAGTTTATAGATCTGAATCAGCCAAAAGTTTAAGAAAACAGGATGGTCTATGCATTGGTAGTTTAATGCAAAACTTATGTTGAATAAAAAAGAGCAAAATCTCAAATACCTAAATGTGTTATTATATAAAATAGTTGTTTTATATTACATACAACACCTCAATGGCATAGAAACTGAAAAAAATGCCTTTGCAAAAAAAGTAAATTTTATATTCCATATGGTTTTTATATTTATTTAATTATATTGTTTTCTTTTAAGACAACATGCTCATAACTTCAATATTTTGACTTTAGCATAACTTTATTATAACCTTTATGTCACACTGCTTTGGTCATTTTAGTATGCTTTTACTGAAAACTGGTTGTTTAATTAAAATGGTAACATGTTTAATTTAGGATGATTACAGGATTAATTTAAAAATTATTTATTCAACTGTCAATTGATTATTCTTTCATTTAGTTGAGTTTCCAGCAGTGTTGCTGAACACATCAACTGGACAGATTGACTCTGAGTTCCAGGCTTATGTTCAACCTCAGGAACATCCAATTCTTTCAGAATTTTGCATGGAATTGACAGGCATAAAGCAGGTATGATGCAAATCTTAAAATTCAGAAGTCAGTTTCAAAAAGAAAATAAAAGTTATTATACCATTTGAAATTAGATTTATTTAGTGTTAGGCATGATGGCTTATGCCTGTAATCCCAGCACTTTGCAGGCTGATGTTCGAGAATTGCTTGAGGCCAGGAGTTTGAGACCAACCTAGACAACATAGTGAGAACCCCATCTCTAAAAAAAAAAAAAAAAAAAATTTAAATTAGCCTGACTTGGTGGCATGTGTCTGTAGTCCCAGCTTCTTGGGAGGCTGAGGCTGAGGTGGGAGGACCACTTGAGCCCAGGAGTTTGAGGCTGCAGGGAGGTATAATCTCAGTCTATCCTGGGTGACAGACTTTGTCTCTGAAAATAAATGAATAAATAAGTAAATAAATAAATAAGATTAGTGTTATTCCAGATTCAGGACTCGATTTATGTATTTATTTATTTATTTTTCAGACAAAGGCATGCTCTGTTGGCCAGGCTGGAGTAAGGTGGCGGGGCTCACTGCAACCTCTGCTTCCTGGGTTCAGGCGATTCTCATGCCTCAGCTTCCTGAGTAACTGGGACTATAGGTACACACCACCACATCTGGCTAATTTTTATATTTTTAATAGAGACAGGGTTTCACTATGTTGGCCAGGCTGGTCTCGAACTCCTGACCTCAAGTGATCTGCCCACCTTGGCCTCCCGAGGTGCTGGGATTACAGGCGTGAGTCACCTCAGGACTCGATTTAAAAAGCAAAGGAACATACCTGTAATCTCAGTACTTTGGGAGGCCAAGGTGGGTGGATCATCTGAGGTCAGGAGTTCGAGACCAGCCTGGCCAACTTGGCAAAACCCCGTCTCTACTAAAAATACAAAAATTAGCCAGGCATGGTGTTACACACCTGTGATTCCCACTACTTGGGAGGCTGAGGCAGGAGACTCACTTGAACCCAGGAGGTGGAGGTTGCAGTGAGCTGAGATCATGCCACTGCACTCCACCCTGGGCAACAAAGCAAGACCTCGTCTCAAAAAAAAATAAATTTTAAAAATTAAATAAATACACAGCAAAGGAAGAATAATGTTATAAAAATGAGGATCAAATTGATTTTATGGAAATTAAGTGACTCAAATTTGTCTATGATTTATGTCAGTCTGGACTTAATGATCATATTTCTGTGTGATTTTAGTTTTTATCAACCTAATCTTTCTTACCTTGGTGGGTTCTAAATATTCTTTCTTTCCCACGTGTTTTTACCTCTTTCCACTAAATAAACTCTTTGCCAGTTAGAACCACTTTGTTATGTCTTCCCACAGTACACTGTGTTTTCATGACTTGGCATTTCTGATTCTTTTAAAACCATTAATCTTTCTCCACAGTTATAAAACATGCTAAATAATAATGGAATTTGATTGTTGAATTCAGCTTTTGTGACTCTCTACTCAGGCTCAAGTTGATGAAGGAGTCCCTCTGAAGATTTGCTTATCTCAGTTCTGTAAATGGATTCATAAGATTCAGCAACAGAAGAACATTATTTTTGCTACTGGGATTTCAGAGCCTTCTGCTTCTGAAGTAAAATTATGTGCATTTGTTACTTGGTCAGGTAAAGAATAAGTTATACCTATTAATCACAGATGGGTAGCATTACCACTATGTAATTCTTTATTTCTAGTTTTATACTTGCTAACCTAGAATTATGTTTGTTAATCTTCTGGGCTAGGAAAAAAAATTTAAATGCCTAGCAGATGTTAGCCAAGAAAAGTAAATTAATACATATTTTTTAAATTAACCTTTTGGGATACCTTAAAATATTAAGCCTGAACTTAAAAAAATGTTTCTAGAGTTCCACTGTTAAGAATTAAGCAAAGATGATTTAGTGAACACTCTTATGCTATTTTCTACAGTCTTCATCAGCTCAACATCCTTTGCTTTTATGCTTTGACACTTAAAAGAAAAAAAAAATGAGCCATTTAAAGTAGGTTTTTTGTATGACTGTGTTAGAGCATTGCTGTTAATAGTCATTAATAGCAATACTGTGTCATTGATAAGATAGCATTGATAGTCATATTTGGTTTCCAGTTACTATAAAATGTTTGGTTTCTCAATAACATTAATATTTTCCTAGAATATAGAAAATATAGTCCTTGTAATTTAACATGTTACTCTTCTTTCTGAAATAAGGTTTTACTGGGTGTTTAAGAAATCATTTTGAAATTTAGTCATCAACCTAACTTGTTAATAGTAAGTTATATAAAGTGAATAATTTTTAGATATTAGCAGAGCAATGAAATCATACTGTTCTATTTTATATGATCTTCTAGCATTCTATTTGTAAATGGTGGCAGCATAAGTAAAAAATGCTGGCATCATTGACTTTGTTCTATTTTAATGTACCTAATGCAGACTGGGACTTGGGGGTTTGCCTGGAGTATGAGTGTAAAAGAAAGCAGCTGTTAAAACCTGTGTTTTTAAATTCTTGGATTGATCTCAGAGCAACTTACAAGGTAATGGTAAAAAATGGGGGCATGTTTACTTTTTTCTATGGAAAAATGATTAACTTTTATCCTACACATGGGCATGGGTTTCTGCAAAGAAGATACTTTCTTTTGTACTGGTCACATAAATGCATTTCTTAAAGTATTTAAAAACAACACACAAAAAATAAGCACATTCTAAATCTAATAGAACTAAAAATTATGAAAAGTGTTTAATACATAGTCTTTAAAATAGTAATCTTCTTTTAAATATATCTTTTTTTATTGGTTAGCTTTTCTATAGGAGAAAACCAAAAGGACTAAGTGGTGCCTTGCAGGAAGTAGGAATAGAATTCTCAGGACGAGAACATTCTGGTTAGTATACATTAAAAATTATGTAAGCCATTTGACTTTTAAAAAATACTTCATATGAATTTCATTTTTTGGTAATGTCATTAGTAAGGGATATCTTCAGCCTAAAAAAAAAAAACTCCTAATCTAAACAATTCACATTGTTTCTAAGACTTTCAAATTACCACTTTCATAAACTATTGTAAGATACACTGCCATCTAGTGGCTTTCTAGTTGCTAAGAAGAATGAAAAGAATGAGCCAAATCAAATGGAGATTAAACAAGTGCTCAAATAATAGAATGGACTAGTGAAAAAACTGAACAAGACTATTAGATTATTCACAAATCCTGGTTCCTGCAGAACGCTGGCCACATTTTGGGGAACTGTCTAATACATTTTCATATCCTCCTCTATAAATGTGGACGAGCTTGTCTTTCACTGGTAATGCTGCCATAGCCTTCCACTTCCAAGACCAGTTTATCATGATTAAAATTAGTAGATGGTCATAAAACTAAAACTGTGTTCCAATTTCTACACAAGTGGTGTTTTTCTTTTTAAGTTATTTCTTTAGTACTAAGGAAATAGTACTAGTACCACTAAATTCAGTGTTTGATATCTGTATCCTCAGGGTTGGACGATTCTCGGAATACTGCCCTTCTTGCTTGGAAAATGATCAGAGATGGTTGTGTAATGAAAATTACAAGGTCGTTGAACAAGGTTAGTAGTGTCTTGCCTTTTTATTCTGTCATCTCAAACTTCATAAACAGTCATACGTTCTTTGAAACGTAGATTTAATGTGTGCAGTCATTTATAAATCAATGACATTTCTCTTTTTTGTCATAAAACTGTATACTGAAGAAATTAACGAATGCACAGTTTCTAAAGCTGTTGCATTTGTCTGTGGAATCATAGGTTCCCACTAAGAAGAATTTCAGCATTCTGGCCAGAAATTTGAATACAATTCAAGTTGAAGAAATGTCTGCCTGTAACATTAGCATCCAGGGTCCCAGCATATATAATAAGGAGCCTAAAAATATAATAAATCCTCATGAAAAAGTTCAAATGAAGTCAATTTGTGCAAATTCTCCTATAAAGGCACAACAGGATCAATTACAAGTAAAAAACAATATAAAAGCAAGTCTTCACAATGTCAAAAGTTCCTTACCTCTTTTTAATACTAAGTCCTCTACTTCTGTGGGGCAGTTGCAGTCTCCTACCTTGAATTCACCTATCTATATGCAAAAGCAAGGAAAAAATGAACATCTTGCATTTAATACCAAATCTAAGGCTTCAACAGTTGGTTCAGAATTGGTACTTGTTTCTACCACCGTTCCAACTGTTCATCATGTTTCTGATTTGGAAATGAGCTCTACTCTGGACTGTTTACCTGTGTTGGCTGATTGGGAGGATGTGGTTTTACTGCCAGCATCTCAGCCTGAGGAAAACGTAGACTGTACAGTTCCCATTAGTGACTCAGACTTAGAGATTTCATTTAATTCTGGAGAAAGATTAATGGTTTTGAAAGAATTGGAAATGTCAAGTCATGAAAACTTTGGAGACATAGAGGAAACTCCTCAAAAATCTGAGACTTCTAAGTCTATTGTGTACAAGAGTCCTCACACTACTATTTATAATGTAAAAGAAGCCAAAGATCCAGGTTCAGATATTTCTGCCTTTAAGTTACCTGAACACAAATCAAGTACCTTCAACAGAGTTAATGCCAATATGTCTCATCCTTTAGTTTTGGGGAAACATCCTCTTCTTTCAGGTGGTACCAAAAGGAATCCATGCAGTCCCCAAGCTTTCCCACCAGCAAAAAAACAACCCTTCACTATTCATGAAGAAAAGCCTACATCATCTGATTGCTCCCCAGTAAGAAGTTCTTCCTGGAGGCGTCTCCCATCTATATTAACTTCTACAGTTAACCTACAAGAGCCATGGAAGAGTGGGAAAATGACACCTCCATTATGCAAGTGTGGTCGGAGATCTAAGAGACTTGTTGTTTCTAATAATGGACCGAACCATGGAAAAGTCTTCTATTGTTGCCCTATCGGGAAATACCAAGAAAACAGAAAATGTTGTGGTTATTTCAAATGGGAACAAACACTTCAAAAGGAAAGAGCCAACAGCATGGTTCCATCTCATTCCACAGGGGGACTCACTTTTAGTTCTCCAGAAACAAGCCATATTTGTGACAGAAATTTAAGTATTTCCACCAAAAATTCTTTGAGACTCAGGCCTTCAATGAGGAATTGATAACCTTTCATGTATGAATCCTAATTGTTCCTTGAATTTCCAAACATGAGTATTCTGATAACATCTTACACTATTTTATTTTTATTTTATATATTAATGTTTACTGCATTTACCATACTTTCTTCAGGAACCACAAGTGTAATCTTTTGTAAACAGTATTTATTAGATTACATATAATAAGCAACAATAGTATATGATCCTTCTTTTATAGTTAGACCTTGAAACAAGTCTAAACTATTTTTAAATTATTTGCAAAAAATGTGACTAATAAAAATCCCTAGTCTATTTTCAGGTAGATTCTTGTACTTTGAGATTATCATAATCTTCTAACTGATATTTTATATTTTTCTAAAAACTTTTATAAGTTCTTTAGTTTTATTTCAGGCTTGAACATTGGTTCTGATTTGTATATCAACATATCAGAAGAATTAGTCAACTAAAGTTTGAAAACCTATGTAGCAGAGATCTGGTTCAGAAACTGCTTCTATACTATACATTTAAAAATTAATCAGCAATTGATGGTATTATTTTTATATTAAGAAATGATAGGAACATTGACACTAATGTGGAGGAATTTGCCAAATATTTTATTTCAAAATTTAGCCTCTGATATCATAACCACAAGATATTTTAAATCAACAGTTTCTAAGCATACTACCACAGTTTTTATGACCTCTCCATCATCTTGTGGTTTCTAGAGATTGACAGATACTATGTTTGTTTTATAGATATGGTAATTAATGAAACAACTTTAAATTGTCTTCCATTCTTTCTTCCTCAGTTCATTTCTTTTTGTCTTCCCACTGATAGTCTTTGGCAGCTCTTGAATAAATTCTACCTGTTGGCATCAAGGGGAAGAAAATTAGCCTGGAAATTTTTATCTTTACATAAAGCCAATTATATAGCAGTTTGATTATGAATTCTAGGTGGAAGAATTAGAATAGTCTTTGGAATGGGTTTTGGGTAACAGCCAAAATAGGGAAAAGGGTATTGTTAGGAAAGTTGTCTTGATATTAAGTATTTACTGTGAGTCCAGTAAGCCAAAGGACCAAACAAAATAGGTTCAGGGTTTCATTTTAATCTCAAAGATTCTGATTCTTACCCATATGTCATCAGTTCAGTTTGGGACATGTGGTGCAGCATGTGTGAAGAAAATATTCATTAAAATGTAAAAATAAACACTTGAAATTGTCCACAACACTGAGCAAATATTCGTTATAATTAGGATGCCTACCTTTCTGGGATATTTGTAAGGTGCTGTAGTTTTTTTAACATGCTCCTGAATCTCCTTTATTAGTTGTTCTTGATCATGTGACTTGTAATCAGGATTTAGAACGACAAAAGCCTTTACTACCTAAAATAAATATTTGAAACACCAGGAAAATGAGTTATGCATTTGTATGTTTTAGTATGTCTTGTTTGCTTGCTCTGAGAATCTACATGCCTGGTGGGGTGGGCCAGTGTGTTTTAATAAAGTTTGATCCCAGCTCTGTGCTCTTAAGCCAGCCACTTCCTGGTCTGTACCTAATACAGGAGAGCTTCTGGGACCCCTGTAACAACCCAGCCTCATCCAGCCTAGCCCTCAGCATGGGGGATTACTTATAAACAGTAGTCACGCTGAGTTTGCCATGTCTTTGTTGAAGGGAACAGTTCACAGAGAACATGCAGTCTTTATACAAGGCTGTGAAGATTCCAGCAGCTATTTTTTTGTTGCTCTGATCCATTTCCATGGCCCTGAGGAACAAGAGTGGAAATCATGGTGGCCTTTAACTGGCAGAAGCCAAGAAAGATGTTATTACTTTATGCTTACAAATCCTCTTCTCCAAATTTTATCCTTCCTAGAAATGTTTTTGAAAACTCTGCCTAGTTTTTGGACCTGTAATGGAGAAGACAGAAAGATAGGCCATCCCTCATAGCCCCCTTTAAAAGTAAATTTGGAGTCCTGTCATTTTCTCTCCTAGGGCACTACCAGGACTGCCATTTACTGCCTTCCCTAGAGGCATGAGTCTAGGTGCATCAACTAGTATGTACCTCCAACGCCAGATTACCAGCCCGGAGCTGGCTATGGAATGATGCTTCCCTGTAGGCACAGTTCCAGGAGAGTCCCCTGAAGCTTTTTTATGATTAAGTATCCTGCACTTAGGTGCCTGAAATCTTATTAAATTCAAGGATTCGTTTGTCCAGCTTAAAGATAAGCTGGCAACATTTCCTATCCACTTTGATCTGGGAGTAAAGATTTCATTGAAAAGGAATTATTTGAAACAACAAATTACCAGGACAGCCATTTGGTGAGAAACAAAGACTTGAAGTTATAATTTTTTCACATATTGAAAACTGTTCACCAGTGGGCAGTTTTACATTGTATGAACAATTACCCATTTTTGTCTTTACCCAAAACCCTTGTGGCCAGGCACAGTGGGTCACGCCTGTACTGCCAACATTTGGGAGGCCGAGGTGGGAGGATTGCTTGAGCCCAGGAGTTCGAGAGCAGACTGGGCAACATAGTGAGACTTTGTCTCTAAGAAAAAAAACAACAACAACACTTGAACATTTTTAATTTACATGTGCCATGCGGCAGTTGTGAACCCTTGTGTGTGTGTGTGTCTATGGATATAATTTTGTTCCATTCACTTTTTGACATTTTATAAAATGCATTTGTAGTTATGCTAGCTCTGCTGCATTAACATTTTTACAAATTAAAAAATTATGCTTGTTGTAAGTGAGTCATTCAAAGGTAAATTATTTTAAAAACTGCAATACTGGTTCACATATTGACGATTTCTACAACTTGGATAGTCTCTTTTATCTTTTTAAACTACTGCAGAAAATGTTAAATTAACAAGGAACAACCTAACATGGGTAAGAGTATGAACTCTGAAGTCAGAACAGCTGGGTTCAAGTCACAGTTTGTTGTGTAATGTTGGACAAGTTAGGTAATCTCTTTGTGCCTCAGTTTCCTTCTCTGTAAAAGAGATTATGATGATTAAATGAATTAGCATAGATGTATAATGCCTGGCACATAGTAAGTCATCAAAAACATTAGCTCTTAGTTGTAGTCTTAGAATTACAAGAAGTTTGGGTCTTATTTTTTAACCCAGAATCCATAAGTGGGCTTCAAATCTCTATGAAATTCTATGCAAAATCTTGTATTTTTCTGAGAAAAGTCTATGGCTGTGCCATTCAATATGATAGCTGCTAGCCACGTGTGTCTATTTCAATTTAAATCAATTAAAATTAAATAAGATTAAATACTCTCAGTCACACTAGCCACATTTCAAGTGATTGATAGCCATGCATGGCTATCGCATTGGATGGTGCAAATATAGAACATTTCCATCACTGCATAAGTCTTAACAGTGGCCTATGGTTTTCTTCACATTCTCAAAGAGATATGTGATCCCAAAAATTTAAGAACCTAGTGATCTAGACACATATTCCACAAGTCTTTCACATTCCAATGTTAAAATGGTATTTCAAATCCAAATATTCTTTTTAATCAATTCTGGAACTTGCTACCCAATTACCCTGCCTGGCAGGACCCAGCCTAGAGAAGGACCTAACCCAGGTAGAATAGGCCTGGCAGCAGAAAGGGAGGCATGGAGCACATGGCCGTTTTGTTCATGGATACCTCGTTTGAGATACCCACTCACATCTTCTACTAGGAAATGCTGCAGCCTACCACTGTTGGAAAACTGGCCACACTTTCCCCCTCACTCTGACTAATCCAAGCCCTATGCCAAGCCCCCGGAGCTGTGAGGGGACCACAACCCACTTATAGACCTTTCCTATATTGTACGCTAGGATATCAGGTGGCTGCCAAGCTAACCCTGTTCCGAAAGGCTCAGCTACCATCCTGTCCCTAGTAAGCACCTGTCTAGGTGGGTAAAACTGATGATGACTAATGGTAGGGGAGAAGTACAGGAAGAGCTAAGACTCGTGAAACCTTGCCGATGATGTTCAGAGCAAAGAGACAAGCCAATAATCACTGACTGTTTTCCCTGCCCTCAGCTGCCTGGAATATACCCTTTCACAGTAAATAGCGATTGTCATCCTAGCAACTTGACAAACTACCAATTCCCAGCCACTGGGCTATATCTGGAACAACTTTGGGCCATCCAGGAGGACTTAACAGGGTATCTTCTGGCATCAAAGATCAGTTAGGGGAATCAGTCCTGGGGGGAGATCCACCCTCCACTGTAACATGCACATCTCCTATTTTTACCTTAAACTTTTTTATTTTTATTTTTATTTTTTTGAGGCGGAGTCTTGTTCTGTTAGCCAGGCTGGAGCACAGTGGCACGATCTTGGCTCACTGTAACCTCCCCGTCCCGGGTCCAAGTGATTCTTCTGCCTCAGATTCCCAAGTAGCAGGGATTACAGGCGTGTGCCACCATGCCTGGCTAATTTTTGTATTTTTAGTGGAGACAGGGTTTCACCATGTTGACCAGGCTTGTCTCAAACTCCTGACCTCAGGTGATCCACCCACCTCAGCCTCCCAAAGTGCTAGGATTACAGGTGTGAGCCACTGTGCCTGGCCTGCCTTAAACTTCAGGACCTATTTCATCCCCTGAGATTGGATACCTTCTAACTCTGCCCTGTGCCCTGTGCTTGAAGCCCTATACCTAGGATTTGAGATAAGGAGCTTGAATACATGGTACAGAAAGTTCTGGATTTGTATTGACATCAGTGTCATCTTCAAAACTTGGATTCAGTGTTAGAAGGGATATGGCTTGAAGAAATACTTGTGAGAACTTGTAACTCAGCTAGAGAAACCCTAGGGGCATGTTGTAGACACACAGGCAAAACGCAGGAGGCTGCCTGGCATGGTACTTTTAAGCCAAAATACTGTGTGGTCAGCCCCAATAGGAATGGGCTTTCAGGACACCTGTGTTATTCAGAGTTTATTTCCTGAAATCTCTACTTATTTACCTACCAAGACTGCTTATGGTTACCTCAGTTCCAGCCTCTGGTTCCCACTTCTGACATCTGATGCCAGCCCATTCTCCTTCACTACACCAGGGACCTCGTTGGTTTCCAGACCTTCTGGGTAACAATTTGATCCCATCCAGCTGACTTCTGTCACCCCATCCTGACGTGAGCCTGGGTTACTGGCATTCACACCATCTTTGCCCTAGTCCACCACGGAAGGAATTCAAATTCTTTCTAGTACGTATTTTCAGCCTTATTTTGTTTGTCTGTTAGGATCAGAGCTGCAACTCATAATTCAATCTTATTTTGTAGCAGTTCTTTCTGACTAGCATATTTCTATCTGACTTGCATATTTAGTAAATGAATCATTTGGTTAATTCTGTTTCACTGAGCTACTGTTTGTAAGTATGTGTTAAATTGCCAACAAATTATAAAGTTGACATGAATCAGTTCTTTTACCTCTCCTCTGATGGGGTCTGGGCTGCTGACAACAGCTGACTCTGCAACTGAAGGGTGTTCATTCAGGGCATTTTCTACCTCAAATGGTCCAATTCGATAGCTAGAAACACATATGGCAGGAATACATACAGGTGAGTGGCAGGTTCACTCTAGAACACTGATGATCAGTTAACACAGACATATGCACATATGGAAAAGAAAGTTACCCAGAGGATAATATGACATCATCTGCTCTTGCAACAAACCAGAAATACCCATCTTTATCCATATATCCTCTGTCCCCAGTGATATAGAAATTGCCTCGTAGAGTTGAAGCTGTTTTTGAAGGATTATCCTGCAAAACAAATAGCATTTTGTTGTTATGGTGAATCCAACTCTTCTGGTCAATTGGAATTTTTTTTTTTTTTTCCGAGACAGTCTCACTCTGTTACCCAGGCTGGAGTGCAGTAGTACGATCTTGGCTTACTGCAACCTCTGCCTCCCAGGTTCAAGCGATTCTCCTGCCTCAGCCTTCCAAATAGCTGGGACTATAGACGTGCACCACCACACCCGGCTAATTTTTGTATTTTTTGGTTGAGATGGAGTTTCCCCATGTTGGCCAGGCTGGTGTCGAGCTCCTTACCTCAAGTGATCCGCCCACCTTGGCCTCCCAAAGTGCTGAGATTACAGGCATAAGCCACCGCTCCTGGCCCTCAATTGGATTTTTAAATGTTCAAGGAAGCAGAAAAGTTTGGCTCCTTTGAGAAGCATTAGAGTTAGGAAGAGATAGATTGTGAAAATAAAGATGAAATTCCAGCATGGAGCTAGCCCGACAGAAGAAAGGTAAACTACAGTTACAAAGATTAGTCATGTTTCCATCTTGAGATTTTTCTTAGATAGATTACAAAATAAATATTGCAGTAGCTCAGAGGAGTAAACTAAATTAAGTCTTTTGCTAATTGATTAATAGATAATGCTGGTAGGAAAAGAGAGAAGTAAATACTCAAGAGTCAAAAGAAAGCACTGACACCTAATAAAGAGCAGACAGGTTTGTTTTGTTTTTGTGCTTTGTTTTGTTTTACACAATAATAGAATTGGTTCTGCAAGTCTGACATAAGAAAAAACAAGATACTGTTACATTATATCAAATACACTGGCAAGTAGCATCTGGATCTTTTATTATATGATAGAGACTTTGCTCTAATTTGTATACTGTGATTAGAGATGAAAATATTGTTGTAAACAGTAAGGAGCTTAGAAAGCCTCTTGTGAAAGACATTTGCTTAATCCCACCACCCCCGCATCCCCTGTCCCTCTCACTCTTCCCGAAAAGAAAGAGCACTAACTGGATTTCAGGAAAATGAGTGGGTTTTGTTTGATAATTGAGAGGATCAGGGGATGTTAAGAGGCTGTCCTCTTTCTAGGGTCCCTTCCTCTTGCCTTCGTGGACCTGGAACAGTGATCTGGCCTCAGGGGACCAGCATGCTTTTCTTCAGCAAGAATTTGGGTATTTCTTCAATTTCTTGTCTTTTGGATTACTATTCAGGACAACCAATCTCTCAAGAAAGGGTCAAGTACCTATCCTAGGTATGTTTTGTGGCAAACAGGGATTGTTACCAAGCACTTGAGAAATAAATAGAAAATGAGATTATTTAGTAAGTCACTTACTACGTAATGAGTAAAAAGGCCAAATGGTCGGTTGGGTAGAACTTGAATGCCAATATCTCCTTCTTGTCCAGGAGGTAGAACATTGCCATTTACATCTACAATCTAGGATAAAATAGAACAATTTATTTAAGGAAATTTTTGTTTAATGTCGCAGCTTAAATATTAACTTTGCAAGTTTTATTTTGGCTTTTGCCATTTAAAAATGAAGACTTAAAAAAAATTTTGTGTGTGTGAGACAAGGTCTCACTTTGTCACCCAGGCTGGAGTGCAGTGGTGCAATCATAGCTCATAGCTCACTGCAGCGTCAAACTTCTGGTCTCAAACAGTCCTCACACCTCAGCTTCCCAAGTATCTGGGGCTACAAGCACATGTCATTATGCTCAGCTAATGTTTATTTTTATTTTTTGTAGGGATGAGGGACTCATTATGTTGCCCAGGCTGGTTCCTGGCTTCCAGTGATATTCCAGCCTTGGCCTCCCAAAGTGCTGGGATTATAGGCATGAGCCACTGCACCTGGCCCAAAAATATTTTAAATATACTTTAAATTCCTAAGAGAAATATATTTACTTAAATTCTTATTGCATAAAATATTAAATACAGGTTACCAACATGTGAACGCAGGATAAAATTTTTTAAAAATTTTACCATCCAGCAATAATCACATTTTGGTAATATCCTTTGAGACAATATAGATAAATCGAAAAATAGGATTGCTGGCTGGGCGCAGTGGCTCATGCCTGTAATCCTAGCACTTTGGGAGGCCGAGGCGGGTGGATCGCCTGAGGTCAGGAGTTCAAGACCAGCCTGAGCAACATGGTGAAACCCCATCTCTACTAAAAATAGAAAAATTAGCCAGGCATGGTGGTGGGCACCTGTAATCCCAGCCACTTGGGAGGTTGAGCAGGAGAATTGCTTGAACCCGGGATGGGGAGGTTGCAGTGAGCCGAGATCACTCCAGCCTGGGCAATGAGTGAAACTCCATCTCAAAAAAAAAAAAAAAAAAAGAAAAATAGAGTTGCTTTATAATATACAGTTTTGCCAACCTGCTTTTATCATTTAGCAATAGGTCTTGATTATCTTTTCCTCTTGATAAATAAATATCTTCATTACTGGTTTTCAAACTTTGTTTAGCTGTGGAACCTACAGAACCTTACTTCAGAAGCCCAATATGAGTAAACAGGAAAAGGGGAATATTCTCTGGTTGACAATGGTAAGTAAGCCACAGCCTTGCTCTCTTACCCTCTCTCCAATCCTCATCATTCCCTGAAGTGTCTACCAGTAGCTAGCATTTATTAAGTACTTAATACATGCTAAGTAATTAATGCTAAACCTTTAAGTACTTGACATGTACCTATTCCTCACTGTAGCCCTATGTGGTTAGAATTTTTATGCCCATTTGACACATGAGGAAACTGAGGTGTAGAGAGTTTAACACTGTGCATGATTGAGCTGGAATCCAAATCTCACCACTTACACTCCAGATCATATGCTTTTAATCATTACACTCCTCTGTGCAATGCCTCTAGAGAGTTTAATCCAATTAAAAAAATCAGATTAGCATTTCTCAAGTTGATTGCTGATTTTATACATCAGATTTTGCTCTAAATGACTTTTAGCTGTTTCTAAGTATCAAAATTCTGCTTTTATATATATTCTCCAGATACCTTCAAACCTGAGGTGTGGCCTGCATGGAGAATAAGTATAATACTTATCTAGCACTTTCCAAAAGGAAAGGGGCTTATGTGCTGAATGAGAAACTTAAATGGCAAAGGAATTCTAAGCGTAAAAACTTCTCTTTAAGCTCTTGCAAATAAAAAAATATAAATTCCCACCCAGTTATCTAAAGAAATATGTGGTTCCAGGTATGAAGGAATTATTGATGGAAAGGAAGTATTTTAAAAGTTCCAGTTACTTACAGATTTTAATAGATGGGAATATAGATAAAATCTTCTGTGTCTGGGGAGAATCATGTTCCTCATTGTTCATAGGGTCTTAAAATGTTTAAACATGAAAATTATGAGTATTTAAAAGCAAACAAAGAAGATTATAAAGGTTGGGCTTTGAAGTTGTAGGAATCTGATATTCACCTGGTTGGAACACATCCCCAGATGCCAGAATGTTACTGCAGATGCCCTTAGCTAAGGAACAAGAAGCCCCATAATAACGGCCCGTGGAAAAGAGTTAAAAATGACTGGGGATGCAGAAAAAGTACTGTTTTCCTCTCAGCCTCATCATATTTGCATTCAAAGATAGCTGCTCTAGAAAACCACTGGGCTCAAATTAATGGGGAGCAGGTGGGGGTACCTTGCAGTTGGGATCACTGTGAATACAGCTGTGCCTGTAAGACCCTGATAGCCATGCATGTTGGGAATTGCTATTAAGGAAGGAAGAAAAAGAACATAGCTGTGTTACATATCAACTTCCCTGTAATGCAGACATGAGTGTGCTTAATTATCAATATTTCTTTCTTCAACCTAAGGTAGCCTGTTAACCAACAAACTATTGTTAAGCCTGTTTGGGCTCTCCTACCATTTTTTCTTAGATAAGCTTTTCAAAGAGGAATGTGAAAAAATAAAAAAATAAATAAATAAATAAAAAGAGGAATGTGAGGGAGAAGTAAATAACAGTACCCATCTTTTGGACCTTTATTATGTACTAAGCATTCTGATATGCTCTTTAAACATATTGTCTCCTTTAATCACCACAAGAAACCTATGAAATCAGTTCTGTTATTATTTGGTTTACCAACCATCTGAGACTGAAGTGGTGAGGGGTTGTCGGGGGGTGGTTCTTCAGGATGTATTGCCTTAAGTGCTAAAACCAGATAAGTCCCAGGCAAACAGACAGGTTGGTCACTCTAGTCCCAACTTTACAAATTAGGAAACTGGAACTTACAGAGCTTTAACAGTGTACCCACAGACACTCAGACAGTGAATAGCAGAGATATAGTTGAACCACTAGGCTATCCTATCTTGAGACCAGGTTTCCACAGCAAGGTTAAAGTGAGAGAAAGGACCCAGGATCTGGTTTATTCTATAAAGAGTTACAGCAGCAATCAAGCTCATCTAAACTCTCTCAAACTTATTTGATCCTAAAAACTACTTGGGGGGTGCTTGTTAAAATCACAAGATTTCAAATTTCAGAGTTCCACTCCAAATCTATTGAATTGGTCTCTCCAGGGGCCTGAGAATTAGTATTTTTAACAGATATCCATATGATGTTTATGATCAAACAAGCTTGGGAAACATTTATCTAAGAGCTGTACTCTGTTAATTCATCCATATTTTTGCTGCTTTTGCTGTCTCTTAACGTACAGATGGGTCTCTGAATTAAAATGGTTCGAACTTACTATTTCCCAACTTTACAATGGGTGAAAAAGATAACCATTCAGTTGAAACCATCTTTCTCTCTAGATGCTGGGCAGCAACAGTAAGTCACAGCTCCCAGTCAGCCATGCATTTGTGACTTAGGATGTTTTCAACTTATGATGACTTATTATTTTGGGACATAACCCTATCATAAGTTGAGGAGTGTCCAAATTAGTGTTAAGTTCCTTTGGCTACACCCAGCTTTGAAGCTCGGTTGATCTGAGAACAATTTTAACCCTATATAAAGCTTGCTGATGGGGAACTGGAATTCCCCCTAGGCATCAGGTGGTAGTAGTGGCAGTGGATACAGAGAGGCTGGAAATGGCCAGGCAGGCTTGGGAGCAGAGAGGGAAAGTGCTGCAGCCACTGTAAACTGAAGCCTCTTCGGGCCTAGTTGACCCGCTCAGAAGGTCTTGACCTCCCTTGCCTGAGAGGACCAGTGTTGTGTTGTGGTTAAGAGTGCAGATATTGGAGCCAGACTGCTTGGGATTGAATCCCAACTCTAGCAGCTATTAGCTGTGTGACTTCTGGTGAGTTCTTTTACCTCTTTGTGCCTTGTTTGTAAAATGGTTCTAATATTAGTATGCTTCTCATAGGGTTTCTTCTGGAAATTCAATGGGTTAATATTTATTTATTTAGAGACAGGGTCTTGCTCTGTGGCCCAGGTTAGAGTGCAGTGGTGTGATCATGGCTCACTGCAGCCCCAAGCTCCCAGGCTCAAGCAATCCTCCCATCTCAGCCTTCTGAGTAGCTGGGACCACAGGCACGTACCACCATGCCTGGCTAGTTTTTTATATTTTTTTGTAGAGACAAAGTCTCACGTTGTTGCCCAGGCTGGTCTTGAACTCCTGGGCTCAAGTGATGCT
This sequence comes from Homo sapiens, assembly GCF_000001405.40. Lineage (NCBI taxonomy): Eukaryota > Metazoa > Chordata > Mammalia > Primates > Hominidae > Homo > Homo sapiens. The sequence goes on along the minus strand of NC_000016.10, from coordinate 20,786,454 downwards.
CCCGCCTTGGCCTCCCAAAGTGTTGGGATTACAGGCGTGAGCCACTGCATCCAGCCTAATGGGTTAACGTTTATTAAATGCTTAGAACTGTATGGTACAATATGGGTATTTGCAAAATAATGGAGACCAAGAAGCTAACATTTCTAATCATTTTCACATATTTATAAAAATTAAAGTATCATGGAAGTAAAATGGAATCACCATCATAACAAAGAAAGTTTATATGGGGGTAAGCGGTAGGTAGGTAGTGTACAGATTGGGTTGTTAAACATTCTCCTGGAAGGGGATGTGCAAACCTTAACATCGAAAGCAGGAGAAGGTTTTCCCATTGAGCCAGGTTTAATTTTCATTCCCTTAAAATTTCCACAGATTAGCACCTAGTTAAGAAGAAGAAAAAGTAAGATAACATTACAAGTCACTTAAAATTTATTCATCTATCATGCATTCATTCAACAAATTATTTATTGAAAACTTACTATGAACTAGGCTCAAAATGAATGCTATACTCTCATGGAATGTAGTGATAACATATAAATACATGCATATGTATAAAATATAGTTATAACAATAATTACTCATATATCCATATTTATCAAAACATGAGTATATTAACATTTGCATTTATATTAGCATACTTGTTATGCTATTTCTAGTTAATGAATTTTTCAATTTTTGATTTTTATTTTTGATATTTTCATTTTTTACCAGGTGATACATTCTCATGGTTCATAAATTGAAGCATTATAAAGACACATTGTGAAAAGTTTTTTCAACTTTTCCCTTATCTATTTCATCTTACTCCTCCCTCTTCTACAAAATAACCACTGTTGTTCTTTTTTCTTATTTCATTTTTTGTTCTTATTTCATTTTTTGTTCTTATTTCATTCATTTCCTCTAGAATTTCTTATTCCTTATCTCTATGAGCTCTTTAAAAAATCCTTTTTAGAGTATGGTTGCTAAGGAGTTGTCCAGCAAACTCTTAATATTTCAGGCAGCAAGGATCTCAGCATTTTCCATTTTGAGGCAGCCCTAAATAAGATACTTCCCTATCACACTGGGAGGAATTCTTTCTTTCAGTAGATCCAGTATTATTTCATTTAAAAAAATATTGTAATGCCCTTACTCTGATCCATTAACAGTGGTGTTTGTCAATGAATGGCTATTTAAACAACTATCTGTTAACAGAGCTTTTTTGCAATTAGGTTCTTGCAAGCATTGTTTTTTTAAACATTTTCTAACCACTCAACTCCTATCCCTCAAATAATCATAAGGAGACTGTGGACACTTTGGTTTTTATTCATCTGACTAAATGGAATCCAGCTATGTCTTTTCAGTGAGGTCAGGTACCGTTTCAGTCTGTCCATATCCTTCGTAGATATCCAGGCCCGTCTTGTTTCTCCATTTTTCAGTCACGTCAGGGGTAATTGGTTCCCCAGCACTCACACAGTGCTTTAAGCTTTTAAACTTATAGCTTCTCAGAAAACCAGATAAGTTAGATTTAGGAGGAAAAATGGAGAGAAGTGAAGATTAAGGATTATTTCTTATGAACTTCAATATAAAATGTTTTAGTCGCTTTTTAATTCCTCTCCCTAGCACAAAACAAACCATTTTACCCCATAAACATATACAACTACTAAGTACCTACACAAATTAAAAATAAAGATATTAAAAAGATAAATCATTCTAATATCATAGAATGATACTAGAATACCCCAAATACTAGTTTTTCTTTACCCCCCTTTTTGTGGTGGAGGTATAATTTATTACAAAGAAGGTCATTCTGTTCTTAGGGAAGGTACCCCATAATAACATTTTATTTTATTTTGTTTTTATTTTTATGTTTTCATGGAATGCTTCAAAAATTTGCATGTCATCCTTGTGCAGGGGCCATGCTAATCTGCTCTGTATCATTCCAATTTTAGTGTATGTACTGCTGAAGTGAGCACCATAATAACACTTTAAATCAGCAATGAAAAGTACCAATTGTTTGGTAAAACTGATGGTGGGATATTTATACAATGGAATACTATACAGCTATGAAAAATGAGGAAGCTCTTGGACAGTGCTGCCCAGTAGAACTTTCTGTTATATGGAAGTACTCTGTAATCTGCTGTACCCACTACAGTATATGCTAGCCCTATATGGATATTGAACACTAGAAACAGGACTAGTATAACTGAGGAATTGAATTTTTAATTTTACTTAATATTTATATTGAAATAACTAGCTGTGGTTAGTGGCTACCATATTGCACAACACAGTGCCAGAATGTATTGTTAGAGGAAAAAAGCAAGGTGCAGAACTGTGTGAATCTTGTGATACCATTTATGTTTATAATAGAGAAGGAAAGGCCAGGTGTGGTGGCTTACACCTGTAATCCCAGCACTTTGGGAGTTAGAGGTGGGCGGATCACCTGACATCAGGAGTTCGAGACCTGCCTGGCCAACGTGGCAGAACCCCATCTCCACTAAAAATACAAAAAGTAGCCAGGCATGGTGGTGCACACCTGTAATCCTACATGCTCAGGAGGCTGAGGCAGGAGAATTGCTTGAACAGGAGGCGGAGGTTGCAGTGAGCCGAGATTGTGCCACTGCACTCCAGCCTGGGCAACAGAGCAAGACTCCGTCTCAAAAAAAAAAAAATTGAGACGGGGAGAACACATGTGTATCAGTTTGTGTATTTTCAGGGAGAATAGACAAGAAACTGGAAACTCAGTTTGCCTCCATGGAAGAGGACTGGGTCACTGGGGACAAGGTTTGAAGCAAGACTTTTCACTATGTATTTTTATATACCTTTTGAATTTTATGGCAGGTGAATTATTTCCTATTCGATAATTAAATAACATCAGTTTAAATATATTTACCTGTGATATGAGCTATAACAAGAAATACATAGATGTTGAGTATCCTTAATCTGAAAATTCAAAATCCAAAGTGCTCCAAAATCTGAAACTTTTTTAGTACCAACATGATGCTCAAAGGAAATGCTCATTGGAGGATTTCAGGTTTCATGTTTTTGGATTAGGGCAGCCCAACCAGTATAATGCAAATATTCCAAAATCCAAAACAATCTGAAATCCAAAAGACTTCTGGTCTCAAGCATTTTGGATAAGGGATACTCAACCTGTACTGAGTCTTCATCCTGGGTTCCTGGCCCAGAGCTTCTAAAACCTTTGTAATTTCCCAAGTGATGGGTGTGCTAGGAGTATCTTTTGTTCTAATATTTTGCCTTTGACTCTAGTTTCTGATACAGAGCTTCTAAATTCCATGGAATTTCCTGGGTAATAGAATTGTCTTTTGTTCTCATGAGGCGACTCTCAATGGGGCTCCCGTATAGGGGTTGGTCACAAGAAAGACTAAGCCAGGAACAGAAGCTTGGCACTTTCAGCCTCACCTCCATCCTTCAGGGAAAGGAGAGGAGCTGGAGATTGACTTAATAATCAATCATGCCTACATAATGGAGCCTCCAAAAAAATCCCTGAAGTATGAGGTTTGGAGAGCACCACGTGCCGGAAAGGTAGTGCACCCCCACTCCACAGGGATAGAAGCTGCTGCACTTGGGACCTTGTGGACCTCACCCTATGTACCTCTTCATCTGGCTAGCTATTCATCTGTAACTTTTATCATATCTTTTATAATAAGCTGGGAAATGTAAGTAAGTGTTTTCTTGCACTCTGTGAGCCATCATAGCAAATTACTAAACCCAAGGAAGGGTCATGGGAACCTCTGATTTGTAGCCATTTGGTCATATGCGCAGGTGACAGCCTGGACTTGTGATTAGCATTTGAGATGGGAAAGAGTCTTGTGGGACTGAGTCATTAACCTGTGGGATATGATGCTGCCTCCACGGAGATAATGTCAGACTGAATTAAATCATAGGATACTCAACTGATGTTGGAGAATTGGTCAATGTGGGGGAAAAGATCCCTTACATCTGGAGACCCAGAGTATTGAGTGTTGTGAATATAGTAAAATAGTGGTTGCTGGGAGTTGAGTTATGAGGATGCAATAGCGTAAGAATGATATAATGGACTTTGGGGACTCTGGGGAAAGGGTGGGAGGTGGGTGAGGGATAAAAGACTATACATTGAGTACAGTGTATACTGCTTGGGTGATGGGAGCACCAAAATCTCAGAAGTCACCACTAAAGAACTTATTCATGTAACCAAACACCACCTGTTTCCCAAAACCCTATTGAAACAAAACAAAACAAAACAAAAACAAAAACAAAACAAAGAGAAACGGGGGTTGTTTTTCTTTTTGGATTACCAATGAACCCTTTCAAATGGAATCAGCAATAGAATAAAAGATATGCATCCTCTTTTCTATCTGCTGGGATAAGGTTCCAAATAGAAACAAGTTCTCTACTTTCTCAGCTCAGAGAAAGCCATCATCCAAAAGATTTACCATCTTCTTACCCATAACCACTGGGCTTAGAGCTATAAACATAGCTGAACCCTCACTTTCTTCTTGTTTGGGGGATCTTGCCCTGGTCACAGTAATTATCATTTACAGAATGCAGGCAAGAAGGAGAAAGAGGAAGAGGAGAGATTGCTAAATCCTGTGTCTACTGGCTTGGAGCTATGTTTCAGGCAGAAAGATCTTTTATTTTATAGCTTCCTCTTCTCCCCTCTCCCCACTAGATGCCTATTTACTAACATTTCTTACCTGGTTATATCATTCTGTACAAGCATTCGGTATACAGTTGGTGCTGAACAGAAGACTGTGATGGGGTACTTGGAGAGTGTCTGCAATTTAGAAAAAGCAAACTCTTGGTCTTACTACAACTTAAATAAGTGCTTAAATGTCTTTGGTTGACGCAGCACAATTTAAACATTGTTTATGTTAATGTAAATACATTCTTACCTTTTCTTGTAGAATCATCCCTCAGTGTCTGCAGGATTGGTTCCAGGAATGCTTAAGTCCCTTATATAAAATTGTATGGTATTTGCATATAACCTATGCATATCCTCCCGTATACTTTAAATCATCTCTAGATTATTTATACTGCCTAAAACAATGTAAATGCTATGTATATATTTGTTACATGGTATTTTTTATTTGCATTTTTTTAATTGTTGTATTTTGTTTTTGGTTTTTCTCCCCAAATATTTTCAATATGTGCCTGGCAGAATCAGAGGCTGCAGAACCTGTGGATACAGAGGGGGCCGAGTGTATCTTTTCAGGCTTATTGACTTTCTGGATGTGACATATCTTAAATCATATTGTCTACTCTGATCTCTGCAAGTTGCTTTATTCACCAGTTCTGTCAGCCATACTGCTTAATGCATTTCTAAATATTGACCTCTTTGTGCTTTGGCTTACTTGCAAGATAGAAGTCGGCTCAAAACGGGGTAAATGGTGTGTGAATACACATGCTCCCTGGATCCACGGAGAAAAAACACTACTCCATGCAGACTTTGCCCAGCCCGTATCTGAGGTATTCCACATCACATCTGAGGGTGTCAAATCTAGCCAGAACCTGGGAAAACAAAGAGTAGCCCTGATGTACATAGGAAAATAAATATAAAAGACCAGTACATAAGTCATCATCTTTGCAGTTTTGACACTTCAAGCTGCACTTTTGTGAAAGTATACCTTCCATTTACAGATAATCCTAAACCAAAACTGCTGTGGGTGTGTGCAGTCATTTTCGGATATCCACTTGTTCCACTGGTAAAGAATATGGCCATGATCTCATTGTGTTTTGTCTTCACACAGGTGTGGCTGTCACTGGCATGTCTGCAAAGGAAAAACTACAATGACTGCATGTTAAACACAGCATCACAGACTGTTACCACTGAAAAATTTTGAGAAGCTCTCCACTTGAACCTCTTCATGTCATGAATCAGGTGCCAGTGGCTTAGCTTGAATTACAGGGTAAAAGCCATCACTTTCTCTATCCTTTTAGGTGCTTTCTAGAATCAAAACTAAACTTTGTCATCAAAGGCCCATTTATAATAGCTGCTTTCCTAGCTTTTTATTCTATGATAAAGAAGGATTGAAGCATTTTTAAAACTTGAGATTTTTATCATACCTCCAGCAGAGTAAGGAGTCTGTGTGATCTTGCAATCATGGATAAGGAAGAATTTTCCCCTTCCCTCCCCTATGGATGCTTTAAAATGTGATTTTTTAAAAATGAGTATGTTAATACAATACATGTTAGTAAAAGCCATGGGTACTGATGGGCCAACACACTACAGCCTACTGGCAAAATCTGACTTGCCTCTTGTTTCTGTAAATAAAATGTTATTGCCCATTCATTGAGGTAGTACCTGTGGTTGCTTTCACACTACAGTGGCAGAGTTGAGTAGTTGTGATGAGACTGACTATACGGCCTGCAAGCCTTAAGTATTTATTCTCTGTCCCTTTTACAGAAAATGTTTGCTGAGGCTGGGCATGGTGGCTCACGCCTGTAATCCCAGCACTTTGGGAAGCTGAAGCGGGTGAATCACCTGAGGTCAGGAGTTCGAGACCAGCCTGGCCAACATGGCGAAACTCTGTCTCTACTGAAAATACAAAAATTAGCCAGGCACAGTGGCACATACCTGTAATCCCAGCTACTCAGGAGGCTGAGAATCGCTTGAACCAGGGAGGTGGAGGTTGCAGTGAGCCAAGATCGAGCCACCGTACTCCAGCCTGGGTGACAGAGAAAGACTCTGTCTCAAAAAAAAAAAAAAAAAAGTTTGCTGACCGTGAAAGGTTGGCTTTTCTGTTTCCCACAAGAGAGTCTACATAGTTCTGGATATAGCAGACAATAAGATTGAACAGGATCTAAGCATCCATCCAGGGAAGAAAGAGTTCCAGTTAAAGAGAAAGAAAACCTTTTAGTTCCAAAGGATAATCAGACTTCTATACAAGTCACACATTAGGGCAGCTGCACACATACATATCAAGTGTCTAAGATGCACACAGACTTATCCAGGCATGTGGGGTTGAGAATGAGTAGAAACAACCAGGCCATTCATGAGAAATATAGAAAAGCTATTTTCTTTTCTTTCTTTTCTTTTCTTTTCTTTTTTTTTTTTTTGAGACAGGGTTTCTCTCTCTCTCACCCAGGCTGGAGTGCAGTGGCTCAGTCATGGCTCATTGCAGCCATGACCTCCTGGGTTCAAGCGATCTTCCTACCTCAGCCTCCCGAGTAGGCTGGGACTACAGGTATGCATCACCATGCCTGGCTAATTATTTTTATTTATATAGAGAAGAGGTTTCACTGTGTTTCCCAAGCTGGTCTTGAACTCCTGGACTCAAACCATCATCCCACCTCAGCCTCCTAAAGTGATGATTTATAGGCATCAGCCACTGCGCCTGGCTAAAAAGCTGTTTTCAAAATCTGACAAAGCTACACCAAGTGTTCAGTCTATGATTTCATAATTATCTTAATTAATTAAAAATACTATCTATAGGCCGGGCGCAGTGGCTCACGCCTGTAATCCCAGCACTTTGGGAGGCTGAGACGGGCAGATCATGAAGTCAGGAGATTGAGACCATCCTGGCTAACATGACGAAACCCCATATCTGCTAAAAATACAAAAAGATTAGGTGGGCATAGTGGCATGTGCCTGTAATCCCAACTACTTGGAAGGCTGAGGCAGGAGAATCGCTTGAACTCGGGAGGTGGAGGTTGCAGTGAGCCGAGATTGCGCCACTACACTCCAGCCTGGGTGACAGAGTGAGACTCCGTCTAAAAAAAAAAAAGTATCTATAGCTGTGTTCCTATCACTTCCATCACCAATACGGTTGCCCTCAAAACCTGAGGAAGGGTTGTTGTACTGATCTCTTACTAGAGGCAGTACATACAGAAGTGAGGAGTGTAGGCTCAGCACCCATACTGCCTGGGTTTGAAACTTAGCTCTGCCAGATACTAGCATTTGACCTTATTCAGCTGTGTAATTATAGTACCTAGGTTGCTGTGAGGTTTAAATGAGGTAATATATCTGAAGTCCTTAGAATAGTTTCTGGCACATAACCGTATCAATATAAGCTATGATTGCAATTATAACATTATTTTTATTAGAACCGTACTTGGCCTTTGGCAAGAACTCAATATTAGGAATTTTAAATGTGGTAGGAAAAGTCCATAGTTGCAAGCATGCTCCCAAATCCTTGAGTAAAGGTAGGAAGCTCATTCTAGAGAAGGACTTTGCTGCCAGCCCAATTCTAAGGCATAACCAGTACCTGGCAAGAGTTCCAAGTAACCCATGGAAACACCCCATGCTAGGCTTCAACATCAGTGAAATTCACTTTTATAATTGCATCCATTAACATTAAGCATTTTTTCTTTTAACCTGATACCAGTGTTGCTGTCAGCAAGGGAATGGGATAGCCAACACTGAAGGACTGACTGTGATCCTTCAGTGACAGGTGCTGGGAGCACTCTCTAGAGATTGCCTTGACTGAAGACAGTGGCTTTGTTAAAGGTCTTGACTCCTAGGGACAACCCCATCCAATTACTGATCAATGTGGGTATATAAAGGCCAGGACCTCTTGCTTTAGCTGGGAACAGCTTTGAGGAGGTCCTTCAGAGGTCCCAGTGGGTTGACTGAAAGCTTTGTAGGGAATACATCGCAAATAAATTTCTTTCTCTGCCCAGTCCGACATTCTTACTCATTCCTCACAGGTGTTAATCCCAAAAGAACTCCTTAATAAACTTCCTATACACCAATCTCCAATCTCAGGGGATCCCAACCTACAAAAAGCACTCCAAGCTCCTTCCTACTTCAGAGTTTAGCACTATTAGTGCAGCAATAACTACCAACTGTTCCCTTTGCCTGTTGTTTTAATTTGCATTTTTCTAATCACTGCTGGGTTTAATATCTTTTTATTGTTGCCTTTCCTTTTGGGAAGCTGTTTTACAACAAGTGTGGCTACTCACTTCATCAACTCCTTGAGGTTCCCCCACCCCTCTCTGGAGTTCTCTGATACAATCAGCTTGGAGTGCAGATTTTCACATTTGGATGCAACAGCGTCTACTGCTGGGGCTAAAACATCATTGGTGATAATGCAGTTTGCTTTTGAAGATTGTAGTCTGTAGAGAATGTCTTTCTGGGTCAGCTGAGTGGTTCCTGGAATTAAAACTGTCCCTAAAGGGGCAGAAAAGAAACAGTGTTTAGAAGAAATGTTATTCTTCATTATGTTAGAGTAGTGTAGATACCATCTATACATTCTGTATTTCTCAGAGTGAGTTAGTCAGTTTACCAGGAAGATATCTATTTATCTTGCTTTCACTTATCTGCTTTTGCCTTTCAAGGGATTTCAGAGTCTATGACCCTTTTGGCTTAACATGAAAGCATGTTAAATACTGGATAATTATTCTTTATTTGAAGACCATCCCTAACATTGAGCTTGAAGAAGGTTTTGATTGAAAAGTAATATTAACCAATATTTATTGAGTATTTGATTATATGTTTTAACTTATTCAGTCCCCACCAAAAAAACCCCAAAACATAAAAGCTATGAATAACTTGCCCAAGGTATCACTTAAGTAGTAAGTGACAGTGCAGGGATTGAACCCTGTAGCCTGACTCCAGAACTGTACACTTCACCACATCAGCTGAGTGCCTCTTAAAATGTACATGATTGCTTTATGATTTATTTCCAAAAGGAAGTGTGGAGGCATTCATCTTTTCTGTGGTTCTATTCCTGCTGGTTATATATTACACTGTAAGATGAAGTATAATGATTAAGAGTGTCCTGGAGCCAGACACTCTTATAGCTGGGACTTGGGACAAGCCACTTCACCTCTGTGAGCTTCAGGTTCTGCATCTGTAAAGTGATATTGTAATAATACTACTTCTTTTATAGGATAATTAGGGGATTAAATGAGTTAAAATATGTAAAGAACTTAGAACAGTGCTCAGTAAGCTTTGGGTATTATTTTCTCAAAGGATAAATGGACTCTCAAAAATATATAGATCTTCCTCCTGGGCCCCACCACCCTTAAGTCCCAGACCCTTAAGACAGGGATGGAAAGCATTCACTTCACAATAGGTTTTACTCTTCCCAGGCGACACAGTAGGCAAGAAGATTGGGGAACACATGTCTGGCATTCCTGGACTCTTGACACTGGCTCATCCTTTCACTTTGGGAAGGACCAGGCCTCTCCATCAGGGTTCTTCAAGAAACCAACAACCAGGACCAGAACACAGGTTCTTTAGAATATCTTTTCTTTCTAATCAGGGCAACACAACAATTTTTGTGAGGCTGTAACTCTAAGATTATCTTTTAAAGATGTTCCACCTAGGGATAAGGAATTAGCCTACCACGGCCTAACTTTTATATAATTTAAAGGCACTCTTTGACAATAAGCCCACAACAAAATAAATGTATCATGATTACTTAGGTGTTCTGGAAAATCTCCCCTCCAGCTTAGTAATAAATATGATCGGAAAGCAAACATTACTAACCTGTTCGCAGACAGGCCACATTTGCAAGCCACCACTCTGGGACCCTGGGCAGAATCAGAATTACCCGATCTCCTCTTTGTAGGGAACAGGCTTCTGAAAGTATATTGGCAAATTTTCTGGACAGAGATCCCAGTTCCTCAAAACTCCATCGCATCTCTTCTCCATTTCTGTTGATCCACCAGAAGGCTGGATTTGAAGGTTTCTTTCCAGCCTGAGGAAAGAAAAACCAGTCATTGATTTAAAGGTTGTTATACAGCTAAATTCTGGGCCAACTGACTCAATGGAATAGATTAGCTGAAGAAAGTTCGCAAGTCATTAGTTAGAACATGGATGGAGAATTTGGAAATAACTCTGGGGGAGACATCATCAAGATGGATGACTAGAGATGCCCAGTACTCACCTCCTACCAGAAGTACCAAGACAGTAAGCAGATAACATGACAAATAGAGTGTCAAAGGGAGAACACTGGAATTTAGCAAGGAAGTGACAAAACTCTCTGAGACCTGAAAACTAGAGATGAAAGCATAGAGAGGGAAGAAGAGCAGCTGGCCAGGATCAGCACAGAGCCCAGAGGGACTCCCTATTTTGAGGAAAATGTAAGTGGAAGATCCTCAGCAGTACACATTCCCATCACAGATGCCTGAAGTCCCACCTACAGGAGAGCCCCTCAGCCCTCACATGCCCTGAGCCTAGTAAACGCTGTATAGTATAGTATACTAGTATAGTATAACATTGTTCCAGAGAGGAAGTTCATACTAGGTCCTCCTGCAACAAACCCCAGGACCCGAGCTGCTATAGCATGGCATCATTTTAGGAACAGAGCTACTACCATACTACATCTTGCCCTGGGGCCAATTGCCCCTGCATCTCCACATCCCTGGGGCCTTGCTGACATCCCCACACGTTCCCGTAGAGGGCTGCAGCATTCCAACACCAGGTGGATCCAGTGATAGAGCCAGGCCACTGGCACCCGAGCCTACACACAGCACTCTACACCCCAGGTAACAGGGAGTCCAGCACATCAAGAGAGGCTGCCCCAGGACATAAGGCACTAAAGCACACTCCCCAGAGCCTGAGAGCTGCCTTCCTGAGCCTGCTGCCATGAACATGATCTTGCCCCCTCTAGTGGCAGAGCCGCTTTGTGCCTGCATTGCCATCTGCGGACCCAAGGACTGGCCCATTCAGGCTGCCACTACTACAAGTACCCATGTGCACTGCCAAAGGACCTGAGGTCTGACTCACTTGAGGCTTACCACTGCTACTGCCAGTGCCCATGCACACTTCCTGGGAGCCTGAGGATCAGCCTGCCTGGGACCCACTGGAGCCACTGCTGGCACCCTTATGATGAACAAAATAACACCTATCAATAACAATCTTGAATGTAAACAGTTTAAATTCCCCAGTTAAAAGATATGGACTGTATGGACTGACTAAATGGATAAAAAACAAGACCCAACTATAGGCTGCCTACAAGAAACTCACTTCACCTGTAAAGATACACATAGATAGGGCCAGGCGCAGTGGCTCATGCCTGTAATCCCAGCACTTTGGGAGGCCAAGGCGGGCGGATCACGAAGTCAAGAAATCGAGACCATCCTGGCCAACATGGGGAAACCCCGTCTCTATAAAAAATACAAACATTAGCTGGGCATGATAGCGTGCACCTTGTAGTCCCAGCTACTTGGGAGGCTGAGGCAGGAGAATCGCTTGAACCCGGGAGGCGGAGGTTGCAGTGAGCTGAGATCGTGCCACTGCACTCCAGCCTGGTGACAGAGTGAGACGCTGTCTCAAAAAAAAAAAAAAAAAAAAAGACACAGAAAATGAAGAGATGGAAAATAATATTTCAAACAAATAGAAACCAAAAGTGTGCAGGAATAGCTATGCTTATATCACATGAAATAGACTTTAAGTCAGAAAACATAAAAAGAGGCAAAGAAGGTCATTATATAATGATAAATAGATCAATTCAGCAAGAGGATATAACAATTGTAAATATATACGCACCCAACATCAGTGCACCTGGATATATAAAGCAAATATCATTAGATGTAAACAGATAGACTCCAATACAACAATGTTCAGGACTTTAACACTCTACCCTCAGCATTAGACGGATCATCTAGACAGAAAATTAACAAAGAAACATTGGATTTATACTGCACTTTGGACCAAATGGACCTCGCAGATATTTACACAACATTTTATCCAACAGCTACAGAATACACATTCTTCTTCTCATCAGCACATGGCACATTCTCCAGAATAGACCATATGTTAGGGCACAAAACAAATTTCAACAAATTCTTAAAAATTGAAATCATACCAGGTATGTTCTTAGACCACAATGGAATAAAACTAGAAATCAGTAACAAGAGGAACTTTGGAAAACTGTACAAATACATGGAAATTAAACAACATGCTCCTGAATGACCAGTGAGTCAATGATGAAATTGAGAAGGAAAGCAAAAAATGTCTTGAAAATAATGAAAATGGAAGCATAATATATCAAAATCAATGAAATAAAGCAAACACAGTGTTAAGAAGGGAAGTTTATAGCCATAAACACCTATATCAAACAAGCAGAAAGATTTCAAATAAACAATCTAAGAATGCACCTCAAGGAACCAGAAAAGCAAGAACAAACTAAATCCAAAATTAGTAGAAAGAAAGAAATAATAAAGATCAGAGCAGAAATAAATGAAATTGAGGCAAAATTATAAAAGATCAACAAAACAAAATTTTTTGAGGAAAAACAAAATAGACAAATCTTTAGCTAGATTAAGAAAAAAAGAGAAGACCCAAATAAATAAAATCAGAAATGAAAAAGGAGACATTACAACTGTACCACAGAAATACAAAAGATCATTAAAGACTCTTATGAACAACTATATGCCAACAAATTGGAAAACATAGAGGAAATGGATAAATTCCTGGACACACATAACCTACCAAGATAGAAAACCTGAATAGACCAATAATATGTAATGAGATTGAATCAGTAATAAAAAAAGCCCAGAATTGGATGGTTTTACTGCTGAATTCTACCATAAGAACTAACACTAAATCTTTTTTTTTTTTTTTTGAGAGGGAGTCTCACTCTTGTCACCTAGGCTGGAGTGCAATGGTGTGATCTCAGTTCACTGCAACCTCCACCTCCCAGATTAAAGTGATTCTCCTCCCTTAGCCTCCCTAGTAGCTGGGATTACAGGCATGCACCACCATGCCCGGCTAATTTTTGTATTTTTAGTAGAGACACCACACTTCCTAACTTCAAATCATACTACAGAGCTATAGTAACCAAAACAGCATGGTATTGGCATAAAAACAGATGCATAGACCAATGAAACAGAATAGATAACCCAGAACTAAACCCACACATTTACATTCAACAGATTTTCAACAAAGGTGCCAAGAACATACACTGAGGAAAGGATATCCTCTTCAGTACATGGTCCGAGGAAAAGTGGTAATCATATGTGGTAGACTAAGACTAGAGCCCTCTCTCTCACCATATACAAAAATCAACTCGAACTGGATTATAGACTTAAATGTAAGACTCAAAACTATAAAACAACCGAAGAAAATATAGTGTAAATGCTTCAAGTCATTGATCAAGGCAAATGTTTTATTTTTTATTTTAATTTTAATTTTTAAAATTTTTTAAATTTTATAATAAATTTAATAAAATTGGGCAGATCCTGAGCCAGAGTAGGCTCTGAGACTCCCCTAGGCAAATATTTTAGGGATAAGGATATGAAAACACAGGCAACAAAACCAAAAACAGACAAATGGGACTATACAAAGCTAAAAAGCTTCTGGACAGTAAAGGAAGCAATCAACAGAGAGAAGAGACAAGATGTAGAATGGGAGAAAATATTTGTGAACTATTCACCTGACAAGGAATTAATATCCAGAATATACAGGGAATGCAAATAACCCAACAGCAAAACAAAACAAAACAAAACAAATAATTCAATTAAAAAATGGACATAGAATCTGAATAGACATTTCTCAAAAGACATACTAATTGGCAGCAAGTATATGAAAAAATGCTCAACATCATTAATCATCAGGATAATTCAAATCAAAACCATGATGAGATATGATCTTACCCCAGTTAGAATGGCTATTGTCAAAAAGACAAAAGATAACAAATGCTTGAGAGGATGTGGAGAAAAGGGAACTCTGAAACACTATTGGTGAGAATATAAATTAGTACAGCCATTGCAGAAAACAATATAAGGGCCTCTCAAAAAACTAAAAATAAAACTACCATATGATTTAGCAGTCTCACCACTGGGTATTTTTTCAAAGGAAAGGAAATCAGTCTATTGAAGAGATATCTGCACTGCCATGTTTATTGCAGCACTGTACATAATAGCCAAGATATGGAATCAACCTAAATGTCTATCAAGAGATGAATGGATAAAGAAAATGTGGTATATATACACAGTGCAATACTATTCAGCCATAAAAAAGAATGAAATTCTGTTATTTGTGGCAACATGTATGAACTTGGAGGACATTATGTTAAGTGAAATAAGTCAGACACGGAAAGATAAATGCCACATGTTCTTACTCATATGTGGGAGCTTAAAAAAATGAGCTTCACTGAACTTCAGCCTGGGCAACAAAGTAAGACCCTGTCTCTTAAAAAAAAAAAAAAAAAAAAAAAAAAGGAGCTCGGCCTGGCGTGGTGGGTGGCTCACGCCTGTAATCCCAGTGCTTTGGGAGGCCAAGGTGGGCGGATCACTTGAGACCAGGAGTTCAAGGTCAGCCTGGCCAACATGGCAAAACCCTGTCTCTACTAAAAATACAAAAATTAGCCGGCATGGTGGCAGGTGCCTGTAGTCCCGGCTACTCGGGAGGCTGAGGCACAAGAATTGCTTGAACTCATGAGGCGGAGGTTGCAGTGGGCTGAGATCACACCACCGCACTCCAGCCTGAAAAGAGCTCATAGAAGTAGGGAGTGGAATTGTGGCTATTAGAGGCTAGGAACGGTAGTGGGGAGAGGAGCATAGAAAGAGGTTGGTTAATGGATGCAAAATTATAGCTAGATGGATGGAATAAGTTCTAGTGTTCTATAGCACTGTAGAGTGAAAACAGTTAAGAATAATATATTGAGTATGTTCAAAAAGCTAGGAGAGAGGATTTTGAATGCTCCCAGCACAAAGAAATGATGCATGTTTGGGATGATGGGTAGCCTAATTACCCTCATTTGATCACTACACATTTTATACATGTATCAAAAATATCTTTGTACCCCATAACTATGTATAGTTATTACATAACTAAACATAACAGGAAAAATAATAACTTTGGGGTCCTTATTTCTAGACGTTGGAAGCCATGTCATTTCTTTTGGCCCAAATCATTTCCCATTTAGCCTGATCATTTTTCTTTCCAATAAGTGAGAATTCTTGCATCCTTTACATTTTCCCCAAAGATTTATCTGTGCCTCCTTTTCTACCATTTCTGACTCTTGGAATTACTTTTCACTCTTCTCCTTTTTTTTTTTTAAGTCAACCTAGAATTCTACATTTATGTAATACAGGGTCTCTCAACTAACCATGGAACTATTGACATTTCGGGTCAAATAATTCTTTGTTCTGGAGGCTGCCCTGTGCATTATGGGATATTTAGCAGAATCCCTGGCTTTTACCTGTTAGATGCCAGTAGCAACTGCCTCTGCCCCTATCATGGCAACAAAAATATTTCTAGACATTAGAGATGTTACCTAGGGGTAAAATCACTCCCAGTTGAGAAATTGTGGTCTGACTGGCCCTCCCCCCATACCTTTTCCTTATCAGTCCATTGGTCCAGGACATCTTTAGCAAAGTTGAAATACTCTGGAATCCCCAGTTTGAAGTCCTGTTTCATGGATTCATAGTTGGAGAAATTCTGAGGGGTTGCTGTTCTATTATCTTTATGCAGTGCCCTCACAGAACCAAAAATTGCTAGGCGCTGAAAACACTTGGCATGACGTAGCATCTTCCTGGTGACACGAGCTAGCATCAGTCTTGTTGGAAGCTTTAGCACTCAGGATTTGCACAGAGACCAGTTCATCTAAAAGACAAGCAAAAAGGACATATATTTGTTTCTGTCCTGAAGGTAGCCATACCCCAAAGTGGCTAAGTTTTGTTATTAGTATTGATAATCATCATGATAGTACCATTTGCTGCGTACACTCTGTGTTCCAAACACAGTGCTCAGTGTTTTATAGACACTTTCTTATTAAATCCTCAGAGAAACCCTGTGAAGTGGGTACTATTATCATCTCTGTTTACAGATTGAGAAAATGACTAGTAAGAGGCATTGGCTGGATTTGAACCCAGAACTATCAGGTCCTAGCCCATTCTCCAGAATACTGTGCACTATTGACACCCATATGCATTTCTAAAGAAGTAAAGATCTGGGTCACCCACTTAATCTCACTGAAAGCAAAGGGCTAAGGCTTCTTGTCTAATATCTTTCACCTGCAGATTTCAAAGTAGGGTAGAAATGTTAAGGAGCATTTTTCACAGTGGATAATCTGTAGATGAAGAAATCGAGAGTAGCCCAATAACAATTAGACATGAAAGCACTGTCACAGTTTATGAACTGTCTAGTTGATAGGTTGCAGTTCCCATGCTCTCAATAGGGGCCCATACTACTTTTAAGTCCAGGCTTGGAGCTGCATTTAATAGAGATGTAATAATGGGGCTTTAACATTTAGGACTTTTGTCGGGGAGGCCCCTCTGGGCCATCGCCTGCTTCTGTGGGAAATCATTTGATCACAATGTCATTTACTTGGTTGAGGCTGTTAAAAATACAGTTCTAGGGATTATGAGTGTTTGAGATTCTCCTCATTATACTTCCTGTAATTTTCCAAATTTCCTACAATGCAATATATATTACTCTCATAATCATTAAATCATCATTCTAACTACAATTCTAGCTGTGTGCCATGTAAGGCAGTCTGGCTATGTGGAAGCATTTCTGTATTGATACATTGCCAAAACAATACATAATTGCAGATGTCAGCTAAATGGACAGTTTAGCTGACATCTACAGTTATTGCAGTTTTACCCTAAGCAGACCTGGTGTTTGGGCATCATGTTGATATAACCGATGCATCAGGAAACCTGGGTACTTCTGTCCTTCCCATTTATGTGTGTGAAGACCTGACAAGTCAGTGATCTTGAGCCCTCTGACACCATCTGGTTTCAGCTTTTTCCTTTTTCACCTGCAAAGAAAACTGGAGACCCAGAGAGGGGAAACAGCCTGCTTCATTCTGTCATACCAGAGTTAGAACTAGAACTCTGGTCTTTGGATTAAATGTTTTTACTGTCATTCGACAGGATTTCAATAGAGCAGTGGTTTGCAGTCCAGCTGTACATTTGAATCACCAAGAAAGCATTAAAAAAAAATACTCTGATGCCTAGGTCTTGGATCAATTAAATCAGAATATTTCAGAGTGGGCTCTGGGCCCATTTATATTTTTTAAAATGTCCTCAGATTTTAATGTGCAGCAGCCATGGTTGAGAATCACTGATTTAGAGGCTGTGATTTGTGAACCACCATCATCATCTTTATCACCTAGAAGCTTGTTAGAAATGCACATTCTCAGGCCCCACTCTAGATCTACTGAATTGGTAGATGTTGACATTTTAACAAGATCCCAGGTGACTGGTATGTACATTCAAGTGTGAAAAGCACCAGTCTATGGCATGATGGTTAAATACACTGGCTACTGAGTCATATGGTCATGTGATATGGTCTCCCAGTTTTGCCTCTTATGAACTGCATGACCTTATTTGAATTATTAATCACTCTGAACCTCAGTTTCACATTTTACCAATGGAGCGACTAATAGAACCTCCATCAGAGATTTGTCCTGAAGACTGAATGGGATACTGTATGCAAAATGCTTATCATGGTGCCAAGCATATTACTCTCTACTAGAATAGGGGTCAGCAAACTTTTTCTGTGAAGGGCCAGACACTAAATATTTGAGGCTTTGTGGGCCATATGGTCTCTGCTGCAGGTATTTAACTCTGCCATTGAGAGAGCAGCCATTGACAATACATAAATAAATTTTGGCATGGCTGTGTTCTAATAAAACCTTATTTATGGTACTGACACTAGAATTTCATTTAATTTTCATGTGTCATGAATTAGTGTTCCTCTTTTAGTTATTTTTTCAACCATTAAAAAATTTAAAAACCATTCTTGGTTCAAAGGCTATACAAAAACAGGCAGAGGGCTGGATTTGACCCATGGGCTACAGTTTGCTGATCTTTGCACTGTGATGTAAGTTCTACCAGAGCAGGGGCCTTGTCTGTTATGTTCCTGGGAAGAATTAACAAAAATTTCTTGGCAGGCTTTAGGAGAAAAGGCTGCTCTTAAGAACAGAACTAAAATCACTCTGAATCCCAGTTGCCCTGCAGGTTAAGACCTTAAGTCTAACAATGTCATTCTGTTTGGCATTGGGGATTGGGTACAGAGGGAACTACCGGTCCCTGTTTTTTTTTTTTTTTTTTTTTTTTTTTTTGAGACGGAGTCTCGCTCTGTCGCCCAGGCTGGAGTGCAGTGGCGCGATCTCGGCTCACTGCAAGCTCCGCCTCCCGGGTTCACGCCATTCTCCTGCCTCAGCCTCCCGAGTAGCTGGGACTACAGGCGCCCGCCACTACGCCCGGCTAATTTTTTGTATTTTTAGTAGAGACGGGGTTTCACCGTGTTAGCCAGGATGGTCTCGATCTCCTGACCTCGTGATCCGCCCGCCTCGGCCTCCCAAAGTGCTGGGATTACAGGCGTGAGCCACCGCGCCCGGCCCCGGTCCCTGTTTTTTGCTGGCAAGTCACAACCTATGCTTTTGGCTGCTCTCCTCTTAACAGAATTAGCATCAGGTTTCCTTCAACTGAAAGAAGTTAAGTAATCAACACTACTTGTCTCTCTCTGTTTTTAATTTTTTTTCGCATAATATCTTCAAATGGCTCAAAAAAACTGTAAAAGGTACAGAGGGAAAAAAAAATATCTGCCTCCCACCTCTAGTCTCAAAGCTGCCCACTTTGCTCTCACTCCCAGGAAACCACTATTATTATTTCTACTTATCTTTTCAGGGTTTCTTTATGTGCATTCAAGCAAATTATGAGTATAGATTCTTATTTCTCCACCAATTTTACACAACAGGTAGCACAGAATACACACTATTCTGCCCACTAAAAACATTTTTAACAATGTACCTTTTAAGGGCTTTCCATACCAGTGCGCAGAGATCTTCATTCTATTTTTTTAAATGAAGTATTTATTCATTTATTCTTTCCTTTTTTTCCCTGCCTAAAGACAGGATGGATCTCACTCTGTCACCCAGACTGGAGTGTAGTGGCACGACCACCCCTCACTGCAGCTTGAACTTCTGGGATGAAGCGATCCTCCTGCCTCAGCCTCCAGAGTACCTGGAATTACAGGTGTGTGCCACCACACCCAGCTAAGTGTTTTAAAAAATTTTTTAGAGATGGGGGTCTCACTATGTTGCCCAGGCTGGTCTCAAACTCCTGACCTCAAGCAATCCTCCTGTGCTAAGCACTTTGCAGTTATTTATTATTATTTCCATTTTACAGACAAGGAAATATACACAAACACGCACACGGCCTCCCAAAGCACTAGGATTACAGGTGGGAGCCACCACACTCAGCCCTGTTCTGATTTTTTTCTTTTAACAGTTGTATGACATTCTAGTGAAGAACTGCACTGTCATTTCTTAAACCGGTCCCCTATCAATGGTCACTTGAGTTTTTGTATAATTTTGCAATTTAGATAAAATGTTGAAACTATGTCTTCCAAAAGGAACGTCCTGATTCTTTCATTACTTGGATGTAAAAATGAATAGTATTTTTAAGTGGTTGTGAAGTATTAGAAACAATTTCTGATTCTATTAAATAAAAGGCAGGAATTTGGACAAATATCTTAAGGTCTTGAGCTTCATTCTTGGTAGGTTGGCATGATTCATTTATTTATTCAACAATTATTAATCACTTGCCATGAATTATTTCAGACATAGAGGATACAGGAGGGAATGCAAGAGACAAGGTCCTCCTTGCTCTCATAGAAAGACACATATAGTAAACAAGGGAATAAATAAATGTGATGTTACGCAAGAAAACAAAGAGAGTAATGGGAGAAAAGGGACCTTTTAGGAGGTCTCTCTAGGGACGTAACATTTTTGCTGAGATCTGGCAAGTGGTTGTACTGTTAAGCATTTTGCAGTTATTTATTAGTATTTTCATTTTACAGACAAGGAAGTATACACAAACAGACACACATATTTAAATTGGACAACGCATTTATTCATTACCCGTGTATTTATTGAACACTTGGTATATGCCAGACCTGTACTAAATGCTGAAAATATAGCTGTGAACAAGACACGGCTGGTCTTGCTCCCATGAAGCTTATAGACTATTAAGGAAGACATTAAATAATTATGTAAATATTAATATGATTGGAGATAAATATATCATACTTAGCTTGCTGATTCTGAATAGAATCAGAGTTTAGTATGATTTGTTCCCTAGCTCCCATACAATACTCTACACCACATTCAGAATCCTTCAAACGTATGTTGAAAAGAAAATTGATCAGTCATTTGGAGCTTAAAATGAACCTAACCATTCTGTTCTACCAAAAAGCAAATATCGACATCCTCTTCATCAAAACCATAAGATTACCTTCTCCTCAACAAAGTTCTTTTCCTCCCTTTTCATCGATCTTAGCATTTTACAACTTCTATTTCCCAGGTTTATAAAATTATTTGTAGGTAAAATTGCTGAGATAACTTTCCCAGGGTGACTCCAGATTTTTATACTGAGCCACAGAAACATTGGTAAGGAAAACTCTTCTAAGAAAGACAGTACCACCCCTGGTCAGATAGGCTTCTGAAAGTATTTAAGGTCTCATCTGAAATGCAAGCTCTTTGTCCCTACAGCCAAGGGGGCTTTAGCCTCCCCACAGCTCCCTAAACATCCCTCCCTCTAAGTATCCAAGTAATAACAGTAGTTTAACATATACAGCCTCAACGCAAGGTAAATTCACTGCTGTTGTCTCCAAACCCAACCAGACCCTGCCTGAAGCCCCTCCTATACAGAACTTTTGCAGCTGCCCTTGACCACCTAAAGGAGAAAACTGGCTGCTCTTAGGTTTGCATCTGTGTTTCCCAAAGTTTCCTGGAAGTAATTTACATACTTTCTGGATGATGCAGAAGATGGATTCCCATCTGTCACTGAGCAAGGTGGGGAGCTAAGCAGACAGTACAATGAAAATCTCAGCCACTACCTGGTCTTTTTTTTGAGATGGAGTCTTGTTCTGTCACCCAGGCTGGAGTGCAGTGATGCAATCTCAGCTTACTGCAAACTCCACCTCCCAGGTTCAAGTGACTCTACTGCCTCAGGCTCCCAAGTAGCTGGGGTTACAGGCACCTGCCACCACACCTGGCTAATTTTTTATTTTCAGTAGAGATAGGGTTTCACCATGTTGGCCAAGCTGGTCTCGAACTCCTGGCCTCAAGTGATCTGCATCTGCCCACCATAGCCTCCTAAAGTGGTGGGATTACAGGCTTGAGCCACCGCATCTGGTTCAATTAAAATTAAAAAAAAAATTTATCAACTTAATACATGTACATAGTTTTTCAAAAAATCAAATAGCACCAAAAGGCTCAACATGAAAACTCAGCTGCTACATTTATAGCCTTTTGTGTGTGCATACTCCTCATCACTTAATAGATAGTATCACACAACTGAGAAATTCTGAGAGAAACTTTGGCTGCCCAAGACTTTAATGACAGCATTTTTGATTGTTGGTTTTGTTCATCTGTTTGTTATCTTTGCTCAAAAAACAGATGTGCCAGTTCAGGAAATCTTACACAGGAGGGGAGATGAGGTACTCACTAGTTAACAGATTCCAACACAGATGGAGATTATGGCAGACTTGTTTCTTAGAAGAGCAGCCCTGAACCTTGAGTTCTCACATCTGCTTTTTCCTCGTGGCAGTCTAAAGAAGAGGGAGGAGCAGTCTGACAATCCGGAGGAGCAAGACTGGCCCAAAACACTTTCCTTGATTGGTGGAGACATTCTGGAGGAGGAGCCAAGCTCTGGGCTAAAGTTTACAGGACTCCCAGCGGTTCCTCTTACAGGTAATGATTTACAGAAACAGCAAGCTTTTGAGGGGCGGAGAAAGCAAATTATTAACAAGAAGGAAAGTGTCCAAGGAGTTGCCGAAGTGGTTAGTTCTGTAAAGGGGCAGAGAGAGCACTTCTCAGAAGGAAGAACAGATGGAGGAAGCCATAGAGGAGTTTTGAAATTGAAAGGAAAGAAGTTGAGGGGCGGTTATGGGTTGGCCTAAATCTCATCAAGCCCATTGGTGCGTTTATCTGTCGAAGTGGCAGGACTAAACATAAACGCTATCAGGTTACTCCCCTGCTCAAATCTTTCAGTGCTTCTTTTTCCACTCCAGGTAAAATCCGAGTCCTTACATGAACTGCAAGGAGTTGTATGATCTGGCACAGGGTCCTCTGATCCACAGCCCATTCTCCTTCCTCTGCCTCACTCTGCACAGCCACCGGCCTCCTTGCTTTTTCTCAAACACACTTGCCTGTTTCAGCCTCAGGCTTTCTGAATTCACAGTTTCCACTGACTGGAACTCTTTCCTCAGATATCCCCCTGGCCAAATTCCTCATTTTCTGAGGTGTCTTATTAAATAACTCTTCCCTTACCTCATTTTCTAAAGTAGCACTCTTCATTTTTTCTCTTTTACCATTTTTTAACTTTTTACATCTCTTACTATCACCCTTGAGGGTAAGAACTCTTTTTGTTTGATGGTGTATCTATTGCCTGGAATAGCTACTGGCAAATTTTAGGCATTCAATAAATAGTTGATGGATATGTGAATAAATAAAGGACTCTTTCAATTACATGTGAGAGACCCAACTTTACTTAAAGAGGAATTTGTTGGTCACTTTTGAGTTCTAGGAGTCTTTTGTTGTTGATTCCTTGGGATTTTCTGTGTAATCACATTACCTGTAAATAAGTAAACAGATCTTACTTCTTTCTTTCAGATCTATATGCGTTTTATTTCCTTTTCTTGCCTTATTGCGCAGGCTAGAGTGTCTAGCTCTACGTTGAATAAGAGTGATGAGAGCAGACATCCTTGCCTTGCTTTTGATCTTAGAGGGAAAACATTCAGTCTTTCATGGTTAGGTACAATATTAGTAGTAGGTTTTGTGTAGATGCCCTTTATCAAGTTGAGGAAATTCTCCTCTATTTCTATTTTTTTCTGAGTGTTTTTATCATGAATAGGTGTTGAATTTTGGCAAGTGTTTTTTCTGCATCAGTTACTATAAGCATGTGGTGTTTTTCTTCTTTAGCCTGTTAATAAGATAGATTACACTGATCTTCTAATATTGAACCAGCCTTGCCTCCCTGGAATAAACCTTGCTTGGTCCTGTTGTATATTTCTTTTTCTGTATTGCTGAATTCTATAGTTATGTCTCTTGACAAATTTGAGAACTTTTCAGCTATTATTTCTTGGAGTAAATTTTTAGCCCCCATGTTAGATCTTTTATGATAGTTTCACAGGTCCCTGAGGCTCTGTTCTTTTTTTTCTTTTTTTTCCCATTCTAGTTTCTTTCTTTTGTTCAGGTTGAGTAAATTCTGGCTTCCAGTTCTTTGATTTTTTTCTTCTATTATTTCTATTCTGATGTTAAGCTCATTATTAGAGACAGGGAAAAAACAGTGTTTTTTTTTCTACTCTCACATACCATTCAGCATAATGTTAGCAGTGGTGAATCCATACGGATCTACAATAACTTGATTCTTGCCTCTTCAAAGGAAAGAATTCATCCAAGAGGCATAAGGCAGAGTGAGAGACTGAGGCAAGTTTTTGAGCAGGAGTGAGAGTTTATTAGAAAGTTTTAGAGCAGGAACCAAAGGAAGAGGGGCAAGCAGGCAACTTGAGAGATCCAGGTGCCCTGTTTGACTTTTGACTTTGCGTTTTATACATTGGCATGCTTCCGAGGTTTTGTATCTCCTTTGATTTTTTCCTTGGCATGGGCTGTCTGCACGTGCAGTGGCCTGTCAGCACTTGGGAGGGGCCACATGTGCAATGTCTTTACTGAAGTTGTGCACATTCTCATTTGAGGCGTTTTTCCCTTACCAGTCAAGTGTTCCTAGAGGAAGGTTGTATACCAGTTAAAATCTGCCATTTTGCCTCTTAGTACGCATGCTTGAGCACACTTGCCCAGTTCCTGAGATCTTATTGGAAAGCTGCTGATCACCAGCTTTAGGTGTTTTCTATCTCTTAGGAGACTGCCTTTCCCTGGCACCTACTGCAACCAATTATTTTAGAGTGACAGTTTAATAACCGCCTGACCATCACCTGATTGTCGCCTGACATTCCTGCCTTTCCTGCCTTGCCCATATCTGCCTGACTACCTACTCTAACAATAACACTTCTGACACTAGACGTGTGGGGGGTTTTCACTATACCAAGCAATTCTCCAGTGGACACCAGCTTGGGTGTCATGTCCTACTTAGTTCAACACTGTCTACCTGGAAATAGTGTCAGATCCTACAGGTTAAGGTCTCAATCTGTAAACTAAAAAGTATCTGAGACAGGTCTCAATTAATTTAGAGGTTTATTTTGCCATGGTTAAGGATCATGACCCATGACACAGCTTTAGGAGGTCCTGAGAACATGTGCCCAAGGTGATTGGGTTACAGTTTGATTTGATACATTTTAGGGACAAAGAAGTTATAGGCAAAGACATAAATCAATACATGCTGAGGAGGCTGAGGCAGAAAAATTGCTCAAACCTGGGAGGTGGAGGTTGCAGTGAGCTGAGATCATGCCACTGCACTCCAGCCTGGGCACTCCAGCCTGGGCGACAGAGTGAGACTCCGTCTCAAAAAAAAAAAAATGTGTATACATTGGTTCAGCCTGGAAAGTTGGGACATCTCAAAGGAGGAAGAGGCTGGGCTTTCAGGTAATAGGTGGATTTAAAGATCTCCTGATTGGCAATTGGTTGAAAGGGCTAAACTCTGGCTGAAGAATTGAAATCAGCTTGAGTTAAGGTAAAGGGTGGGGGGTTGCGGAAGCCAAGGTTCTTTTCAAGTAGATGAAGCCTCCAGGTAGCAGGCCTCAAAGAGAACACTTGTGAATGTCTCTTATTAGACGTTAAAAGGTATCACACTCTCTGGAAATACATAGTAAAGATGAAGAAGGAATTAATGAAATCAACTATAACCTAATAGTAGTGGTAACAGAAATTTTTAAATCCTCTTAAAGTTGCTGCAACTTTAACTTGAGTTATACTTAAGTTAAAAGAGAATATTAACAGCCTGTCTTCTCTCTGTGGTCAGTGGACCTTATCTATATTCCCCAACTCCACATTCATCAAAGTTTATTACAGGCTCAGTGAGTTCCTGCTTACCTCCCTAGCATGGCTTCAGGGTCACAAGACCGATAAGTTTAGGTTGGAAGACATGTTTTTCTCAAGATGTAAGAAATGTTGTAATGCTTGATTAACTGCCTTTGTTTCTCTCTTCCGTAACTTACTTCCTGCCTCACATGGTTCCTGCCTTAAGATGTTTAAAAGTAGGAAAGCCTTTAGTTTGGGGCTCAGACTTTCTGGATGTATGTCTGGCTGAGCCTGTGATCACCTTAATAAACTCTCCTGAACCTTTTTCAGTCTCTCCAGTCTTTGATTGTCCCGCAACAAAGGAAGGAGATTTTCCTACAGAATGCAGCTTTTCCCCACAAGAGACAGCTTTGCAGGGCCATTTCAAAATGTGTCAAAGAAATATATTTTGGGGTAAAAGACTTTGATTTTCTTCAGGGCCTGCTATCTGTTATATGATGCTGTACTAGAGTCATTTTAGAATTTGGATCTTATTGCTACAAAGAGTCTGTTTTGTCAGTTTTAAGATCACTGTTTCAATGTTAATGTTGGTCAGTTGTGCTTGAACTCCAAAAGGGAAGAGTATAATGAGGCATGTCTGTCCCCGCCACCCCCTGTAGCTGCCCCTACTGGCTTTCCATCATGGCCTAATTTTTCAGATTTCCTTGGGTCCTCTTGGTCAAAAGGAGGGTCAATTCAGTCAGTTTGGGGGCTTAGAATTTTATTTTTGATTTACAAGTCCCACAAGACTGCCCCCCACTTCAAGTGTCATAAGATTCAAGGTTGTAATCTGTACTTCTAACCCCTCTCCTTGAGTTCAATTAATTTGCTAGAACTATTCATAGAACAAAGGGCAACACTTACATCAACCCATTTATTATAAAGGATATTACAAAGGATACAGATGAACAGCCAGATTAAAGAGATGCATAGGGCGAGGTGTGGGAGAAGGGGTACAGAGCTTCCATGTCCTCACCAGATGTTCTACCCTCCTAGAACTTCCTCATGCTCATCTACCCAGAAGCTCCCTGAACCCAGCCCTTTTTTTTTTTTTTTTTTTGAGATGGAGTCTTGCTGTGTCACCCAGGCTGGAGTGCAGTGGCGTGATCTCGGCTCACTGCAAGCTCCACCTCCCAGGTTTACACCATTCTCCTGCCTCAGCCTCCTGAGTAGCTGGGACTACAGGTGCCCACCACCACACTTGGCTAATTTTTTTGTATTTTTAGTAGAGACGGGGTTTCACCGTGTGTTAGCCAAGATGGTCTCGATCTCCTGACCTCATGATCCGCCCACCTCAGCCTCCCAAAGTGCTGGGATTACAGGCGTGAGCCACCACACCCAGCCCCTTTTGGGTTTCTTAGAGGCTTCATTACACAGGCCTGACTGATTAAATCATTGGTCATTGGTAATTAACTCAACCTTCAGCCCTTCTTTCCTCCCAAGAGGTAGGGGGATGGGAAGTGGCGTGGTGGTGGGGTGGGAGAGAAAGTTCTAACCCTCTAATCACAAGGTTGGTTCTCCTGGCAACCAGCCCTCATCCTGAACCCCTAACCCCTAGTCATCTCACTAGCATACAAAAAAGCTCTCTTCAGCAAATGTAAAAGAACAGAAATTATAACAAACTGTCTCTCAGACCACAGTGCAATCAAACTAGAACTCAGGATTAAGAAACTCACTCAAAACCGCTCAACTACATGGAAACTGAACAACCTGCTCCTGAATGACTACTGGGTACATAATGAAATGAAGGCAGAAATAAAGATGTTCTTTGAAACCAACGAGAACAAAAACACAACATACCAGAATCTCTGGGACACATTCAAAGCAGTGTGTAGAGGGAAATTTATAGCACTAAATGCCCACAAGAGAAAGCAGGAAAGATCCAAAATTGACACCCTAACATCACAATTAAAAGAACTAGAAAAGCAAGAGCAAACACATTCAAAAGCTAGCAGAAGGCAAGAAATAACTAAAATCGAGCAGAACTGAAGGAAATAGAGACACAAAAGACCCTTCAAAAAATTAATGAATCCAGGAGCTGGTTTTTTGAAAGGATCAACAAAATTGATAGACCGCTAGCAAGACTAATAAAAAAAGAGAGAAGAATCAAATAGACACAATAAAAAATGATAAAGGGGATATCACCACCGATCCCACAGAAATACAAACTACCATCAGAGAATACTACAAACACCTCTACGCAAATAAACTAGAAAATCTAGAAGAAATGGAGAAATTCCTCGACACATACACTCTCCGAAGGCTAAACCAGGAAGAAGTTGAATCTCTGAATAGACCAATAACAGGATCTGAAATTGTGGCAATAATCAATAGCTTACCAACCAAAAAGAATCCAGGACCAGATGGATTCACAGCCGAATTCTACCAGAGGTACAAGGAGGAACTGGTACCATTCCTTCTGAAACTATTCCAACAATAGAAAAAGAGGGAATCCTCCCTAACTCATTTTATGAGGCCAACATCATCCTGATACCAAAGCCGGGCAGAGACACAACCAAAAAAGAGAATTTTAGACCAATATCCTTGATGAACATTGATGCAAAAATCCTCAATAAAATACTGGCAAACCGAATCCAGCAGCACATCAAAAAGCTTATCCACCATGATCAAGTGGGCTTCATCCCTGGGATGCAAGGATGGTTCAGTATATGCAAATCAATAAATATAATCCAGCATATAAACAGAACCAAAGACAAAAACCACATGATTATCTCAATAGATGCAGAAAAGGCCTTTGACAAAATTCAACAACCTTCATGCTAAAAACTCTCAATAAATTAGGTATTGATGGGACGTATCTCAAAATAATAAGAGCTATCTATGACAAACCCACAGCCAGTATCATACTGAATGGGCAAAAACTGGAAGCATTCCCTTTGAAAACTGGCACAAGACAGGGATGCCCTCTCTCACCACTCCTATTCAACATAGTGTTGGAAGTTCTGGCCAGGGCAATTAGGCAGGAGAAGGAAATAAAGGGTATTCAATTAGGAAAAGAGGAAGTCAAATTGTCCCTGTTTGCAGACGACATGATTGTATATCTAGAAAACCCCACTGTCTCAGCCCAAAATCTCCTTAAGCTGATAAGCAACTTCAGCAAAGTCTCAGGATACAAAATCAATGTGCAAAAATCACAAGCATTCTTATACACCAATAATAGACAAACAGAGAGCCAAATCATGAGTGAACTCCCATTCACAATTGCTTCAAAGAGAATAAAATACTTAGGAATCCAACTTACAAGGGACGTGAAGGACCTCTTCAAGGAGAACTACAAACCACTGCTCAAGGAAATAAAAGAGGATACAAACAAATGGAAGAACATTCCATGCTCATGGGTAGGAAGAATCAATATTGTGAAAATGGCCATACTGCCCAAGGTAATGTATAGATTCAATGCCATCCCCATCAAGCTACCAGTGACTTTCTGCACAGAATTGGAAAAAACTACTTTAAAGTTCATATGGAACCAAAAAAGAGCCCGCATCACCAAGTCAATCCTAAGCCAAAAGAACAAAGCTGGAGGCATCACGCTACCTGACTTCAAACTATACTACAAGGCTACAGTAACCAAAACAGCATGGTACTGGTACCAAAACAGAGATATAGATCAATGGAACAGAACAGAGCCCTCAGAAATAACGCCGCATATGTACAACTATCTGATCTTTGACAAACCTGAGAAAAACAAGCAATGGGGAAAGGATTCCCTATTTAATAAATGGTGCTGGGAAAACTGGCTAGCCATATGTAGAAAGCTGAAACTGGATCCCTTCCTTACACATTATACAAAAATTAATTCAAGTTGGATTAAAGACTTAAACGTTAGACCTAAACCCATAAAAACCCTAGAAGAAAACCTAGGCATTACCATTCAGGACATAGGCATGGGCAAGGATTTCATGTCTAAAACACCAAAAGCAATGGCAACAAAAGCCAACATTGACAAATGGGATCTAATTAAACTAAAGAGCTTCTGCACAGCAAAAGAAACTACCATCAGAGTGAAAAGGCAACTTACAAAATGGGAGAAAATTTTCGCAACCTACTCATCTGACAAAGGGCTAATATCCAGAATCTACAATGAACTCAAACAGATTTACAAGAAAAAAACAAACAACCCCATCAAAAAGTGGGCAAAGGATATGAACAGACACTTCTCAAAAGAAGACATTTATGCAGCCAAAAGACACATGAAAAAATGCTCATCATCACTGGCCATCAGAGAAATGCAAATCAAAACCACAATGAGATACCATCTCACACCAGTTAGAATGGCAATCATTAAAAAGTCAGGAAATAACAGGTGCTGGAGAGGATGTGGAGAAATAGGAACACTTTTACACTGTTGGTGGGACTGTAAACTAGTTCAACCATTGTGGAAGTCAGTGTGGCGATTCCTCAGGGATCTAGAACTAGAAATACCATTTGACCCAGCCATCCCATTACTGGGTATATACCCAAAGGACCATAAATCATGCTGCTATAAAGACACATGCACACGTATGTTTACTGCGGCACTATTCACAATAGCAAAGACTTGGAACCAATCCAAATGTCCAACAATGACAGACTGGATTAAGAAAATGTGGTACATATATACCATGGAATACTATGCAGCCATAAAAAATGATGAGTTCATGTCCTTTGTAGGGACACGGATGAAATTGGAAGTCATCATTCTCAGTAAACTATCGCAAGGACAAAAAACCAAACACCGCATGTTCTCACTCATAGGTGGGAATTGAACAATGAGAACACATGGACACAGGAAGGGGAACATCACACTCTGGGGACTGCTGTGGGGTGGGGGGGGGGGAGGGATAGCATTAGGAGATATACCTAATGCTAAATGATGAGTTAATGGGTGCAACACACCAGCATGGCACATGTATACATATGTAACTAACCTGCACATTGTGCACATGTACCCTAAAACTTAAAGTATAATAATAATAATAATAATAATAAAAAGCACTTACCACTTCAGAAATTCCAGGGGTTTTAGCGGCTATGTACCAGGAAACTGGAATGAAGATGAAATATATATTTTATAGTATCATACCATCCACCAAGCTTTTGATTTCTCATTGAATTTTTTAGTTCTAATATTTATTTTCATTTAGTTGTTCTTGATATCTTCTATTTTTTGCTGATATATATTTTTTTCATTTATTTCAAGCATACCTAATTGTTCACTGAAGCATTTTTATCAAGGCTACTTTAAAATCTTTGTCAGATGATTCTAACATTTCTGTCATCTCAGTGTTAGCATCTATCCATCATCTTTCTTCATTCATTTGAACTCTTCCTGGTTTTGGTATGAGGAGTGATTTTCAATTCAAACACAGACATTCTTGTAATAAGACTCTGCACCTTATTTAAACTTTATATTTTAGCTGGCTTTGACACTGCCCAGGTAGGGGACAGGGAAGGGGCACCACCTCATTATTGCCAGGTGAATATAGACATCTAGGTTCTTTACCCAGCTTTGGATGACACCTGAGTTGCAAGGAGCTTCTTCTTATTGTTGGGTGGGGACTAGAGTTCCAGCTCCCGACATGGTCTCTATGGACACTGGCCTGTTCCCTGCTTGGCCTTCTCTCACACCATCCCCAGCCTTCGTCACAATAATTCCTCTGCCCCTCTAAAATCTTAAGTCCATTGACTTAAGCACACCTCCTTCATGCCTTCACTTATCTTCTGCCCAGCTTGGATTCTCTGTGCCATTCAGATTCTTTGTACTGCTCTCCCTCCACCATACTCATGTGGGAAAACCCAGCTCTATGCAAAACTCCAGATAATTCTACTTATTTGTGACACTTGAGAAGCTTAATATGGCTCTGGAGAATTGCACATGGTATTTGTTGGTGGTCCTAAACTCAATGGTTACACTTGTTACAAGATAGACTAAGGCACATTAAAATTTTAAAGCATACATGTGAGCAAACTGATCCATGAATCAGGCAGCTCCAAATGGGAAGTAATTCAGGGCTCTATTGCAGGGCACAAAGGGAGGGTGTTTATAGGGTGAATGTGGAAGCTGAGCAAAGAAATTACTTGATTGGTAAAGGTTTGAACAATTGCCTTATTTGCACTGTTCTGGTGGGAAGTTCAAGACAATATACTAAAGCCCAGTTGGCTGCCTGTGACTGGCTGAGCTTATATTTCATTTTATTTTAAATTCTGAGTTAGGCTTCAGTTTGCTTATGTGGGAACCCTGAGTGTTAGAGCCACCTCAGTCTAATGGCCTCCTATTTAATTATGTTAGCACACTTTAACTTCCTGACTGCAAAATATTCATGTGGGCCGTTCTCACTCTCTGACAACCCCACTACATTTCTACACTTGGAGATAACTGTTTCACTCCTTCCCCTGTTTCTCTAAACTAGTACCTCTCCTTCTCCCCTCTTATTTCACTGAGATTTATAAGTGAGAAAAGCCAGAAGAGAATGTCCTTATTCCCCCTAACCAGTTAACCAACCAGTACTCTTACAACTCTGCCCATACTTTCTGCATTCCTTCCAATGACCATGGAAAAATTGTCCAAGGTCCTAGCGTGGGTCACCTTTTCCACTGTGGACTTGACACCATTCCCTCTCCCTTACTCCAGGATATTACTCCCTCAGTTATTCTTCCTCTCTCTTGCATCATCAATTTCTTTCTTTCTCTGTCTTTTTTTTCTTTCTTTCATTCTTTTCTTTCTTTCTTTCTCTCTCTCTCTTTTCTTTCTCTTTCTTCTTTTCATTTCTTTCTTAAGAGTTGTAATAGGGAAACAAAGTCAGGCACAAATACATGGTAATATTTCCCATGTGAAAATAAAATTTCTTGGGCCATTTGTCTCCCTCCACCTCTTCATTACTTGTCTCCTTTTTACAGCAAAATTTCTCAAAAATAGTTGTCTGTATCTGCAGCTTTTACTTCTTTATTCTCTGTCTGTATATCTGTACCTCTTCTCTTGGTCTCTCTTTTTCTTCCTTATTGTGGAAAATCCTTATGTATCTCTAAAAGATAAGGACTCTTTTAAAACCTAATCACAATACCATTTAATACCTGAAAAAGCCATAATAATCCTCTATTAATATAATTTTTCAAATTTCATGTTTCCAGATTCACTCTTTTTTTTTTTTTTTTTTGGAGACAGTCTCGTTCTGTCACCCAGGCTGGAGTGCAGTGGTGCAATCTCAGCTCATTGCAACCTCTGCCTCCCAGGTTCAAGCAATTTCTGTGCCTTAGCCTCCCAAGTAGCTGGGATTACAGGCATGTGCCACCATGCCTGGCTAATTTTTGTATTTTTAGTAGAGACGGGGTTTCACCATGTTGGCCGGGCTGGTCTCAAACTCCTGATCTCAGGTGATCTGCCCACCTCGGCTCCCAAAGTGCTGGGATTACAGGTATGAGCCACCCCACCCAGCCAGCCTTTTCCAGATTCAATTTTGTTTTACATTTGTTTTTTTTTTTCAACTCAGTGTCCAAACAAGGGCAACACATTGCATTTTATTGATATATATCTTAAGTTTTTAATCTATAAATTCCATCTCTCTCTTCTTTTTCTTTGTAATTCATTGTAGAACATACGGCATTGTCCTCTAAAGTTTCCCAAATTCAGTGTTGATTTTGCTAATTCAATGTGGTTGAGTTTAACATATTTTTCTGTCCCGTGTAGTTTCTATAAACTAATAGTTAAATCTAGAGGATAGATCCATTTATAGCAAAAAGATTGCATAAATATCTTTGCAGAATTCTATTGCATCACATCTGGAGAATCATAATGTTGTGTTGGCTCTCCTTTTGTGATGTTAAGGCATCACCTGATCCATTCATTATGTTTCCAGCAGCTTTTCACCTAATGCAGCTATTGATAATTGTTATCTATATCTATTATTTCATAGGGATCTCCATTTTCTCTAAAAATAGATCAGGTTTTCTTCTCTAGCACTCAACTGAAATCTAATCTCCCTCGACCCCTACCCAGTTTTAATCCTAGGGAGTAACCTAGTGCCACTGAGGCTTTATCTAAGAAGGATTCCGACATAAGTGATTGGAATAATTCTTATATTCAACTGTCTTAAGAAAAACTCTAATAAATAAATGTAGTTCCCAGCCAAGACCAGGCTTTTGAGAGAGTCTTCTAACATATCATTTTCCATCAACTGTTTTCTTTTATCATGAGACAACCACAAGAAAAACAATGGCAAGGAACAGCAACTAGGGTTGGGACCATTCCTTATACGGAGCAGAAGTGAATTTTTTTTTTTGAGAGACAGAGTCTCACTATGTTGCCCAGGTTGGTCTTAAAACCCTGGGCTCAAGTGATCCTCTGGCCTTGGCCTCCCAGAATGCTGAGATTACAGGTGTGAGCTACCATGCCTGGCTGAGTAGAAGAGAATGACCACTTTTTTTTTTTGTGAGACAGAGTCTCGCTCTGTCGCCCAGGCTGGAGAGTAGTGGTGCAGTCTCGGCTAACTGCAAGCTCTGCCTCCCGGGTTCACACCATTCTCCTGCCTCAGCCTCACTTGTTGAATGTTTTCTGTATGCCAAGTGTTTTAGATAGCTCATATCATTTATTTCTCATAGCAGCTCTGTAAGCTAAGTAGTACTATATATCCATTTTTTTTAATGTGAGGAAACGAAGTCTAGTAGAGAGAAAACAACCTTGAAATAAGTCACAGCTTGAAAGTGATTCTGACAGAAGGTTAATGTCCTTTTGTTTTAATGCCAAGTTGTTTGACTATACCTAGAATCAGTTTGGCTGGAGCAAAGATTTTGACAATGAACATGTCAATATATCCCTTAAATGTGATTTTTGCCTTCTCATAAAACCCCCAAGGGAAGAAGAATGGAGAAGCCAAGGTGACATAACCGATGTGTAATGAAACCCCATCTTTCCATTCCTTTTCTTCCCAAGAGACCCTGGCTCCCACATAGACCAGCTCTGGTACAGCTAAGCAGAGGAAGAATGGCAGGGCTTCTCCGAGCCCCACTGAGCTCTACTATCACTTGGCAGGGGGATGATGAGCAGTGTTTTATAGAATTGGCATAAGTCAGTCAAAATGGGGAAAAAAGGCACCTGGAATATTTTCCCAGTTTCTCCTGGGTTTCTATCTCTCATCAGCCAAGTTTGACTACATCTTTTCTTAAATGTAAAATAGCTTGAAGTTATGAATTTTTTTTCAAATACTTTAAACAACAATAAAAAATCCTTTAAAAAGAAAAACATTTTTATAAATAGTTCTACAGGGAAACAAGAAACAGGAAAAAGGACAAAGCTTTATAGAACTGTCAACTATTTTGTAAGTTACATACAGATAGAAGACCTTGAATTCTGTTTCATGTACATTTTGTAAGGAAGGGGGAAGAGGTTTTTCATGGTGTTCTAGCAGAAATACAGAAGGCTGGCCACTGGTTCAGGATTTTCCACTGATTCTACCAAGAAAATAACAGATCTAGGCTTTCTACCAAAATCTGACACCAACTGGGCACAGTGGCTCACGCCTGTAATCCCAGCACTTTGGGAGACTGAGGCAGACGGATTTTGAGACCAACCTGGCCACCATAGTGAAACCCTGATTCTAAAAATACAAAAATTAGCCAGTCATGGTGGTGTGAGCCTGTAATCCCAGCTACTTGGGTGGCTAATGTAGGAGAATTGCTTGAACCTGTGAGGCAGAGGTTGCAGTGAGCCAAGATTGCACCACTGCACTCCAGTCTGGGCAACAGAGTAAGACTCCGTTTCAAAAAAAAAAAAAAAAAACCTGACTCCAAAACTTATATTCTCTCTACTACATTATGAGGCCTCTTGCTCTCTTAATTTGTCTGAAGCACAGTGTTTATAATCTCTATGGACAATAAAGTTGTAACAAGAATAGTGAAGACATTCTGAACAAACTCTGGATTCCCAGTGTATTAGTCAAGGTGTGCTAGGCTAGGCTGCAGAAATAAACAAATCTAAAGCTCAGAGGCTTAAGTCTGATGCAGAATTTTTTGCTTAATGGATTTTCCTAGGTGGCTGTCACTTTAAGTAGTAGACTCAGGATCCTTATATTCAGAGGCCCCGCTCTCCCCTAAGCCTGAGTCCTGGTTGGATCCTCTGAAATCAGATAGCTGACAAGAAACGAGAGAGAGGGGGGTGTTTAGGGGAAGAGAAATGCATTTATGAAGGATCTCATGAATTTAGGCCTAGAAGTAGCATGTATCACTTCTGCCCACATTTCAATAGCCTCACCCTCACTTCCAGGGACCTGAGAAATTAGCCAATCTGAGGACCCAGAAGAAAAGAGAAATACTTTGGTAAGCATCTACATCAAGAAATAACACTATTTTAACATATAAAAATAATACACGCATATGGTTATAATAAAAGATACAGATTGATATAAAATAAAGAGTAGTCTCAAGGGAGTAAGTGGGATAGATATATGTAACTAGTTTTCCAATCAAGTCTTAACACTTTTTCCCCCAATTTTTGTTTTCCCCCTTTATTATCCCTTAATGTAATGACCTTTTGGAATGATTCCACAATTTCACAATCACTTTCAGTTTTTAAAAGTTGGTCCACTCAGAAATTTAAATCTCAAACCCAGTGTATGTTGTACCTGTTTGCCTCTCCCCAGCATAGGCTTGACCTGTACTTCTAGGGACCTGTGGTGGGCAGTTGGGTTGTCCACTCTTCTCCTCTGGCTCTGACACCTGGAATAGAGACACATGGCCTTATTTGTCACTGACACCTTTCCCTTCTCCTTCTTTTACACTCTGGAGCCTCCATTGTTGAGGGCGAGGAAACAAGATTGGAGTTAGAGGGCTTACTATGCTGGGTGTGACTTTCATCCTCTGTCTGTTGGGTCTACCTGGTCAAGCCCAGGCAACTTCTGAAGATCCATTTGATGTACCAGATATGCACATATACTTGCAACACCCTATCTTATGCTTCAGGCTTCTCCTCTGCTGTCCTCCACCCCTGCTCTACTGTCTCTGCCTTGCCATCTGTCTCTACTTCTCTTTCTGGCTCAGTTTCTCACTCAGCCAGGCAGAGGGGAATATCAACCAAGGAATGTGATGCCAGTCTCTTCTTAGAACCACCTCTCACCTTCACAGGGGATTCCCTTGGTAACCCTGACAGCAAAGGGGGTGAAAATACTCTTCTCCCCTTTCCCAGGCTTCTAACATAAGCTGAGAAGCAGGATGGTGAGGCTGGGAAATTGGTCAGAGGTAGCAGAGCCAGTAGAGTTACCTTTTCACAAACCTGGAGAGAGATGCTTCACTTAGTCCTTGTTGACAATTCTCTTTAGAATGCAAAAATCAGAGGTTTAGTGTCTCTTCATTCTTATCTTTGGGCTTTAGTTGGGAAATGTGGAAAAACAGTAGGTCTTATTAACCATCATTTTCATATATATATAGGATTAAAATATAACACACATATATATACATATGTGTATATCTATGTGCACATAGATATATAGATATTCCCCTTTAAAACATAAGTTAGTTCATATTACACATATCTCACTTTGAAAATCTTTTCTTTTTTCTTTTTTTGTGGAGACGGAGTTTCGCTCTTGTCACCCAGGCTAGAGTGCAATGGCTCATAGAGTGCGATTATGGCTCATTGAACCTCCATTTCCTGGGTTCAAATGATTCTTCTACTTCAGCCTCCCGAGTAGCTGGGGTTACAAGTGCCCACAACCACACATGGCTGATTTTTGTATTTTTAGTAGAGATGGGGTTTCACCATGTTGGCCAGGCTAGTCTCGAACTCCTGACCTCAAGTGATCTGTCTGCCTCGGCCTCCCAAAGTGCTGGGATTACAAGTGTGAGCCACTGCCTCCAGCCAGAGCTTTTCATATTAACATGTTTAGATATAATAGGTTATCTCTGGGGTACTGAGAACCAGCAAGAAGTGGCTGGAAACACATCAAAGCAAACTGACCAACACAAAAAGCCTGAGTCTCAACCTCAACTTTTTTGGTAAAAATTATCTCTACCAAACGTTCCAGTTAGCAACAGCTACAACAAAACAGCAGCAGTGAACACTTATTGAATATTTGTATGTGCAACTGACATGAATATTTTATTCAATACTCACAATGACTTTTAAGATAGATGCTGTGGCTATTCTCATTTTACTGATGAGGAACATGAGGATTAGAACAATTAACTTCCCCAAGGTCACAGAACTAGCAATGTGGTGGACTCAGTATTTAAACTCAGGATGGTGTGACCCCTAAAATATATTCTTAATCAATTTGTCTTTGTTCATCTATACATTGAATGCTGTACTCTTACTGAGGATGTGGCTTCCCTTCAATTTTTCATTTAAATATAAATTATTCAACCTGAGTATTCATGTAGATAATTCTTATTTAGGCCTTATTTGTACTGAAAGAACCTCTAAACTCCAGTTACCCTAGACTCTTTGTTTATTTATTTATTTATCTATCTATTTATTTATTTATTTATTTTTTGAGACATGGTCTCATTTTGTCCCCCCAGGCTGGAGTACAGTGGTCAGATCATGGCTCACTGCAGCCTTGACCTCCTGGGCTCAAACGATCCTCCCACCTCAGCCCCCCAAGTAGCTGGGACCACAGGTGTGCACCACCACACCTAAGTTTTGTAGTTTTTGTAAAGATGGGGCTTCACCATGTTGCCCAGGTTGGTCTGGAACTCCTGAGCTCAAGCGATCCACCTGCCTTGGCTGCCCAAAATGCTAGGATTACAGGCGTGAGCCATCATGCCCAGCTAGACTCTTACATGTACACTATACCTACCCTGAAATTTATATTTCTTATATCAGTGTTTTACTCAAGACTAGTGTTCTGCATTGGTGGAATATGCAGTCCATAGCATGATTTGAGTGGTAAATGGAATTATCTTTCTGTAACTTATTAAACTGAGATGCCACCATTGGTGATTCATTCTTTGGAGCATTGACTGAAGTGAAAGTAAGAAGCAGGCGGATGATCTAGAAGTGCTCAAAGAAGTAAAACTAAATAATAAAACTGTTGCAGGAATTAAGGGACAGGAGAGACCAATGGGTGGGACAGGAGGATTTTATTAGGTGAGCACCAGCCCAGCGGATTAACACCCAAAGGCTGAGCCCTGAACAAAGACAGGGCTTGACTTTTATACATGAATTTGAAAGGGGGTTGGCCAGTTTGATGGTGTGAAACCTGTAGGGTGGGTAAGCAGCTTACAGAAGCAGAACAAAGGCAGTTTGTTAAACAGTGACAGGTTTTGCAACTGAAGCATATCTTGTGACCTTGCCATGCTGTACAGAAGGGAAAAACAGGAACTTATAAAACTTTGCAAAATAATTATGAGAATGATAAGGGGGAAGGCGGAAGCTGAAAGAGAAGAAAAACTTGTTTTTCTCATCCCTGCTCTGGGATGGCAGGGAGAGGCTCTGGAACCCATCCCTTGAGGGCCCTGGCTCTGCAGATAGTGTTATCAAAGCCCTTCCAGAGCCCTGTCTATCGCTGGGCCTTGCAGTGAGTCAGCCTCCAAGAAAACTTGTTTTTTTTTTTATATCTCCTGCTTCAAAACAATTACTTTGGAACATAGATTATTCAACCAAATCTCAAAGGAGTGGGAAGGAAGTACCCACAAAACACCAGGAAAAGTTTAAGAAGAAAGACTTGTATGTTTAGAGTATAAAATTGAAAGATAAAATTGGAGGGAAAGAGATTTAATGACTTTTGCCCTTAAGAACATAGGCCCTCAAAGTGCCAAGTTTGCCATAGAGAAACATATCTGTCAAAACTGGGACCCAGGCACTGGTGGAATGAAATGAATTAGAGGTGATGGGGATCAGTATAGGACACTCAGCAGGGCTGAGTAGGTACAAAGGCCAGGCCAAATTTGACTCCTCTAGGGGCAGACTCAAGTTCACATTGGTTTAAAATTGGGTTCCAGCCTGGGTGATCAGGCTGTTGGGTGAGTTTCTCACACAGCGTCTGGGTGTAATGAAAGCACAAATGTGACAAGTGCTGCCAGTGAGGCTACAAAGCTAGTGAAAGGTGGGATGTCATTCAATCAAATGTGAGGCAGAAACCAGCTGGCAGAGGTAAGGCATGCCAGTCTTACGCATTTTATGTTATTTTACTTTACGCTATATATACTTTTAAATTCCCCTTTTCCACAGAGGAGGTCTATAGAACAATAAAATAAAACCCCTTTTAGTCTCCTAAGTAAAAGGATTCAACAGCTTTTAGTAAACCAAAAATATAAAAGAACCATTAAATTAGAGAATAATAGACAAATAATGAGGTTAGGTGATCAGACTGAGGGATGGATACTTACATCAAAAAGAAAAAAACAGGCTTCCATGATTCACGACTGAGTCTGAAAGCAGCTGTTTTTAAGCACATGTTGACTGAACAGTGGCTGAGAGCTAAGCACTTGTCATGACTGATCTTACTGGATTTTCCTAATAACCCATGATGTGAGTATTATTATTTCCATTATTATTATTTTTAAATCTAACAGGGAATCTAAACCTTGGCTTGGGTAACTTACTCAGAGTTTCACAGCCAGGTCATGGCCAAAGCAGAATTTGAACTTGGTTTGGCTTTAGAACCTGGGCTTTTAATCGTACTTGATACCTACTCTGAAGGCAGCAGATATTGGGAATCAAGTCAGAAGGAGACTGGGATTCACAGCCAGGATATCCATTCCCTGAAGATGCTGGGTAACAAGAGACTAAGGCAGGAAGTGTGGATGGGGAGCAAGGTCAGAACACGAGGAGTGTCTAAGAGCATCTCCTACCTGGGTTCTGTACTGAACATACAAGTAGAACTTCAGGGACAGTAACTTTGAAGGTTAGGAAGAGAAACAGAAAGGGAATCTAGAATGTGTCACACCATTCCCCCCTTGCTTGGCTGTGAGGCCTTCTGAATATCTGAAGCAAATAGGTTAATTAAAACAAAAGGTAACATCCTCAGATCACCTTAATCTACTCTAGATGGTGCCACAAGGTGCCAAGTGGTCTCTATTTATTTATTTATTTATTTATTTATTTATTTTGAGACAGAGTCTATTTTGCCCAGGCTGGAGTGCAGTGGCACGATTTCAGCTCACTGCAACCTCTGCCTCCCAGGTTCAAGCAACTCTCGTGTCTAGCCTCCCAAATAGCTGGGATTACAGGCATGCACCACCATGCCCAACTAATTTTTTTATTTTTAGTAGAGATGGGGTTTTGCCATGTTACCCAGTCTGGTCTTGAACTGGCCTCAAGTGATCTACCCTCCTTGGCCTCCCAAAGTGCTGGGATTACAAGCGTGAGCCACCGTGCCTGGCCCCAAGTGGTCCCTTCTAAGAGAGGTTTTCAAGCGACAGAGTCCCTGGTGTCTAAGGATAGACACTGGGCCATTGTCCATGTCTGGGAGGTAACCTAAGGAGGTGAAAGTTCACACAGCCATGAAATAATAGATGTAGTCTAAAGAATAAGCAAAAAAGAACAAAGAAGAATAATAAGGAATAAATGAAGGCTGAGTTATTTAGAGCTGGACGAGGGCCTGTTTCAGAAGAGGAAGTAAGTGGACGCAGCCCCGGCAGCTGCCACAGGATGAGTGTGTGATTTAGATAACTAACGTCTAGACTGAGAGCTACAGGGTTGCATATTTTTCTCACTTCATTGGATATTCTCTGCACAGTCAGCAACCATGAAATACAATAAACTGTTAAAAAACTTTAGACAAATTAAATTTAACAGAATTAAATTGCACAAGGAAGGATTCTCAAATCAGGCAGGCCCCTGACCCACTAACCGGAATAGGTTTAGAGACATCCTGGTGCTGCCACATGGTCAGAGATGATTTATGGACATAAAAAGAAAAGTGAGGTGCAGGAAATGGAAGTAAGGTACAGAAACAGCCCAATAGGTTACAACTCAGTATTTGCCTTATTTAAACGTGGTTTGGCTGGGCGCAGTGGCTCATGCCTGTAATCCCAGCACTTTGGGAGGCGAAGTGGGCAGATCTCTTGAGGTCAGGAGTTCAAGATCAGCCTGGCCAACATGGTGAAACCCCATATCTACTAAAAATACAAAAATTAGTTGGCCGTGGTGGCATGCACAGGTAATCCCAGCTACTTGGGAGGCTGAGGCAGGAGAATCGCTTGAACCCAGTAAGTGGACGTTGCAGTGAGCCGAGACTGCACCAGTGCACTCCATCCTGTGCGACAGCAAGACTCCGTCTCAAAAAACATAAAAATAAAAAACATGGTTTGAACAATCAGCCACCTGTGAGTGGTTGAGCATGGCTTCTGTGCTTGGCTGAGATTTGGCTACTTGTTACAACAGCCATTACAGTCTGTTTACACATCCAATTAGGTTATAGTTCACTATGTATGGAGAAACCTGTAGGCCAGGGATGTCCAATCTTTTGGCTTCCTTGGAAGAAGAATCCTCTTGGGCCACCCATAAAATATACTAATGCTAACAATAGCAGATGAATTTTTTTTAATTGCAGAAAAACCTCAGAGTGTTTTAAGAAAGTTTATTAATTTGTGTTGGGCCGGTTGAATTTCAAAGCTGTCCTGGGCCACATGTTGACTGTGGGCCAACAGGTTGGACAAGCTTGATTTAGGCCAAACTTAAATTTAGCCTAAAGCTGCCTCCTCACATATTTTAACAAAACTGAGTTTTTGTTTTTCAAGTTTGCCTCCATATAGTACTCAAATATGCTTGGGACTTGAAATATATATATTTTAACTTGTTATCTGTATGCTAATATTTGATATCCTAAGGACAGGTGGCAGAGTGTGGGCAACTGAAACCCAGCCAGCAGAAGAGAGAGAGATTTGGGGGAAGGCCAATGCCAGTGTCATGACACTGCTCTTCACAAACAACTGAGGACTTCTAGAAATCTCTGCTGTGCAGTGTCCACCAAAGAAATTCTGAAAATTAAATGCTGTATTGAATACACAGGTAAAAGCAAACAATAAGATGATAAAATTTTTGGACATAGTGGTAGATCTGGGGTTAGAACCTAGGGTTTATTGACTGTGAATTCGGTGTCCCTTTCAAAATATCAGATTACATCTTTTAGGGCTTTGTAGGAACTCAAATCTGCTAAGAGGTTTGTACCTGAAGAGTAGTATGAGAAGCACTTGTTTTTTAAACACATTCTTCAAAAGTGGCATCTTCAATGATTTTTAAAAAGACAGTAACATGATAAGTTGCCAAGACTATGGATAAAAGGCCGCAACGAAAGCAGCATGAAACAACACCAGCCAACATCCTTGGTTTTAAGTGAAATAGAAACATAGCCTGGAAAATTGAGGCTGAAATGGAATTTACTGGAAGCCTTTTGAGTAACTGTTCTATGTGGGAAATGCGCGAGGGGAAAAAACAAGACAAAATACGGCCAGGCGCGGTGGCTCACGCCTGTAATCTCAGCACTTTGGGAGGCCGAGGCGGGTGGATCACGAGGTCAGGAGATTGAGACCATCCTGACTGACACGGTAAAACCCCGTCTCTACTAAAAATAAAAAATATTAGCCGGGCGTGGTGGCGGGCGCCTGTAGTCCCAGCTACTCGGGAGGGAGGCAGGAGAATGGGGTGAACCTGGGAGGCGGAGCTTGCAGTGAGCCCAGATCGCACCACTGCACTCCAGCCTGGGCGACAGAGCGAGACTCCATCTCAAAAAAAAAAAAAAAAAATAGACAAACATACAATACCTTTGGGGGTAAACAACCTTTATCCCACGTAAATGGCAATGCAGATATAATAAGCAAATGATATAGTAAGCAAATTGCAATGGGAAGGGGAGAAGGGAAAAAAAAAAAATATATATATATATATATATATTTACACGCACCAGACTATGTTGGATTCATCACCAGACCGGGAAGCAACAGCCTGGGCTCCAGAGTCAGCCACTTGTCCGTGCACAGAGGAGGAGGGGTCTCAAGAAGCTTCCGTGTGGCCTGGGACCCTGGCTCATTTTTTTTTTTTTTTTGAGACAGAGCCTCGCTTTGTTGCCAGGCTGGAGTGCAATGGCACGATCTCGGCTTACTGCAACCGCCGCTTCCCGAGTTCGAGTGATTCCCCTGCCTCAGCCTCCCGAGTAGTTGGGACTACAGGTGCGCGCCACCACGCCTGGCTAATTTTTTGCATTTTAGTAGAGATGTTGGTCAGGATGGTCTCCATCTCCTGACCTCGTGATCTGCCTGCCTTGGCCTCCCAAAGTGCTGGGATTACAGGCGTGAGCCACCGTGCCCGGCCGACCCTGGCTCTTTTTGTAATGCGTTGATTGGCATGAGGCCCAGTCACGAGGGCCCTTCTCGACTGGGCTCAAGGAACACATAAAGGTCAACT
This sequence comes from Homo sapiens, assembly GCF_000001405.40. Classification (NCBI taxonomy): domain Eukaryota; kingdom Metazoa; phylum Chordata; class Mammalia; order Primates; family Hominidae; genus Homo; species Homo sapiens. Next base: position 20,742,282 of record NC_000016.10, on the reverse strand, counting down.
TGTTTCTGTGATTGTCTGTTTTTCAATAACTCAAGTACAGGTACAGAGTTATCTGTAACAGTGCTGGATGAATGAATGCCTCAAGGGGCTCATGCAACCTGTTACGGGACTTGACCATTGTGTCCACGTTCAATTGAGTTCAAATTTAATATTTAACTTTTCCTCCACAGTAGCTGGCAGAATTATAGGGAAGGCTGGAGGAACAGGTACCAAGGTTGGGTGGAAGAAGCTATATGGCTGGAGCCAGCTTCAAGGGCTTGAGGAGCCACCGACACCACTTCCAGAATGGCTGCTATGCTGCCTCTACTGGATTCAGGTTGCAGTCGGGAGGCGGGGCAGGAGGCGGGGCTTGGGCGGGTATCACTCCACCCCTTTCACGATTGCAGACCGGCCTTAGGACCTGGCGCAGCACGGAATGAGGCTTCGAGGCCGGCTAGGGGAGGCCGTCGCTCATATCCGACGTCACCAGTTCGCGCCGGCGATAGACGAGGACGCCAACAGCAGCGGAGAAACGTTTCTCTTTCCTCTCAGTTTGCGCACACCATGGCGGCCCCTGCCCAGCAGACTACTCAGCCTGGCGGCGGGAAGCGCAAAGGCAAGGCTCAGTATGTGCTGGCCAAGCGCGCTCGGCGCTGCGACGCTGGCGGGCCCCGTCAGCTAGAGCCCGGGCTACAGGGCATCCTCATCACCTGCAATATGAACGAGCGCAAGTGCGTGGAGGAGGCCTACAGCCTCCTCAACGAATACGGCGACGACATGTATGGGCCAGAAAAGGTACCGGTCCCGGGGTGGGCGGGCGGGCCGGCTGCCAGGCCTTGCGGGAGGAGGGAAGGGTGGAGGGATGGCTGCTGGTATGGGCATGCGCGCCTCGGGTCGTCGGCGTGACGGCTGTAGGGGCGTGGCCTCGCCGGCGTTTCCGTCCCTAGTCCTGAGACGCTCGCAGACTTCGGTGCTATCGGTTTTGTGCTTGAAGTGCTTGCACCTTTTCTTGCCATCAGTAACCACGGTAGCTCCCATTACTTTTATTTTTATTTTTGTGAGACAGGGTCTCGCTCTGTTGCCGAGGCTGGAGTGCAGTGGCGTGATGATAGCTCAGGGAAGCCTCGACTTCTCCTGTCTCAGCCTCCAGAGTAGCTGGGACTATGAGTGCGCGCCACCACTCTCGGCTAAGTTTTGTAAATTGTAGATAAGGGGTCTCACTGTTTGGCCCAGGGTAGTCCTAAACCCTACACTCAAGCGATCCTCCCGTCTCTGCCTCTCAAGGTGCTGAGATTACAGGCGCGAGCCACTGAGCCCGGCCTACCTCCCACTTAAGGATTGCTCATTGAGGGCCAGGCGGTGTGCTGAAGCTCTTTCAGAAACACATTTTTCATGACAGCCTCGTGAAGTTGGAGTAATAATGTGTTTACCTGAAGCAATAATATTTCTGAAATAATAGGTTTACTACTAATGCTAGTTACTGCACTTAAAATACATTTTAGAACGTAAAAACTTTTACCAATATCACCTAAAGTCTTAGTGTTTGGAAATCATATTACTGGCTTAGAATCTGGACCAATACACACACGCACACTGAGGGATTAAATGAAGAAGGGTAATACAGAGGGAATTTAAATTCACGGCTCATCCTCTACTAGCTTGGGGACTCGGACATGGGCACATTATTTGATGCTGCTGAGCTAGATAAAAAAGAGAATACTTTAAGACTGGCTAGTGAGTTGCTTATGTACATAAAATACATACTGGTATGTAATAAAGTTTCTGTAAATGTATACAATTATTATTGTGCCTGACTGGCAATTTCGTTGGGCACTAGGGGGCAGAGAGCTGGGCAACAAGCACATATCCTGTCTACTCCTGTACTTTAAGCAAATTCTTTTTTTGGAAGCGGTCTTGCTCTGTCACCCAAGGTGGAGGTTGGAGTACAGTGGCATGCTCTTGCTCACTGCAACTTCCACCTCCGGGGCTGAAGCAGTCCTCCTGCCTCAGTCCCCGAGTAGCAGGGACTGCAGGCATGTGCCACCATGCCCGACTAATTTTTTGTATTTTTTGTAGAGACGGGTTCTCAGGCCATGTTGTCCAGGCTGGTGTCAAATTCCTAGGCTCAAGGGATCCGCCCACCTCTGCCCCCTAAAGTACTGGGATTACAGGCATGAGCCACCATGCTTGGCCAAAATTATTGAACAATGTATTTCTGTGCCTTGTTCCTTAATAGAACAAGAGTAAGGGTTTTTAATTCCACAGGTATTTGGTCTAATCTCACCAAAAGGACAGTGTCGTGTGAGGCACACAGATACCTGGTCAACGTGTTAAGGTCCACCCTAAAATGATTGATCTGGTCAGCACGTTTCTCTCTGCCTCAAACTGTCAGGATGCTTTTGAAAACATTTTCAAATTTTACATTCTATAGTCTGCGGGAATTCCCTCTTCCTCCACATTTTTTTTTTTTTTTTAATTTTTTTGAGACAGAGTCTTGCTCTGTCACCCAGGCTGGAGTGCAGTGGTGCAATCTCAGCTCACTGCAATATCTGCCTTCTGGGTTCAAGCGATTCTCCTGCCTCAGCCTCCTGAGTAGCTGGGATTACAGGCGTCTGCCACCACATCGGGCTAATTTTTGTATTTTTAGTAGAGACAAGGTTTCACCATGTTGGCTAGGCTGGTCTCGAACTTCTGACCTCAGGTGATCTGCTTGCCTCTGCCTCCCAGAGTGCTGGGATTATGGGCATGAGCCACCACTTCCGGCCTTGCTCCACGTTTTGAAGGGTGTGGTGTCCCAGCTTCGTAAAAAAAGCTTTATTATCAATACTGAGTCAGCTGGGCATGGTAGCTCACACCTGTAATCCCAGCACTTTGGGAGGCTGAGGCGAGTGGATCACCTGAGGAGTTTAAGACCAGCCTGACCAACATGGCGAAACCCCATCTCTACTAAAAATACAAAAATTAGCTGTGTGTAGTGGCATGCGCCTGTAATCACAGCTACTTGGGAGGCTGAGGCAGGAAAATTGGTTGAACCCAGGAGGCGGAGGTTGCAGCAAGTCAAGATCGCACCACTGCACTCCAGCCTGGGAGGCAAAGCGAGACTCCATCTTTAGAAAAAAAAAAAAAATCAATACTGAGCCACCTGCCGCCAGGGACTTCACATAAATAATTACTTATAGTGTTTAAATGTGAGCTGTTGTGTCATTTCTGCTCATTAGTTTTATGCAAACAGTTTACAGACAAGGATCAGCAGCCCTCTGGAAGTGAGGGAGAGGATGATGATGCGGAGGCTGCCTTGAAGAAAGAAGTTGGTGACATTAAGGCATCTACAGAGATGAGGTTAAGAAGATTCCAGTCAGTGGAAAGTGGAGCAAATAACGTTGTCTTCATCAGGACACTTGGGATAGGTGTGACAAATACTTGCTAAGATTATCGATCTCATAACATCTGGGTATCTTCCTGTCTCAGGGAATACTGCTTACAAAATGGCTTCTTGGGCATGACTCAGTTAATCATTTGATGGCAGCTTCTGTACACTGTATTAGCAGTTGGCCTGTGGAGAGGTAGAATGGGGTGGTGGACGTAGCATTGGCTTATGAGTGGAAACCTGGCTTTGCTGCTTCCTTCGTATATAACTTAAGGCAGAACTAGAGTGCCAGTTCTGTGTAAATAAGGGGCAGCTGCTACTCAGCTCCAGCCAGTTGTTGCTCTTTGGGAATGCAGGGCCAGGTATTTGAATTTCTCAAAAGAAGTTTGAAATCTGGAGTTTTTTTGTTTTTCAGTGTGGTCAACTAATTTACAAATTTTCGGAGCAGCCCCAAATATACTTGTATGTAGGCAAGTTGCAGCCTGAGGACCTCCCTTTCATGATGTTGTGCCCAGCATGGTTCTGGGATTCCTCTTGGGTCTGAGATTTAGACTTGTGTGCTAACTTAGCTAATGGATTAATTACATCTTTTAAAGTGACTCACAGAATTTTTTTTTTTTTTTTTTGTAAAAAAGTGTGTACTGTTTAATGTACTCTGTTGTTACAGGAAAACAACAGCATGGTGTTACGGTTGGATAACTCAGGACATCACAAAAATGTTAACAACGGTGTCTACCTAAACAGTCATTTCTAGTGCAAGCAGTAATAATGATGAAAAGTTAAAATATATTAGATACATTATAGTACGTATTAGGCACTGAAGAAATACTGTTTGGAAAGAATGACTAGGTAGATTCATTTAAAATTCATTATGAGAATTTCTTCTGTCAACTTATGTCATTGCCAGTGAAAATTCATTTTAGAGTTCGATCTTTAAGATGTCTGAGAAATTATCTTCTTAACTTTTTTTTTTTCTTAAGAGCCTGAGAAATTGGTGCATCATATTCTCCAGGATATGTACAAAACCAAGAAAAAGAAGACTCGAGTTATTTTGCGAATGTTACCCATCTCAGGCACATGCAAGGCTTTTTTAGAAGATATGAAAAAATATGCAGAAACATTTTTGGAACCCTGGTTTAAAGCTCCAAACAAAGGGACATTTCAGATTGTGTACAAATCTCGAAATAACAGTCATGTGAATAGAGAAGAAGTTATCAGAGAATTGGCAGGTATGTTTCTCTTAGTGATTTTCCATAGGCATTCAATGGTAAATACTTGTTTTTTAAGGATTTTTTTCTTTTTAAAGATTTAAGGCTTACATTTTTGAGTGTAGAACAAATATATTAAAATGTTCTTAAAATAGTATTAAATCAACTGATTTCAATATGTCGGATATGAGATTTTCTGGTAGTTAGATAAAAGTCTTTTTTAACTCGAAATTGAATTTTGTTTGGAAAAAAATTCTTATTAAATGTTGTAGGGTTTCATTTGTGTTTATTTATTGTAAGGGTTCAGATTATTTGAAGTCCACATAGAAGAGTGGATTACTGTATGTCTTGTTTTAACAAGAAACAGAGACAAAAGATTTTTTGTATCTATCAGATGTAATGGTATCCTCCTCAGCTATGTGTTTTTCTGTTTTTGTTACAGGAATAGTGTGCACCCTCAATTCAGAAAATAAAGTGGATCTCACCAATCCACAGTACACAGTGGTAGTAGAAATCATCAAAGCTGTCTGTTGCCTGAGTGTTGTGAAAGATTACATGTTGTTTAGAAAATACAATCTCCAGGAGGTGGTGAAGAGCCCTAAGGATCCGTCACAGCTTAACTCAAAGCAGGGAAATGGGAAAGAAGCTAAACTGGAATCTGCGGACAAATCAGACCAAAACAACACAGCAGAAGGAAAAAATAACCAGCAGGTACCAGAGAATACTGAGGAGCTGGGGCAGACAAAACCAACGTCTAATCCACAGGTGGTAAATGAGGGAGGAGCCAAACCTGAACTTGCAAGTCAAGCCACAGAAGGATCCAAGTCAAATGAAAATGACTTCTCATAGGAAGTCATTTGGTGTTGGAGGTGGGTTTCTCACCTGGGGCTCTACGAGATGTTGCTGGGGCTCCACCTTAAATTGTGACTAAAAACAGTTTTTTATTTGTGTGCTGCATTATGCTGTTCTCACAGTAGTGAGCAATGATTGCGCAGCCCTGTTAACAGTTTTTTTAGGGATCTTTCAGCCTTTATGGTATTACGTAGAGGCAGACCCATGTGCTGCTGTTGCAAAGAGGGGAGGATAGGAGGGGGATGTTGGCCTCTCCCAGGCTCCTCTTCTGCAGTGCCAGCTGACTTAAGGGAGTGAACTACCTGTGAAGTAGAAAATCAGAGGGAAGTTTTCATTCTAAGGAAGGAGTTTTTACATGCCACAGCTCAGCTGTCTGCCTGCCACTTTGTTGTAAACATTGCAAAAATGTGGATCATGTAGGTTAGAAGTGAATTGTTTAGTGAAGTTTTTGTACTTTTGTGATTTTCTTGTTTATGTCTGTTTTTTTTTTTTTTTTTTAACATTTGTGTGTAATATAGCTGACAGTCCAGTGTCGCAATTTTGGAAGGCAAGATGTGAGAGAGACGAGAACCATTTTAGGCATAGAACTACAGACATTTCTGAAAAGGTTGGTGATGAAGAACTTCAGTCTTCTGAGTATACTTCAGTATACTAGTGCAACAAGGGACACAAAGAAATTCTGTCTTAATAAAGAAAGCTACTTCTCAAGGGTATTATGTGGACTCAGTCCAAGCTCTCCTGTCCCATTGTGCATTGTCTGTGACATGCAACTTACAAAACTAGCAATTGTAACAATAAATCACAGCCACTTGACAAGAAAGGATATTCATTATTTTCAAATGGCTTTTGGACTATCAAAAACAGTAAGGCTTTTGTTCAGAAATCACCTTTAGTCAAAAGGTTTAAGAAGCAAATTATTTAGTAGCAGAACTTATCTCAGGAAAGGAAAATATGCATGGTTGGTGAGAATCTAATAACATTAAAATGCTGGGGCAAGATGCAGTACAAAGTTGAAGAGACTTTATTCTCAATAAGTTGATTTACTGATGATATGTCATATGATGCAAAAAAGGTTTTGTGTCATTAACTGAAAAGTAGCAGCTTCTCTATCCAGGATGATGAGTCAACAGGTTTCACTAATATTTGTCATGCTGTAGCATTTGTAAGATTTGTAAATGATGAAATTCAAAGAAAACTTTTTCTATTGCTAGGAGCCTGCCAGAACAAAGGCCAATATATAATGTTGTGACATCATATCTGATAACCAGAGGTCTGGTATCTACACTCCTGGTGCCCCATCAGTGGTTGTCTCCATAAGTCATTTTGCGTTATTAAAAAAAAAAAAAGAAATCCTGATGTTGACATTATAGCACACTGCTTTCTCCACAGAGATGCTGATATCAAAAACTTGAAGATACAGTGAAGTTCTGAATAATGTTACAAAACTGGTTACCTGTATCAAAGACCCATTTATGCAAAAATGTTAAAAAAAAAAAAAAACACCCAAAACAAAAACCTGGACAGACAGCACATAAACCTCCTGCACCATACAGACATCCAGTGGCTTCTCAGAGGAAGCGTTCTCTACAGGATATTTGAATTGAAAGGTGAATTGCCAGAGTACTTACAATAAAACAGCCAGCTTTTGCTGAGTGCTTTGGAAATGAAAAATGACTACAGAAAGTAGCCTATTTTGCAGACGTTTTTCATCACATGAACAAATGGACAAGTCTCTGAAAGGTTCTGGGGAAAAAAATTTTTCTTAAAGCGACAAGACTCTTAGATCTAAAAGGAAACTGACTTGCCACCTTGCCAGAGGAATTCTTGAAATGTTTCTGCAGCCACTTGGCCTTGAAAATAAAGGGTGCAACTCTCAAATCTTGTTCTAACCCGGCTGGAGGAACCACAAGACCCAATGAAATAGCATTTTCTCTCCTTTTCCCAGCACTAGTATATAACCTATGAGGAACCCTTGTCTCTGAATCTGCTCAGCTTGAAATTTTGTCTCTGAAGGAAGAGAATGAACTCAGCCCTAGTCTGACAGTCCTAGATTTCTGTGAAATAAGAGTATTCTTCAACTTAGTGCTCACACTCACATACCATGAGGGTTCTCTGCAGGGGTTTAGGGGTTTCCTGAATTTGAAAGTTTTTTCAAGGCCTCTTTTTGGGTAAAACAATTGAAAAGGCAGACACCAACAAAGTCTGCAAAATTAACTGTCCAGATTAAGAATATTAAGGAGCTGTAAAATTAGCTTGTAGAAATGGACTTATCCTTAAGTTTTAAAAAGTTAGGAAATCCTAAAAATGTTAGGCTTCCTGCACAAGTGGCTATGTTCATTTAATGGCTAGTGAACATGGGAATGTATTTTTATCCTCCTAGCTGGTGGTTCTGTTTGGTAAACCAGACTAGAATGATTTGAGAGGGGCAAAGAGAATAGGCAGGACCTTCCTTCTATAGCTTTACATATTTAGAATGTTAATACTTAATGACATTGAAGTTACCTTGCAATGATTGATAAGAGGATTATTAATATCAGTTAGGGGAATAGGGAGGATAGGATTTTGGTGCCTTCTTCAGCAGACTTGCTCCAAGACAAAGATTCTATTTTGATAGTGCAAGACAAAAGGACTCGGAAGAAAATTGGCCATATGCCTACAGAGCATACAACTCTGTGGAACTAAATTGTTTTTACTTTGTGAAAGCTGCTATTTTACGGAAAGATTTTGATTATACAGTTTGTTTTTAAATTGTCTTTTATATTTATTTGTATTTGGTAAGAATCGGTTGTTACACAAGCTGTTCTTTCCCAGTTACAAAATCCTGTGTTCGGTTGTAACCTGAACTCATTAAAAGACTTGTTTTCAGGTTTATCAACTGTTTATTTTCACTGACATTTGAGCATGTTATTTTATAAATGACGGGATTCCAGGGTAGGAAGTGCTTTTTATTCCCCTTTTGTTTTTTCTTTTAAAAAATTACGTCAGTTAAAAAAATAAAAAAACTGCAGTCTTATGGTTTAGAAAACTTGTTTAGCTCCATAGAGGAAAGAATGTTAAACTTTGTATTTTAAAACATGATTCTCTGAGGTTAAACTTGGTTTTCAAATGTTATTTTTACTTGTATTTTGCTTTTGGTACGGCCAGAAATCGAGCTTGTTTTTTCATAGTTCCTGATATTTTCAGAAAAATCAAAATAAATTTGTTCCCTAAAAATTGGTGTTCTAATATTTTTTCTTTCTTTCTGACTCTTAGTAAATCTCTTGCTTTATAGTATATATATATCATAAAATATGTTTATATGTCAAATTATAAAATGCCATGGACATGAGCCTAAAAAACATTAAAAAATTATTACCCTTGAATAATTAATACTTCTAAATCCAAGTTTCAGATATTTTACAGTTAATTTGCTTCAAAATGAGCCATAGTAATACAGTACTTACTTTCATTAAATTCACTTACTGATTTTTGAATTATTTATACTCATTTTAACAGTATTTTAATATATTGAAGTTTGGTCTCATAAAGTTGTTAAGTAGAAGAAATTGTCTTGAACATTTAGGATATATCTTTATTTTGAATTAATCAGGCACAAGATAGATGAAATACAGATTCATTGTGCACTTTCTTTTTCTAAGTAATCATTTGACTCCTGCAATTTTAAACACTAGAAACCATCATTACCTTTGTCAGTTTGGTTATTGAAACAATTTTCATCCATATATTTTTAGACTTTTATTTACTTTTTAATTTTTTAGCTAAGTAGAAAACAAAAACTTAAACCAGGAAGGATCTTAAACATTTTAAGAGAGTAGTCACTGAATTATCAGGAACAAATCGAGAAAGCAATCATATTACTACTTAACCCTTCAGCTTTTTTATCAAGCTATGTTCGTCCCTATTCTTGGTCTCTTAAAACGTGTTTGATTCTCCCAATGATTGTCTTTGGGAGTTCTTGAACAAATTCCACCTAATTGACGGAAAAACGTTATGAGACATTTGATTCCGTTTTTCCAATTGTCAGTGCAATAGGAGAGAGCTTGCATGAAACTCTGAGACTGAATTTTAAAGTCTAGATTATCTTAGCCTAAGCTTATTGAATCTCATAGACACCAGAAACTGTTCTGTTTGTACAGGAAGGGTGACAGTGTAGCTCCATCTTGGGGGTTTTTAGTGCAAATTCACTTAAATGCTTTGCCACAAGAAAGTAATAATCCCTTTACCCCATTGCTTTCCCCTAGTTCAAACTAGTCCTAGGTCTCTACTGTTCTAGAAAGTGGAGACTTCACCTAAATGCAAAAAGAACACTTAGTTCTTGTCTTTGCAGAGCTGGACCCTGGAGATTGGAGAAGATTTTTTAGGCATAATTTGGAATATATACAGTTTTCTGCCCTGACTTGACCATAAAAATCCTCTTTTTATTCTCTTCTGTCAAAATAAGACGACTACTGTATTTTAAAATGTCCTCAAATAGCCTTTCTGAAAGTCAAAAGTTCATTAATTTAGTGAATGTAATGGAGAAATTGTTGAATAGTTCTTAGGTTGAAATTTACTACCTTTTGACTGAAATGATGCTAACTAAAACAGAAATTTCATGCAGAGGATCAGTCAGTATCAACCAATTCCATGGTTAGAAGGAAACTACAGGGCCATCTTCATGTCTTTATATAGTATTTTTCTTAAATCCTTATTTGATGAAAGTTTCAGGAAAGATTTCATGGTTTCTTTGGGTATTCTTTCTGAATATTAATGGGGTCCCTTGATACATACAGGTATGTTCTTTGAATTTATATGGGTATTAGGGCCAAGAGTCCTAGGATAGATGAGTCAAGTGCTGTCCCTAAAAACAAGGCAGTTGGCCATTCTTGGCCACTGTGCTTTTCTTATACAGAATGGGACAAATTATTTCTAGAAAGAATCTTAGTAGTGATTCAGTATTGCAGAGTTGATTAAAGGCTCTAGTTTATAATGCATTTATACTGTTCTAACAAAACATTTTCAAGTTCTTAGGGCTAAACAAAGGTGCCCTCTACCTATATAATGAGCTACTATAAAGTCAAAATCCAGTAAAATCTACATTTTAGCTTAGGTCTTAGTTTGGTAACATCCAAACTTAACTTTTGGACAAAATACTTACTTTCTTGGATATTTGTAAGGTGCAGTTGATTTTTTTCACATGATCCTGAAGCTCAAGAGTTAATTTCTCTAGGCTGTAGGACTTACAGGATGGAGCTAAGACAACAAAAGCTTTCACCACCTGCAACAGATAATTTATCTTGCTCTGTTTTTCAGACACATCAAGGATCTGCAACCAATGCTGAACATAGGTACTTACTGTTTGTTAATAGCAGTTTGAGTGATGACTGCAAATGCCAGAGATTGCTTCTGAACAAAGCTTGGATACAATTACAAAGTGAGGTTTTGAGAATAATTCCAGGTAAATGGTTTGTGAGTATGAGGAGTGCAGCGGTTCAAGAAAGCTAAGTTCTATTTACAGGTCACACATGTATTTAACATTTCAGAGTGATCCCATTTATTTCACAGGCAGTCTTTGCTTTATAGATGACCACTTACTCCTTCGAATCTATACCACTAGAAGCATGTACCAGGGGGACAAATGGAGCTCCCAGAGAATATGTGGTTTCAAGGGAGTTTGAAGAGTCTCAATGGAGGAAGGACTGTGTATCCTGGGAGATCAAATCTCAGGAAGGGGCTGAGTGTAGTGGCTTACACCTATAATCCCACAACATTGGGAGGCCAAGGTAGAAGGATAGTTTAAGCTCAGGAGTTTGAAACCAGCCTGGTCAACATAGTGAGACCCCATCTCTATAAAGACTAAAAAGAAAAAATTAGCCAGGGCACGATAATGCACATGTGTAGTCCTAGCGACTCAGGAGGCTGAGGCGGGAGGATGCTTGAACCCAGCAGTTTGAGGTTGCAGTGAGCTATAACTGCACCACTGCACTCCTGCTTTTTGCCTGGGTGACAGCAAGTCTCCATCTCAAAACAAAACAAAATGAAACAAAAAACTCTCAGGAAAGATTGATCTATCTCTATAAGGTCGTTTTTTGCCTCATATTGTTTGCTTCTCTTTGTAATACTGTTTAAAACCTACCAATTAGATAATTACTGAGGTTAGTAAGCATAATTTATATTATTCATTGATTCTAATTGGTGGTTACTTCTGCTCTTCAGCTGAAATCATTTATATTGAGAGGATGAGAACATGGCAGCAGGAGGAAACTATTTCTGAGAATGGAATAAATGGGAGTGGAGGGGGTATAAGAGGTAAGAGTAGGGGACCCATAGTGTCACTGCAGAGGCTCACTGGTGTGTGAGAGGGAGGTACAGATGTGGGAGGATGCTGAGAGACAAACTTTTGAAATTTTGTCACTTGCTGTGTCTGTAGGAAACTTCCATGAGGAAAGGAAATTAGGAAAATTGGGCTTCTTCCTAGAATTAAGACTATTATTGTCATTGCCAGAGTTTCCTTCCCATTGGTCCTAAACAGGCTCATGAGACTTGTTTGGGAAACTGGCCACAATTTTCTATCTGCCTTGTTTCTGTGAGAAAATGTATTCTGAGTTCCATGACAGTTGTCCATTCAGTGAAATCTGCTGCCTATTCAGTGAAATCTGCATATGCTTATGCAGTATCTGTTCCCCCTTTTTAGTAGCTACTGTAGTTTTTCCTATAGAGTATTACCCTATCCTCTCTGGTGGGATTGACACCAACCCCTACCTCCAATGATAGACATATGATCCAAGTCTGGCCGATCAGCATATATCATTCCCTGAACCACATTGGTGAGAGATGTGATCTAAGGTAGGCAAATGCAGTCCTGAGAGTTACTTGAAATGACTGAAAAGAGAGCTCTGTCCTTTCCTGGAGGGGTGGAGGATTGTTAACCTGTGTAAGTCTGGAGTTGATTGCTATCAAATAGGAAGAACCTGCTCAAATGGAGCCAGCATAAAGAACAGCAGAGCCAAAAATGGAGAGAGACTAAGACTTGCCAACCTTACATGAACCCTTGGATGTGGCTGTACTTGAATACTTGTCATTTATATGAGCCAAATGTCTTTTTTTTTTTTTTAACTTAAGGCAGTTTGAGTTGAGTTTCTGTCACTTGCCTTCAAAAGAATCCTAATAGCTCCCCTTTGGGACACGACTTATTGTAAAGTTGGTTGCCTGGTTTATATTTTGGCCAAATGCATGCCTCATAGTGAGAATTAAATGACCACTTTTGGTTCAGCCTTTACCATGGTCAAATGGACAGAACTCAAAAATATAAAGTTGCTACTTTAATTAATGATATTCATCTACCTCTCCACAAATTGGATATGGACTACTGACAACAGCTGATTTGACAACTGCTGGATGCTCAGCAAGCACACTCTCCACTTCAAATGGCCCAATACGGTACCTGAAAAGGAAAAGAAGCCTTTGACCACCACATCCTCCAGTAGGAGAGCTCCCCCCCTGTCAATCCTTGCCTCTTAAGAGTGGCAAATCTACAAACCCAGAGGAAATAATGACATCATCAGCTCTGCCGACAAACCAGAAATACCCATCACTGTCCATCATTCCTCTGTCTCCAGTGACATAAAAATCTCCCCTTACCGTGGCAGCAGTTTTCTCTGGACTGTCCTAGGAATCAAAGATGACATTTGGGGATTAGTTTGGTCAGAACAGAAATGGGTATAACACTCATTAAGTGACAAGTACATTACAAATTGTACTTCTAAAGGAAATTATTTATTTTATATTTTGAGACAGAGTCTCTTTCTGTTGCCCATGCTGGACTGCATTGGCTTGATCATAGCTCACTGCAGCCTTGACCTCCCAGGCTGTAGCAATCCTGTCGCCTCAGCCTTCTGGATAGCTGGGACCACAGGCATGTGCCACCACACCTGGCTAATTGTTTTATGTTTTTGTAGAGACGGGGTCTCACTATGTTTCCCAGGCTGGTCTTGAACTCTTGGGCCCAAGCCACCCTCCCACCTCAGCCTCCCAAAATGTTGCAATTACAGTATGAGCCACTGTCCCTGGCTGGAAATTAATTTTTTAAAAAAGGTAGTTCCTAGTATAAGATATAAAAGGTCCCAAATAGTATAATAAAAAGCCCCTCTTCCACCTCTAGCACCCCCCAACTGCACCCCCATCCTACCCTGTCCAGTTTTCCTTTCTGAGGATAACCACTGCAACCAGTTTGTTACATTTGGAATTTCATCTTTATAGTACTCAGGTGATAGGTGATAGTCTCTGCATTTTACTGCTGATGAAATAGATTTTGTTGCTTGCCTGAGGTTACATAGCAAGACATGGTGGAAATGAAATTTGGACCAAAGTCTGTATTAAGACATGACTAGCACTTTCTATCCTCATATCACATATTCAGAGAAGAAACAGAAGGGCTGTGTAGACTTTAGTCTGAGGGCAATTTCCCCTTCTTTGCCAGGTGGTAGAACATTGCCATTTTCATCTATAATCTAGAATGAAAGAAACAATTGATTTTCTTAAAATTTTCTTTTCACAAAATGAAAGCAGGTTGTAAATAGTTGTACAGTGAATAGCAGAAAACTGTAAAACGTTCTTTCTGCTTTATTGAACCGGTCAGATATTTTCTCAACCTACCTGGACATCATAGTGAAGCATTCTTTCCCCATTGAGCCTGGTTTAATTTTTTGTCCTTTCTGATTGGCACAAATTATTCCCATTGAGAGGACAAACTTTGCATAAGTAGACAAAAATTCATTTTCTGAAACTATATCATGACAATGAAACTTAAGATTCAGTTTGGACTGATTTTCCCAGTATTTAAGCACACCTTCTGAAATATACTATTTGAGACCAGTAGTTCTCAAACATGGGTGTGCTTTAGAATCAAATTGGAGATTCTGGAGCATTGTTGAAACACAGATTTATGGGCCTCATCCCAGAGTTTCTAATGCATTAGGTGTGGAGTGGAGTCCAAGAATTTGCATTTCTACCAAATTCCCAGATGATGCTGATGTTGCTGGTTTGGGGACCACTGGTCACTTTGAAAACTACTCCTTAGACTCCATTAAGTGCACCCTGGAATAAATTCCCCACAGAGGCTCTCAGATGATTCTTCCCAGCACAGTTGGAGAGATGAGCTGCTCAGTTCTGAGCCTCACCCACCTGCTAAAGCCCCTGAGATTTCTCCTGCATGAGGGGGAGGCAGGAATGATGGAATAATAATCATCACCCCTTTAGCAAAACCTAACTGAGCAGTTTGCAAGTTTTGGTAACTACTGGCAAGATGAGGTATACTGGGAAACTGTAAAAATTTAGAGTGGGATGGAGGCACTTCAGGGGCTCAGGTTGAAAATCCTGGGGCAGAAAGGCCCCCAAATATACTAAACATAAATGTTGCCCTTTAAATATACCACTTCCGTCTGTCCATAGCTCTCATGTAGCTCCAGCCCAGTTTGTGCCCTCCACTGCTCCAGCACCTCCGGGGTGAGGGCCTCCCCTCCTGTCAAGCAGTGCCGCAGCCTCTTGAATTTATATCTGGAGAGACAGAGTTGCATGGGGCCTTTTTGAGAGGAACCTGAGTGCTTTCCCTGCAAGATAATTAGGACATTCAAGCAGCAAGCATAGAAGCTAGGAGAGGCAAGTCTTAGGAAAGTTCATTCAACAAAAACTTGTTGAACACCTACTGTATTGTTAGACATTGTTCTAGGCATATGGGGCACATTAGTGATTATAACAAAAATTTCTGACAGCTTACATTTTAGCAGATGGAGGAGAACTTAGCTATTAAAGATGTTAAAAGGTGGGAGAAAATGCTATTAATGATACTAAGTGCTTATTACAAGCCACATGATATAACAGCTAATACTGATTGAGCAGTTGCTAGGTTATAAGGGCTTTAGAAGCATTCTTAGACTCCTCTCAACCCCTACTTTACACATGAGGACATTGAGGCTCAGAGAGTTTAAAGAACTTGCCCAAGGCCTTCCAAATAATAAAGGGCTGAGTTGATACTCATGATACTCTGTACCAGGCACCTCCCACTTGTCAAGGTGATCTCACCAAGCAAGTCACTTACATTAAATTCTCACCACAGCCTTGTGAGGTGGCTCTTAATCCTCTCTTATAGATGGAGTTGATGGAGGCTTAGTAAGGATATCTTGAGTGTCCAAGGCCACACTATTAGTAAGTAGTAGGGCCCTGCCTGTTTGATTTTGAGCTTAGCTTTTAACCACTGGCGTTACTGAAGACAGGTGAGAAAGCCTAGAACAGCTTGCTTCTCAAACACTGAGGCCCCAAATGAACCAGAGGATGTGGGTAGAATACAAATCATATGCATTCAGAATAATCGTTGAATAGTCCCTGAATTACTATTGAAATGTGAGCAAGATGCTCACATAGGACCAAAGGCGTTGACACTGACTAGGGAAAGAGAAGATTTGTATTTGCATTATTCTGTCTTGCATAGCACTTTCCCTCTTGGGCATCCACACTTTGTTGGCAAAAGAGGATGGACAAGCCTGCACTTCTTAAATTGCTCCTCTCTTCCTTTCTCTCCTCATGTATTGAGTTTGAATTAAACAAATATACATTGTAACTCTACTGGATGTTCATGTAGTTTGGCTAAACTGAATATAACCTTCAAGTCAAACTTTGTTAGCTTCTCTTCAAGGCAGTATAAATATGCTTTTCTTTCTTTTTTGAGGGCTGGTTCTAAATGACAGTGTTTCTAAAAAGTAGTACTAGAGGATAAATTTTTTGAGGGGGAGTTCGGGGACTATAGAGCTCTGGTTGTTCCTGGAAAAATGTCCAGTTGTCCTAGAGGATATTCCGGTGGTTTGTAGACTAGGGGACAATTTTGCCCCCCAGGAGACATTAGGCAGTGTCTAGGGACTTTTTTTTTTTGGAAATGGAGTCTTGCGCTGTTGCCCAGGCTGGAAGTGCAGTGGCGCGATCTTGGCTCACTGCAACCTCCACCTTCCGGGTTCAAGCGATTCTCCTGCCTCAGCCTCCAAAGAGGCTGGGATTACACGTTGTGTGCCACCACGCCTGGCTAATGTTTGTATTTTTAGTAGAGACAGGGTTTTGCCATGTTGGCCAGGCTGGTCTTGAACTCCTGACCTCAGGTGATCTGCCCGCCTCAGCTTCCAAAGTGTCGGGATTACAGGTGTGAGCCACTGTGCCCAGCCTAGGGACATTTTTGATTGTCGCAGATGGTGGGGAGGAGGTGCTACTGGCATCGAGTAGAGTCTTGGGATGCTGCTCAATATCCTGTAATGCATATGACAGCCCCCTCGATGACACAGAATTATTGGTTCAAAATGTCAGTAGTGGTAAGACTCAGAAAGTCTGGGCTGCCCTGTGCTGAAAAAGGGAGATCTGTGATGCTGGATGGTAGCTATCATTTGTGGTTCAAGTGGAAATTTCTGCCCAAGTACCTCTTAAGGTCTTTTTGTAGAAGCATCCAGTACATGGTGGGAGGGCTGCACAGGGTTGTGATGGGATAAGTGGTAAGTGTCTGGATGATGGAGAAAGACACAGAAGTCAGAAGCGGTCAATGAAAGGCTATGACTGGAGCTGATATCTACACCCTGTCATTCCCTTCCATTAACATGTGCCCATCCCGTGGTCACTACTAGGAATAAGAAAACAAATATTTATTTCTGAGGGCTCTGTTCTGTTCCATTGGTCTATATCTCTGTTTTGGTACCAGTACCATGCTGTTTTGGTTACTGTAGCCTTGTAGCATAGTTTGAAGTCAGGTAGCGTGATGCCTGCAGCTTTGTTCTTTTGGCTTAGGATTGACTTGGCAATGCGGGCTCTTTTTTGGTTCCATATAAACTTTAAAGTTGTTTTTTCCAATTCTGTGAAGAAAGTCATTGGTAGCTTGATGGGGATGGCATTGAATCTATACATTACCTTGGGCAGTATGGCCATTTTCACGATATTGTTTCTTCCTACCCATGAGCATGGAATGTTCTTCCATTTGTTTGTATCCTCTTTTATTTCCTTGAGCAGTGGTTTGTAGTTCTCCTTGAAGAGGTCCTTCACATCCCTTGTAAGTTGGATTCCCTTGTAAGTTTATTCTCTTTGAAGCAATTGTGAATGGGAGTTCACTCATGATTTGGCTCTCTGTTTGTCTGTTATTGGTGTATAAGAATGCTTGTGATTTTTGCACATTGATTTTGTATCCTGAGACTTTGCTGAAGTTGCTTATCAGCTTAAGGAGATTTTGGGCTGAGACGATGGGGTTTTCTAGATACACAATCATGTCATCTGCAAACAGGGACAATTTGACTTCTTCTTTTCCTAATTGAATGCCCTTTATTTCCTTCTCCTGCCTGATTGCCCTGGCCAGAACTTCCAACGCTATGTTGAATAGGAGTGGTAAGAGAGGGCATCCCTGTCTTGTGCCAGTTTTCAAAGGGAATGCTTCCAGTTTTTGTCCATTCAGTATGATATTGGCTGTGGGTTTGTCATAGATAGCTCTTATTATTTTGAGATATGTCCCATCAATACCTAATTTATTGAGAGTTTTTAGCATGAAGGGTGTTGAATTTTGTCAAAGGCCTTTTCTGCATCTATTGAGATAATCATGTGATTTTTGTCATTGGTTCTGTTTATATGCTGGATTATGTTTATTGATTTTCGTATGTTGAACCAGCCTTGCATCCCAGGGATGAATATCTACAACTACCTGATCTTTGACAAACCTGACAAAAACAAGCAATGGGGAAAGGATTCCCTATTTAATAAATGGTGCTGGGAAAACTGGCTAGCCATATGTAGAAAGCTGAAACTGGATCCCTTCCTTACACCTTATACAAAAATTAATTCGAGATGGATTAAAGACTTACATGTTAGACCTAAAACCATAAAAGCCCTAGAAGAAAACCTAGGCATTACCATTCAGGACATAGGCATGGGCAAGGACTTCATATCTAAAACACCAAAAGCAATGGCAACAAAAGCCAACATTGACAAATGGGATCTAATTAAACTAAAGAGCTTCTGCACAGCAAAAGAAACCACCATCAGAGTGAACAGGCAACCTACAGAATGGGAGAAAATTTTTGCAACCTACTCATTTGACAAAGGGCTAATATCCAGAATCTACAGTGAACTCCAACAAATTTACAAGAAAAAAACAACCCCATCAAAAAGCAGGTGAAGGATATGAACAGACACTTCTCAAAAGAAGACATTTATGCAGCCAAAAAACACATGAAAAAATGCTCATCATCACTGGCCATCAGAGAACTGCAAATCAAAACCACAATGAGATACCATCTCACACCAGTTAGAATGGCAATCATTAAAAAGTCAGGAAACAACAGGTGCTGGAGAGGATGTGGAGAAATAGGAACACTTTTACACTGTTGGTGGGACTGTAAACTAGTTCAACCATTGTGGAAGTCAGTGTGGCGATTCCTCAGGGATCTAGAACTAGAAATACTGTTTGACCCAGCCATCCCATTACTGGGTATATACCCAAAGGATTATAAATCATGCTGCTATAAAGACACATGCACACGTATGTTTATTGTGGCACTATTCACAATAGCAAAGACTTGGAACCAACCCAAATGTCCAACAATGATAGACTGGATTAAGAAAATGTGGCACATATACACCGTGGAATGCTATGCAGCCATAAAAAATGATGAGTTCATGTCCTTTGTAGGGACATAGATGAAGCTGGAAACCATCATTCTGAGCAAACTATCGCAAGGACAAAAAACCAAACACCGCATGTTCTTACTCATAGGTGGGAATTGAACAATGAGAACACTTGGACACAGGAAGGGGAACATCACACACTGGGGCCTGTTGTGGGGTGGGGGAGGGATAGCATTAGGAGACATACCTAATGCTAAATGACGAGTTAATGGGTGCAGCACAGCAACATGGCACATGTATACATATGTAACAAACCTGCACGTTGTGCACATGTACCCTAAAACTTAAAGTATAATAATAATACTAATAAAAAGAAAACAAATATTTATTACTTGTCACTAATGACTGTATGTCTGTTGGGAATTTCCAATTGCTGGAAGGAATGTATATATATTAATCTTACAGTAACAAACCTACAGAATTGAATTCAGCAAGTGAATTTGAGAACAACCCAAAGTATGAACTGGTTTATTCTTCCTCAGGGCTGCAAGTTACCTTTCATGGTGGAATCTTGTAACCTCTTGCCCACGTATTCATGTATAGTATTGATTATGGATGTATAAGTTAAACTACTGGAACCTTTCCACTTCTATTTCTATGAAATATATCAGTTTTTTGAGTAAGTTGAGTAAATGCAGAAATCAGCACTTTTTAGGTTTTTTCTTAATTTTTAAACATTTGCTGGGCTCATTATTCTTCCATAAGATAATGGCCTAGACATCTTAAATCTAGAGAAATACTAATGTTTTAGAGCTCCTCCTTCTGGAGAAGTTCCACTATGTCCCTTAAAAGTGTGCTAGAACTGCTAACTCATGCCACCATGTTTAATAACATGGCTTTCTCAACTTTTAAAGGATAAGAGTCATCAGTTGGTCTTAGGAACCAAAAACATTGTTGCAACTCCAAATAAAAGTAACAAACATGCATTCTTCCACTATCACAACAGCCCTAGTCCCCTTAATCTTACCAATTATTGTTACCTTAACCAGCACATTTAAAAAAGGCTCATACCCCAATTATGTAAAATCATCTCTCACATGTCCCTTTATCATCAGCCTTATCCCCACAACATTTATGTGTACAGACCAAGAAGTCATTGTCTCAAACTGACATTGAATGAGGATCCAGACCCTTAAACCCTCACTAAGCTTTAAACTAGACTACTTTTCTACAATATTTATCCCAGTAGCACTATTTGTTACCTGATCTATTATAGAATTCTCAATATGACATATAAACTCAGACCGTAACATCAATCACTTTTTCAAATATTTAGTTATTTTCCTTATCAATAACAGTACTCATTCTGGTTACTGCCAACAACCTCTTTCAGCTCTTCATTGAATGAGAGGGTGTAGGAATTATATCTTTCCTACTAATCAGCTGACGATACAGCTGAGCTGATACTAATGCAGCAACCCTCAAGCAGTCCTGTACAATCGTATCAGTGATACTGACTTTATTCTAGCTATGGCATGATTCCTCCTGTCCTCCAACACAAGAATTTCAACAAATATTTATTCTAAATCCTACCCCCAACTCCCTCCCACTGGTTAGCCTTCTCTTAGAGGCAGTAGGAAAGTCAGCCAAATTGAGCCTCCACCCCTGACTTCCCTCTGTCATAGAAGGTGCAACCCCAGTCTCAGCCCTACTCTGCTCCAGCACTACAGTTGTAGCAGGAGTTTTTCTACTCATCCTCTTCCACTCTTTAATAAAAAGTAATTTATCAATCTAAACCCTTACATTATGTCTCAGGGCTATTACTACCCTATTTACAGCAATCTGCACCCTAACACAAAACGATATCAAAAAAAAATCATAGCATTCTCCACCTCAAGTCAACTAGAATTTATAATAGTCACAATTGGCATTAATCAACCACACCTAGCATTTATTCACATCTGCACACATGCCTTTTTTAAAGCTATACTATTCATATGTTCTAGGTCCATCATCCATAGCCTCAATGATGAACAAGACATCCGAAAAATAGGAGGATTATTCAAGCCTCGCCCCTCACTTCCTCCTCCCTTGTGATCGGCAATCTCGCACTTACAGGTATACCTTTCCTCACAGGCTTCTACTCCAAAGACCTCATCATCAAAGCTGCAAACACATTGTACACCAGCACCTGAGCCCTTTTTATTACTCTTTCACCACTTTCTTAACAGCTGTCTATAGTACCCATATTATTTTCTTCGCACTAAATAGGACAACTTATTGGTAATTTGTATTAAACTTAAGCATTTGTGAGGAGGCTCAAATTGGATGTCTGGGCTATCTGGATTGTCATAGTTAAAGAAAAATGTTTAATCTGTAAGTCAGCATTTTTACCATGTGTATCTGCTCCATGGATTCTAATTGTTTTTATAAAGTGTAATGTATATATCTAAGAATAGTATACATCTATAAAGGTTTTTATAGCACTTGAAATACACACATGATCTTTGTAAAATAAAAATCTTCTTATTTTACAAATGTAGGTTTTGAAACTGCAAAGTTAACTTACCAACTTTAGGGCACTTTGTAAACCTGATGTGGAGATCTCCGTTCTTATGTTAGCCTACATTTATGTTAAGGCCCTTAAACTAGGGATCCCCAACACCCAGGCCACAGACCGGTTCCTGTCCATGGCCTGTTAGGAGGTGGGCTGCACAGCAGGAGTGAGTGGCAAGGCTAGTGTGCAAAGCTTCATTTGTATTTACAGCCACTCTCCATCACTTGCATTATGGCCTGAGCTCCGCCTCCTGTCAGGTCAGTGGTGGCATTAGATTCTTATAGGAGTGCGTACCCTATTGTGAACTGTACATGCGAGAGATCTAGGTTGCAGGCTCCTTATGAGAATCTAATGCCTGATAGTCTGTCACTATCTCCCATTACTCCCAGATGGGACTGTCTAGTTGCAGGAAAACAAACTCAGGGCTTTCACTGATTCTACATTATGGTAAGTTGTATAATTATTTCATTATACATTACAATTTAATAGTAATAGAAATAAAGCACACAATAAATGTAATGAGCTCGAATCCCTCCCTCTCCCACTTGACCATGGAAAAATGGTCTTCCATGAAACCAGTCCCTAGCGCCAAAAAGGCTGGGGGACTTCTGCCTTAAACCACCGTGTCAGGCCAGTTAGCAAAATAACAGGTGAACAGCTTTTATTCACACATAGGTGTAGTTTGTATGTAATAATATGTATTTTCTTAAACTTAATTGATTTGTCATGGTTGAAAATAATTGGCCTGAATCACATTTTTCTAAAGGCTAAAGAAATTAGAATTATCTGATATCTCAATCTAGCTGTCCCTGGTTGAGAAGGCAGGGCATGCATGTCTGATTTCCAGAAGAGTATTACGTTCTGAGAATTAACAACTTGGGGAAGAGTAAGAGGAGCTGCTCTGGGCAAAGGTGCCCGCACTTTTAATCTCTGCTCTGCACAAGAGTCATGGTTTATCAGCTATTATCTTGGTTTCACTGAATTAGAAATGAAGTATTTGTTTAGATTTGAGACTTCTAATCTGTTATTTAGAACCAGATTCTTAAGTAGCTACAGTTTCAGTGACACTAGCAAATCCTGAACTATTTGAAGCAGAAGTCTGGATTTCCTGCCTGAGAGTGTTGCAGTTGTTTCCCCCACCCCGCCCCACTCTGTTAAACACATTTCAAAAGCCAAGGCCCTGGAGACTTTGCTTCTTATAAAGAAATGATTTCCAGAAGCCCAAGAAGCCTGGTATTCTGAGGTATCATTTCTTTGTGATTTTATGGGAGACAAGGAAGAGCTCTAAAGATCTATCTAGCTGGAGGACATGACTTACATCTAGGAAGGTGTCAATGTCAAACTGTGCCATCTGATGCATAAAAACACAGGCTCCATAAAGCCAGGAAGAAAATATACTGCCAAAGGTGGCCTTGACCCAGCCTGTGTCAGACACATTCCATATGCTATCTGAGGACTTAGATATCCAGCCAATATCTAAATGATATGAAGAAGCCACAAAACAGACCAAAAATAAACAAACAAAAATTAAAAACAACTGGTATCTTTCAGGAGTGACCTTGCCCCCAAACCTTAAGGGCTGCAGAGAAGGGTCAAAAGAAGCCCCAGGCAAGTTGACAGATTCTACCTCTACTCTTCTTAAAGGCCTTTTCAGAATCCTAGGTTGTCTGAGAGTAGAGTGGGAGGCTGGGTTTGGCATGATTTTTTGAGTTTGTCCATTGATGCAACAAATACTTGTTAAGTAAAAATGTGCTAAGCACTGTTCTACAGCAGTGAGCAAGAGACCAGACCTCTGCTCTTATTTTAGGTGACAGCGAATACATATACAATGAAGTGAATTAAGTATATCATTATTTTAAATAGTGTAAATGCTATTAGGAAAATAAAATAGGGTAACGTGAAAACTTAGGATAGTCTCTCTTTTAGGAAGGCCTTTCTGGGTAGGTAAATTTACCTAGCAATGATTAAAGGAAGCCAGACATGTTGTTAAGGGACTGAATTAAGGTCGATTCTTAAGTTCTTGCTTGATCAGCTGGTTAGATTGTGTCATTTACTAAGCTAGGTTGGGCACGGCCAGCACAAGTTCTGTTTGGTAGCAATTAATTGGCAATATCTTATAGCAATTCAAGGAGAAGTATCGATTAGTTGGATACACATATTGGCAGCTCTTTGGGGAGTTCAAACCCAAAACCAGAGTTTTCTTCCCTACCTTCCACAGACGGTGAACCCAATGCTGAAGCTGCTCTGAGAGTGCTGGGCCATCTTAGGAGAGCCTGTCGTCCCACTGGTGAAATAAATGGCCACTGGTTCTTGACTTCCTGTTTCCACACAGCTGTGCTCTTCAGAGGCGGATCTGCAAAATATGGATGGACCCCAAGATGGTGGTGTAAGATGGCCAGTTTAACTCTGATATTTCTTCTGCTCAGCTACTTATGCCCTCTTGTTACCAGAAGATAGTTAACAGAACTGAACCTAATCCAAAGCTTTCCTGAGAGGGATTCTCAAGAAATCTTAGAGGGACTTGGAAGATCAGTCTCTGCTAAAATTTTACAGTTCTCCTTCTCCTTCTCCTTTTCTTTTCTTCTTCTTCTTCTCCTTTTCCTTCTCCTTGAGGGACTTGGAAGATCAGTCCCTGCTAAAAAATTTAACAGTCCAGTTCTTCTTCTTCTTTCTTTTCTTCTTCTTCTTCTTCTTCTTCTTCTTCTTCTTCTTCTTCTTCTTCTTCTTCTTCTTCTTCTTCTTCTTCCTCTTCCTCTTCCTCTTCTCCTTCTCCTTCTCCTCCTTCTTCTTCTTTTTTTCCTCCTTCTCCTTCTTCCCCTTCTCCTTCTCCTTCTTCTCCTTCTCCTCCTCTTCCTCCTCCTTCTTCTTCCTTCTTCCTTCCTCTTCTTCTTTTTTTAAGCTTCATCTCCCTATAGCCTAAATAAATAGCCAAGATAACTTTCAATATTAATAACAAAAGGACATGCATTTTATCTATTGTAAGATTTTTTTTCCAAGTGCTTTTTAGAAAAATCTACGAGTTTTTAAAAATCAGCATGGAATCTTTGTAAATTGCTGTTAATGTTTCAGGAGTTTTTATTATTTAAAGGACATCTTGTATTATTAAAAGACATTTAGACTGTCCTGATGGAGAAAGAGGCCATGTGCAGGAAAACCAAGGTGCTTCAGCTGGCACCTTTTGATATTTGAATCAAACTTATAAATAATTCTTGTTCAATATCTTCGACATCTGTAGCAGACAGAATGAGTTGCTTATCAAATAGCTGTCCTCTTCTTCTTCCTTTCACTGATAAAACTGATTTTGTTCAGGTATCAGGCAATCAAGTGCTTCCGGTAAGACTGTCCTGTATAGCTCCTGGGGGAGCTTGATTAATCTAAGCAAGTCACAGTCATTCCTTTGGTTTAAGATTAGGCACATGATGCAGTATGGACAATGAGATATATGGCTTTAATGGGAAATATTTCTTTGTTCTGAAAAGAGTCATGAGGAAGAGATGCAGCCTTCTTCCCTTGCCCCATCCTGTTTTATGGCCTTTGAGTTTTGTGCACGTACAGGATGTCTGGAGCTACCATAGCTATGTTGGGTTCATACCAAGGGTAGCACGTTAGGAAGATGAATAAATTTGGGTCCCTGTTAATTTCATTGAACCACTGAATTCACCAACTTTCAGTCCACCTTACCTGTGTATTTTCATTTGTCAGATAATAAACTTGTTTGTATTGTTTTAGTCGCTTGTATTTGGGTTACTAAATCCAAAGACATTCTAACTGATAACAATCTCTGTGTAAGATTGTCTACAAAGATAGCTCCATGATTCCTTTTATCCCTGTTGGGGTGATCAGACCCAATACCAGGCCGTGGGGGCTACGAAGTCCGGCGGAGTCAAAGGAATGAGAAAAGACAGGTTAAGAGTACATAAGTTGGGTCCAGGGGGCCAACGCTGGTATGCAGGCTGCGAAGGCCCTGAGCTCTAGGAGCCCACACTATTTATTGGTGATCAAACAAAGAAGCACGTGGTGAGGACGTGAGGGTAAACAGGTGAGGGTGTGAGGATGTGGGAGTAGAAATGTAGCAGTGCATCAAGTGTAGCTGTAATGGTTTAGCATTTTCTTTGATGCATATAGAATATGCTCTGCTGCTTGCGATAATGGAGAGCATGTTTATAAGCCTGGGAGAGCAACCAACAAGTCTGTGCACATTCCAGGGGCCACAAGGGGTTTTATGCCCTGAACCCTGGGTTCCATCCAAGCCACGAGGAGTTTTATGCCATGGGCTTAGATTTGTGGTGTGGCAGGGCAGTCTTCCACCCTTTGGCACAGAGCTTGCTGTTCCAAAGGCCACGAGGGGTTTTAGACCCTGGACCCCAGACATCTTCCAAGACTCTTTTATTTTATGACAGACAAGCCAGTCCTGCCCCAGCTTTTCTGCCAACAATCCCTATACAAAAATTCTTAGATATTGTTATCAGTTACCCATCACTGAGTAACAAACCACCCCTGTATGCCATTGCTTCATTGGAGAGCAGAGCATATGTCCTCTCTCTTTGAATCTGGGGTGGTCCCATGACTTGCTTCGATTAATGCACTGTGGCACAGGTTCTGGAACTTCTCAGCCTAGGCCTCAAGAAGGTTCATAGATTTCACTTTCCCTGGGGGGTAACTTAGCCACCATATAAAGATGTTTAGACTGTCCTGCTGGAGAGAGAGGCCATGTACAGGAAAACCAAGGTGCTTCAGCTGGCAGCCAGCCTGACTTGAGGGTGAACCTGCCTTGGATACTCGAGCCCCAGTCAGGCTGATGTGGAGCAGAAACCAGCTGCCCCTGCTGAGCCCTGTGTGAATTTCTGACCCATGGAATCATGAGCAAATAAAATACTACTGTTTACACCACTAAGTGCTGGGATGGTTTGTTACTCAGTGATGGGTAACTGATACAATATCTAAGGATTTTTGAAACTGGTGTATCGTAGTCTTAATTTCTCTGGTTGAAGGGAACAGGGTTAAGGATGCTGTTTTAATTCATCTTGATGATGAATGAGATTGTCATTGAAACTGTAAAAACAGTGAGGATTTTTTTTTGTTTTGTTTTGTTTTGTTTTGAGATGGAGTCTCACTCTGTCACCCAGGCTGGAGTGCAGTGGTGTAATCTCGGTTCACTGCAACCTCCACATCCCAGGTTCAACTGATCCTCCTCACTCAGCTGTCTGAGTAGCTGGAACTACAGGCATGTGCCACCACACATGGCTAATTTTTGTATTTTTAGTGGAGACGGGGTTTCACCATGTCGGCCAGGCTGGTCTCAAACTCCTGACCTCAGGTGATCCACCCACCCCAGGATCCAAAAGTGCTGGGATTACAGATGTGAGCCACCATGACTGTCGAACAGTGAAGATTATTTGAAAATAGTTTCAGAAAATATTAACATGGTTTTCTTGGTAACTTCCTTCCTCCCCTTAAAATAGAAAAAGATCATTCATTCAGCTATATTGATTTTCTTTTCAATTCAAATATAGAGTCAAATTGGTATGTGTTGGGCTAGAGAGAGGGGGATTTCTTCACAGAATCTGATACCTTGCAGGGAGACCCCTCATATTTAAATACTTCTCAATCCAGTATGGAAATCTTTTGGTAGGAGGCATCTATCTGTCTATCTATTTACCTACTTACCTTTCATCTATCCATCCATCTATCTACCTATCTATCTATCTTTCGTCTATCCATCTGTCTGTCTATCTAAAAGAAAAGACATCACAATCTGTGAGTGACAAGCAGTGATTCCATTATCCAACTTGTCTTCCTTTCCTTGAATACCTGAGTTCTGAGTTATGTCTTTCCAGGTTTTCAGAGCTAAGTATATACTAATGACTTCCAGATTTGTATCTTTGCCTCTTGTTCCTGAGACTCATATATCCACCACCTGCTAGACATTTGAATGTTCACAGAACCTTCGATCTTGTATGTCCAACTGTAAACTTATTATCCTAACATCGACTGTCTCTCTCTCTCTCTCCAACCGATGGTACCCACCCACTGATCACCTAAGTCAAAAAGCAGATCAACCTTGACTCTTTCTTCCTTCATCTTCCACATCCAATATTCTCTAAGTCCTGCTAGTTCTTTAGTTTGCTGCTTTCCCTCCATCCTATTCATCAGAGCTCAGGTTTAGATTTTTGTCATTTCTTTCCTAGATTAGGCTCCAAGATGGTCTGATTCCAGTTTGGTCCTCCTCAAACTAATCCTCTACATAGCTGCCAGATAAATCTATTTAATTTAATTTAATCCAAACCTGGCCCTGGAACTTCTGTTCTTAAACCCATCAATGGCATCCCTTGTTTACAGGGGCAATTTAAGATTTATCATGGCATATGAGATCTTCCATAATCTGGCCTCTGTTTGCTCTTACAGCCTTCACTCTATCTCCATATTTTGTTCTCTAGCTAGCCCAAACTGTGTGTAGTCTATTCCTTCCACACCTTAGGGTGTTTTTTTTTTTTGCCTCCATATCTTTGCTCTTGCTGTTCCTGAAACTGGAGCACCATCTTGACCCCCTCAAGATCAGAATCCAGAGTCCCGGACAGGGTCTTCTGTACTAGGACAGAAAAAGAGAAATATAATTCTGGCTTATAATGTTGACCTTTTCCCTCATCCATTATGAATATTCTGGAAAGTGTTCATGAACGTATACACTTGAGAGTCAGAAGGAGGGTGAGAAGCCTTAAAATGAACTCCTTGAATAGAAGATCAACTCTAACAGTGTAAAATTAGCCCACATTATTGCCGTGTGTAGTCTTCTGAAAAACTAGCCAACTGTTGGCAATGAGACAGCTTTCCCTTCCCTAGTTTTTAGAGAAACAATCTGTGCCCTTTTTGGAGTTATGGCACTTCAAAGTTTGAAATGAGGATTTTTTCCATCTTGAAAACTACCCCCAAAATATGCACATTTCAATTTGAGATCCACATGAGTTTAATTAAAGTCCTTTATCGTTTGTAAATTTTGTGGCTCCTTTAAGGTTTCTTGGGGACTCTACAGAATATTGCAAAGTTGTTTAGGACAGGAGTCTCTGAAGTGGAAGTGCTTGCTGCTCAGGAAGTGTGCAAGGCAACTGGGATAGAGAAGAGACAAGAATTGAAAATTATGTGTTTTGTGTTTTCTAGACAGGGTTCCATTCTGTCACCCAGGCTGGAGTGCAGTGGCACAATTGTATTTTTTTACTCATCCTCTAAAATTTTTATTTTTGGTATTCGTATAATGCACAAAAGTACATGTATATAATTTATAAATAAATAAATACATGTATGGGGGGGTATGTTAAAAAGTATTTTACTAATGGAGATGTATATTCAAATAATATAAATACCACTACCTTAGGAATCACTACTGTTGAATGACTTTGTTAACTTGAAAATTATAATAATGATTGCAGTTATAATTACTGTAATATTTATGGAGTGATTACTCTATGCCAGGCATTCAGCTAAGAATTTCATGTTTTATCACATTTGATTCTCCTACAACCCCATGAGGTAGATACTATCATTATCTCCATTGTATGGATAAGATACAGAGTTTCAGCAAATGTTACTTATCCAAGGTTACACAGCTTATAAAAGACACAAGCAATATTCACTGATGTGGCCCTTGGGAAAGAATTTTGGGATTGGACAAATAGTATTTTGTATATATTAATCAGTGGGAGAAAATTTTATTCTAACAAATAAAACTGTTATTCAGCAGGGTTTACATGTCATCTCTTTCTATAAACTTCTCTGGTTTTTGTTTTTTTTTTTTTGAGACAGAGTCTTGCTCTGTCGCCTGGGCTGGAGTGCAATGGTGCCATCTCAGCTCACTGAAACCTCCACTGCCCAGGTTCAAGAGATTCTCCTGCCTCAGCCTCCCAAGTAGCTATGATTACAGGCACCTGCCACCACGCCTGGCTAATTTTTGTACTTTTTTTTTTTTTTAGAGACAGGTTTTCACCATGTTGGCCAGGCTGGTCTCAAACTCCTGACCTCAGGTGATCAACCCACCTCAGCCTCCCAAAGTGCTGGGATTACAGGTGTGAGCCACTGCACCAGGCCTGGAATAATTTTTTTTTTAAACATAAGCTACTCAACACCTCTTTGAAGAATAATACCATTAATATTTTACTCTTTTTTTTACATCTTAGGAAACACTTTCTCACATATTCATTTAATTTATCCTCAAAACAACAAGAGATATGTACAGTATAATTATCCTCATTTTACATATGAAGAAAACTGTAGTTGTGATTTCTTTTGCTCATTCATTCAGTAAATATTAAGCACTATCTATGTGTTAGGAACTGAGGATAGGAAGATCAATCAAAGTCTCTGCTTTCTTAGAACTTACGGTTTAGGGCAGGAGTTGGCAAACTTTTTCTGTAAAGGGCCAGATAGCAAATATCTTAGGCTTTGTGGGCCTAGGTTTCTGTTGTAACTACTCCACTCTGCTGTTGTTACATAGACAACATGTAAATAAATGAGTGTGGATGCATTCCAGTAAAACTTTATTTACAAAAACAGGGCCAGGTGTGGTGGCTCATGCCTGTAATCCCAGCTACTTGCGAGGCTGGGGTAATGTGGTCAAGGAGAAGTTCACTTAGGATAAAATATTTGAGCCAAAATTTGACAAGAAGGAACCACTCATGAAAAGGAATAGGAAGAGCACTCCAGGCAGAAGAAACAGCAGGTGCAAAGGCCCTGAGATAGGGCATGTTTGAGGAAGAAAAGGAAGAGTGGTGGGATACGTGGTTGGTTCAGATTTAAGCAAGAGCCATATAATGCAGGATACTCATTATAGACCACTAGGAAGCAGGAGGATGGAGGCAGAACTACATCCCTTCCTTATGCCCTTAAATCTGGTTATTAGGTAATTCTTTTCCGAGTAGGAGCCCAGATCAACTCACAGTGTTCCTGAGTCCTTGGAGGCAAAGATATTCCAAGATGTAGCAATAATTTGTGTTGTTGCTGGCAGCGTAGATTGGCTGGGAAAAATACTCACTGAAATAACTCCTGGAAACTGAGCCACCTGTTCCGGCTTTGTGGAGACACCAGGAGTTTGGTCTTAAAGTCAGGACACTCCAGTGCAATGGACTCCACTACTGGGACCACCTCCTCACTGGCCACAATGCACTTGGCCTTGGATGCTTGCAGCCGGTAGAGGATATATTTTGCTGTCAGCTGGATTGTTCCTGGCATGAAGACAATCCCTGGGAAGGACACTAAACAGAACCGCCATCCCTTAAGTGAGACTCTGTGGACGGTGGAAGATTTGGGCTTTGTGCCTGGGTGAGGAGGAGCATTACAATCCATCCTTCAGTTACCTCTGCCTTGATTCTCCAATGATATTGTACAAGACTCTGATCCCTGAGAGATTTTTAGAGCACTGGCTTCGGAGTCTGACAGACGATGGGCCTAATCCTGGCCTTGCAACTTACTAGCTTTGTGACCTTGATCTCTCTGTGTCTTTTTTTCCTTATCTGTAAAATGGGAATAACAATAATAAGTGTCTGGAATATAGTAGACATTATTATGGTGGGCCATTATTATGTAACATTTTAATGTAATATTTGAATCTTTTTTTTTTTTGAGACAGAGTCTGGGAGTCTTAGTCTGTCACCCAGGCTGGAGTGCAGTGGCATGATCTTGGCTCACTGCAACCTCCGCCTCCCAGGTTCAAGAGATTCTCCTGCTTTAGCCTCCCAAGTAGCTAGGATTATAGGTGCCCACTACCATGCCTAGCTAATTTTTTGTATTCTTAGTAGAGATGGGGTTTCACCATGTTGGCCAGGCTGGTGTCGAACTCCTGACCTCAGGTGACCCACCTGCCTAGGCCTCCCAAAGTGCTGGGATTACAGGTGTGAGCCACTGCACTCGACCTAAATTATTATTATGTACCACTTAAATAGCACTTTACAGCTTATAACACATTTCATGAGCAATATTTCACTCAATCCTCTAAACCAATGGTCTCCAAAGTGAGTTTTGGGACAATCCACTGGGACTAAGAAATGAGAACAGAAACTTAAAAAATTATCGGCTGGGCATGTTGGCTCACACCTGTAATCCCAGTGCATAGGGAGGCCAAGATGGGAGGGTCGCTTGAGCCCAGTATTTCGAGACCAGCCTGGGTAACACAGTGAGACCCCATCTGTATTTAATTTTTAAAATAATGTTAATAATTTAATAAAATTAAAAATTACTGAGATACAATTCTTTTAATGCTTTTATCTCATTTTCATCTATGTTTTATAGTATGCATACTATATTAGTGCAGTAGAACAATGTAAGTGCTACACTCAGATGGGAAGATGTGTATTCTAAATATTTTTATTGATAGATTATACAACCCAAAATGCCTAGAGACTACTGTTTTAAGCAACCCTGGAAGGTCCATGTGGTTGTGCCCATTGGTGGAATATGAGATTTGGCCATAGCTGGGGAGTGGCAGAGCCAGCCCTCCACTCTATGGATTCTAGTGGTCTAGCATCATCAAACCTTGCCTAGACTACTTTGGCAATGCTTAGTTTATCTCATCCTAAACACTGGCTGGAGATAAGTCTGAATTTAAAGTACCAGTTAATTGCAGAAAGAACATGCACGTCCTAATTAGATGAAAGAGAGAAGGTAGTTTGTACTTTCTAAAGTGAATTATTGGGAATAAAGTGGAGTGTATATATAGTATTACAGATAACCACTACTGTTTCTTGAACATTTATTATGTGCCTGACATCTCACTTAAAATTAATCCCAGTGCATGATAACTTATTCAAGGGTCACAAAGTCAGTAAGTGGCAAAGAACTGAAAGGATTCAAAGGTATATTCCCCAGACTCCCAAGACTTGTGCTATAAGCCAAACTACTTATTTCCTGGTGAGTTCCCTGAAGTTAGCTAAAAAGGGAAATGTGGAGTTGAATTCCTAGGAAGGAGACTTTATTTATGAATATATTTTAAAAGCTTTTAAATATCATCCCTTCTTGAGAAAGTGAATAACTGTATAAGGATAAGGAAGTGGGTTAAGAAAATACCTTAGAGTATTCATTCAATGTAAAAATATAAGATTATTTATTTTACAAACCACCTGTTCTTAATGACTTATAAATAATTAGTATCCGTGGTATATTTGTGATATGAATGCACTCAATAGGTTGACCTCTAGCTTCAGGGTTAGGGGCAGTTTTCTTCTAGTGGTTTTCAGATAGCAAATATCTTAGGCTTTACTGCATACACTTTACAGCAGAAACCAAAATATTTTGCCATGTATAGGTATAGCAATAATTCTGAGTCAGAAAACATAATCTAACCTGCTTGTTTTACATTTAATTGAGTGTTTTATGTTAACCATTTCAGCTTTGTGTTCATTTTTCATTATCATTTTATAAATTTCATAACTTATGTTAAGCAATATCATTTTTTTCTTTCTTTTTTTCTGAGATAGTGTCTCGCTCTGTGCCCAGGCTGGAGTGCAGTGGTGCCATCTCAGCTCACTGTAAGCTCCGCCTCCTGGGTTGACGCCATTCAGCATGTGGATATCCAGCTTTCCTAGCACCATTTTTTAAATTATACTTTGGGTACATGTGCACAACGTGCAGGTTTGTTACATATGTATACATGTGCCATGTTGGTGCCTAGCACCATTTATTAAAAAGACTGTCCTTTCTTCATTATGTTATCTGAGGAAGTTTGCCAAAAATCAATTGACTGTAAATGCAATGGTTTATTTCTGGGCTCTATTCTATTGCATTGATGCATATGTCTGTTTTTAAGACAATAACATGCTGTTTTAATTACTATAGTTTTGCAGTATATTGTAGTACATTGAAGTCAGGGAGTGTGATGCCTCCAGCTTTTCTCTTTTTGTTCAAGCATATTTGGAGTATTTGAGATCTTTCGTGGTTCCATATGAATTTTAGAATTGTTTTTTTCTATTTTTGTTAAAAATATCATTGGAATTTTGACAAGGATTACATCGAGTCCATAGATCACGCTGAATAATATGGACACCTTAACAATATTAATTCTTTCAATCCATGAACACAGGATATCTTTCCATTTATTTGTGTCTTCTTCAATTTTTTCCATCAGTGTTTTATAGTTTCCAGTCTGCAGGTATTTTACTTTCCTTAGTTAAATTTATTTCTGAGTGTTTTATAAATGGAATTGTTTTCTTGATTTCTTTCTTAGATAGTTCATTGTTAGTGTATAGAAACACTATTAATTTTTGTACGTTGGTTTTGTGTCCTGCAAGGTTACTGAATTTGTTTATTAGTTCTGTTTGCAGATGACAGGATCTTATAAGTAGAAAAATTCTAAAGATTCCATTAAAAAATAATTGTGCACTGCCAAAAGGTGTCGCTGTTGTTGTTGTTGTTGTTGTTTTTGAGACAGGCTTTTACTCTGTCACCCAGGCTGGAGTGCAGTGGCGTGATCTCAGCTCACTGCAACCTCCACCTCCTGGGTTCAAGCAATTCTCCTGTCTCAGCCTCCCAAGTAGCTGGGATTACAGGCATGTACCACCACACCTGGCTAATTTTTGTATGTTTAGTAGAGTGTAGGTTTCACCATGTTGGCCAGCTTGGTCTCGAACTCCTAACCTCAAGTGATCCACCCGCCTTGGCCTCCCAAAGTGCTGGGATTACAGGCATGAACCACCATGCCCTGCAAGAAAAACTTTTATGCGTTGTTATTTTTTTAAATTTCATTTAGTTGTTTAGGTGTGTTTTCTTGCATCTCACTGACCTTCTTTAAGATAATTATTTTGAATTTTTTTCAGACAATTCATAGATATCCAATTTTTTGTGGTAGGTTGCTAGGGCTTTGTTAATTTTCTTTGGTGGTTTCATGTTTGTCTGATTTCTTGTTATTCAAGTAACCTTTTCATTTGAAAGAGCAAATACTTCTTCCAGGCCTTAGAAACTGGTTTTGGCAGGTTTGTGTTCTGTTAAGTTCCCTTAACAGTTCCCAGGCAGTACAAGTTCCCAGGCAAATGAGTTTGCCTATGGGATTGTAGCCAAATGCTTTTGGAGCCAGGTAACATGACTGCTGCTGGGTCCACAATGGAGTCCACAGTTGGTGAGCCTACTATCAGGGGCTCTAGCAGGCGTGGATCCTGTCTGGGCCCAGGGTGGTCTCTACTGTCTCCAGGACCTTGGTCCAAAGGGCTGGTACTGGGCTGATGGTCTACTTCAGGTGCACAGGAATAGGCCTGTTGTCCGGTTTGTGAATGGGTATGACTCCTCCAGGTCCCCAGGAGGGCTCTTGCTGGACCACTGGGTGAGACCTTGGGCAGGCAGTACTGCTCCAGTCTGCAGCTGAGAGGGGCGGAAACCAAGTTGCAGGGCTGCTTCAAGGTCTACAACTGAGACAGAAATATTCAGGCCTATCTCTGGTGTCACTGATGGGCATGTCTCACAGTGGGTCCCTGGGCAGGCAGCCATGCTCTCGATCTGTAGCTAAGTTGGAGTTGAGATTCAGGGCCTTTTCAGGATCTGCTATGGGGACTGAGGTTGGCAAGTATGACCCTGGGGACTCACATGGACTTGTCTCCCAGCTATTCCCTGGCTGGGCAGAACTGCTCTTAGACCTCAGCTGAGGGAGCCTTGGGCTGAAATTCAGGGTCATTTCAGGATTTGCAATGTGACTGAAGTTGGCAAGGCTGTCCCAGTGGCATAGATGGGCAAGTCTCTCAGCAGCTCCATGTACAGGCAAAATTGCTCTTGGGTTGCTGCTGAGAGGGTTTGGAGGCAAGATTAAGGGCCCTTTCTCATCTGCCTGGGGACTAAAATCCAAAATCCTGCCCTAGGGACTCATATGGACATGTCTCTCTCTGGGTCCTTATGCAAGCAGGACTGATTGCTTACTGCAGCTGAGATGGGCTGGAGTTGAGTTAGATGGTTGTTTCAGGGCCTCAGTTGAGAGCAAGTTCAGTGGGCCTGTCTTCTGAGGTACTACTGTGCATGACTGCCTCCTGTCAGAGCCCTAGGCAGATGGTTTTGGTAGCAGGATCAAGTCCAAATAGGGCTTTCAACAAACATGAGGCAGATGGGGCCATTTCCAAATCTGGGGTTAGGACCACCATCAATGAGTTTACCACCTGGGTGTGGGTCTACCCTCTCAAAACAACTCTCCTAGGTCTTGGGCTCCACTGGGGTTTTACAACTCCTGCCTAAATCCCCAGGTTCTCACAAAGGCACTTTTGCCCTTGAATAGATGAGAAATTATTGTTGCCATTGGGGAATGTGAGTGGGGGACTACCTACTCTGCCATCTTGCTGACATCACTTCCTAGCTTCCTTTGTTTCTGTAGAGAAGTCAGTGGTAATTTGAACAATTGTCCCACATGTGTAATGTATCATTTTCCTCTGTCTTCTTTCAAAATTTTATCTTCTTTTTGATTTTAAGAAGTTTGATTATGACATGCCTAAGTATTGTTTTTTTTTGTATTTCTCCCATTTTAGATTTTTCTAATATTCTTGGATCTGTAAATTTATATCTTTCACCAAAATCTGGAAAACTTTTGGTCATTATTTCTTAAAATATTTTTTCTGTCTTTTTCTAGAACTCCAATTTTTATGTATACACACACACACACACACACACTGTTCCACGATTCACTGAGGCTTCACTTTTTATAAAAATATTTTTCTCTCTATTCTTAAGACTGCTAATTCCTTTTGAACTAATTTCAAGTATGCTAAATTTCTTAGATCTCCAATATGCTATAAGGTCCATTAAGTTCATTTTTAATTTAGAGTAATACATTCTTAAATAGTCTCAATTTTAAAATCATTTCTATTTTTCCACTAACATTTTTATTGTTCATATTGAACATAATTTTTTAGTCCTTGAGCATAATGATTACAGCTGTAGCACTGTTATTGAAATCCTTCTCTACTAATTCCAACATCTGAGTCTTTAGTTTTCTTCATTGATGTTCTTTTTCTCTTGCAAATGAGTATGTGTTCCTGTGTCTTTGTGTATCTAGTAATTTTAGACTTTATATTGAACATTGTCGTTAATATACTGTAGAGACTCTGGATTTTGGTAGAGAATCTGGATTTTGTTTTGTTTATTCATTTCTTTTAGCCTGAGGCTGCATGGATTCTGTGTATTTCAGGGATCAGCCATGGATTTGGGCAGAATTTATACACAAAATTTGAAGCTCCTCTTCTCTCTCTCTCTTGAAATTTTTCCATAAAAATTGAAAACTCACTCAATGCCATTTATTTCTTCAAAGGTAGACTTTTCCTAATTTATTTTTATGTTGCCTAATCTCTAATGCATTCTGAAGTTGTTTTTTTTTTTTTTTCTGAGACGGAGTCTCGCTCTGTCGCCCAGGCTGGAGTGCAGTGGCTCTCTCTCTGCTCAGTGCAAGCTCCACCTCCCGGGTTTACACCATTCTCCTGCCTCAGCCTCCTGAGTAGCTGGGACTACAGGTGCCCACCACTACGCCTGGCTAATTTGTTTGTATTTTCAGTAGAGACGGGGTTTCAGGGTGTTAGCCAGGATGTTCTCAATCTCCTGACCTCGTGATCTGCCCGCCTCGGCCTCCCAAAGTGCTGGGATTACAGGCGTGAGCCACCGCACCTGGCCCTGAAGTTGTTATTTATATTTTGTCCAGGGCTTATAGTTGGTACCTATCAAAAGGTTGATCCTATGGAAAATACTACATAGTACATTTCACTTCAAGATACTTGAAGATCATGATACTTGAAGTGAAAGCCCTACAATTAAATTCTAGTTATGAATTATTTGATTTATCTGTGCCACCAATACTCATTGTGAGCATGTGAATTTTAGCTTACCTAGAAAAATCTACTCCCAAATCATCCTCTTTTATGATAACTTGTCTATACTTTTATGGTAACTTGGCTTTAGTTGGCTATACTTTCATACTCTATACTTTTATACTCCAAAATCATCCTCTTTTATGAAGTCATCCTGTTTTATAACTTGGCTATACTTTTATACTCTCCTACATTGTCTTGGGAACTCTTAATATGTCTTTTATATGCCTCTTCTTTTTTTGTCTTTAATAAGACATATTAAGAGTTCTCAGGACAATGTAGGAGAGCATTTTGGATTGGAATCAGTATTCGAGATTTAAGCTAAGTTGTATTCTGCCTCAGAGCATTTACACTTCCTGGAATTCTGACATGTTGACTCTAGAAATCAAAACAAAGTATGATTTACAAGGGCCTGTGTGTTCTCTCAGTTCTAAGTTAGCCCTGGGAAGAACTTGTGCTAGTAGTTAAACATGGTGACTAAGCTAAGAATTTAGATCCAGGTGCATCTAAGTTGAAGTGCTCATTCTATCATTTTCTGGCTTTCGTGAGGCTGGGCAGTAGCTAAAAATCTTGAATGTCAATATTCTCATTAGTAAAAACGTAGTAATAATACTACCTTTCACATAAGGTTTTAGATTACATGATTAATACATATATAAGCCTGGAAACAGTGCCTGAAACAAACATTCAATAAATTTGAGTCCATATTATATAGCTGCCTAAACCCAGAGAGTCTCAATTTCTTCATCTTTGTAATGAAAATAAAAATATCAAGCTTGCAGCATTAATATATGTGTAAATGGAGTTATGCTTATAAATTTTACTAAGCAATGTGTACTTAAGAAGTAGTCATTTCTTCTATCTTTTCGTTTCCCTGTCCTAATACATAATACTAATAATAATACTCTCGCTAAGTGTCAGGCACTGTTCTAAGTAGTTTGTATATATTATCTCTTTTAACTTTTACAATTTTTTTCTCATTTTCAGATGAAGAAATAGAAGAAGAGCATTGCAATAACTATCAATATTTGTGTGGCCTAATATTAATAACTGGTAGGACAATAATTCCAGTTCTGGCCAGACATTGTGGCTAATGCCTATAATCCCAGCACTTTGGTAGGCCAAGGCAGGTGGATCACTTCAGATCAGAAGTTCAAGACCAGGCTGGCCAACATGGTGAAACCTCATCTCTACTAAGAATACAAAAATTAGCCAGGTATGATGGCATGTTTCTGTAGTCCCAGCTACTCAGAAGGCTGAGGCAGAAGAATTTTTCAGACCCAGGAGGCAGGGGTGACAGTGAGCTGAGATCATGCCACTGAACTCCAGCCTGGGTGACAGAATGAGACTGTCTCAAAAAAAAAAATCTGCGAAGGACATCTTCAAGGAGAGCTACAAACCACTGCTCAAGAAAATAAGAGAGGACACAAACAAATGGGAAAACATTTCATGCTCATGGATAGGAAGAATCAATGTAGTGAAAATGGTCATACTGCCCAAAGTAATTTGTAGATTCAATGCTATTCCCATCAAGCTACCAGTGACTTTCTTTGCAGAATTAGAAAAAACTACTTTAAATTTCATATGGAACAAAAAAGAGCCCATATAGCCAAGACAATCCTAAGCAAAAAGAACAAAGCTGGAGGCATCATGCTACCTGACTTCAAACTATACTACAAGGCTACTGTAACCAAAACAGCATGGTACTGGTGCCAAAACAGATATATGGACCAATGGAACAGAACAGAGACCTCAGAAATAACACTATACATCTACAGCCATCTGATCTTTGACAAACCTGACAAAAGCAAGCAGTGGGAAAAGCATTCCCTATTTAATAAATGGTGCTGGGAAAACTGGCTAGCCATATGCAGAAAACTAAAACTGGACTCCTTCATTACACCTGATACAAACATTAACTCAAGATGGATTAAAGACCTAAATGTAAAACCCAAAACCATAAAAGCCCTGGAAGAAAACCTGGGCAATGCCATTCAGGACACAGGCGTGGGCAAAGACTTCATGAGTAAAACACCAAAAGCAATTGCAACAAAAGCCAAAATTGACAAATGGGATCTAATTAAACTAAAGAGCTCTGCACAGCAAAAGAGACTAGCATCACAGTGAACAGGCAACCTACAGAATGGGAGAAAATGTTTGCAATCTACCCATCCGACAAATGGCTAATATCCAGAATCTACAAGGAACTGAAACAAATTGATAAGAACAAAAACAAACAACCCCATCATAAAATAGGCAAAGGATATGAACAGATAGTTCTCAATAGGAGATATTTATTCAGCCAACAAACATTTGAAAAAAAGCTCATCATCCCTGGTCATTAGAGAAATGCAAATCAAAATCACAATGAGATACCATCTCACGTCAGTCAGAATGGTGATTATTAAAAAGTCAGGAAACATTTGGGAGGCCAAGATGGGCAGATCACGAGGTCAGGAGTTTGAGACCAGCCTGGCTAACATGGTGAAACCCCATCTCTACTAAAGATACAAAAAATTAGCCGGGCATGGTGGCACATGCCTGTAATCCCAGCTATTCAGAAGGCTGAGGCCGGAGAATGGCTTGAACCTGGGAGGTGGAGGTTGCAGTGAGTCACGATTGCACCATTGCACTCCAGCCTGGGCAACAGGGCAAGACTCTGTCTTATAAAAAAAGAAAAGTCAGGAAACAACAGATGCTGGCAAAGCTGTGGAGAAATGGGAGCACTTCTACACTGTTGGTGGGAGTGTAAATTAGTTCAGTTATTGTGGAAGACAGTGTGGGGATTTCTCAAGGACCTAGAACCAGAAATACTATTTGACCCAGCAATCCCATTACTGGGTATATACCTAAAGGATTAGAAATCATTCTACTATAAAGATACATGCACATGTATGTTTATTGCAGCACTATTTACAGTAGCAAAGACTTGGAACCAACCAGAATGCCCATCCATGCTAGACTGGATGAAGAAAAAGTGGCACATATACACCATGGAATACTATGCAGCCATAAAAAAGAATGAGTTCATGTCCTTTGCAGGGACATGGATGAAGCTGGAAGCCATCATTGTCAGCAAACTAACACAGGAACAGAAAACCAAACACTGCATGTTCTCACTGATAAGTGGGAGTTAAACAATGATAACACATGGACACAGGGAGGGGAACATCACACACCAGTGCCTGTCAAGGGGTGAGGAGGAAAGGGAGGGAGAGCATTAGGATAAACACTTAATGCACATGGGGCTTAAAACCTAGATGACGGATTGATAGGTGCGGCAAACCACCATGGCACATGTATACCTGTGTAACAAATCTGCATGTTCTGCACATGCATCCCAGAATTTAAAGTAAAAATTTTTTTAAAAAGATTCCAGTTTGGTCTATCTGGCTCTGAAGTTTCTTTTTAAAAATTTGTAACAGCCACCCTTTGAAAAGCACTTGCTGTATGGTAGACATTGTCAAGTGTCTTCCGAACATTATTTCAAATCACTCCTTCCACAGTATACAAGTCCATGCAATACTGGATCTGAGATGAGTGGGGAAGTCATTGGTCAATTTATACGGCATGGTTGAACAAAAATAAAACCACACTGGAATTTTCTATTGTCATCAATTCCAGAGTATTGAGAAGCATGGCAGATAGGATAGAGACAGCCTATAAGCAGGAAAAACTAGCTTAAATAAAATCATGATTCAAGTCCTATTCCTGCCTTCTGTAGCCTCCGTGACTTTGTATGTGCTATATAATCTTTTCAGCATTTTTTATATATAAATTATGACCTACCATTTATATTATTGAAGAAGTCAAAGGCTGAGATTCATCCTTGATTCTTTTTATTCACTCCCTATCAAAACCATCAACAAGTCCACCTAAGGTTGTCTTAAAGATCTATCCCATATCCGTCTGCTTACCTCCATCTCCAGTGCCATAACTCTTGTCTGAGCCACCGTCATTACTTGTTTAGTCTATTGCAGTAGCCTCCCGACTGGCATCCCCACATCCATTCTTGCCTCCTTAAAATATCTTCTCCACAGAACTGCCAGAGTGGGCTTTCTAAATGCAAATCTGACCTCTTTTTCTGAATGTTTTACTTTCCTGTATTACTTTATTTCAAAATCAAGTCACCAAGAAAATGAGTTACTTAATAGGATCATGTCTCTTTCCTCCTAAAATCTTCACGAGACTTCCATGCACCCACCCATTGCACTTAGAATAGAATCCAAACTCCTTATTATGTCCATAAAGATCCTTAATGGCATGTCTCCTGCTTGTGTCTCTGACCTCACACTTTATCATACTTCTCACTCAGTAATCTGCCATCCCAGTCCCCCACCTATGCCTTGAAAATGTCAGCCTCAGGCTTTGCACTTGCTGTGGCTTTTGCCTGGAGTTCTTTTTCCCTAGCTGGCTGCTTCTCCTCCTTCAGGTCTCAAAATGTCACCTCTTAAGGGAGAACATCCTTAGCCACCTCCCCACACTCTCTCCATCATATTGCCCTGTTCTGTTTTCTTTTTGGCAGTATCACCATTTGAAATCCTCTTGCTTATTTAATTGACTTTTTGCTTATTGGCTTTTGCCTTTCTATCATAGGCATGTAAACCTCTTGAGAGCACCAACCTTGTCTTACATGTTTAAAGCACGCCTAAATGTTCCTTAAATATCCACTGAATGAATGAATGTATCATAGGTTTTCTATAATAAGCAGACGATAGCAAGTTCAAAAAGCTGAGGTTGGTAGGATATTTAGCTACATGAAGTCACTCAGAGAACAAGGCTGATAGAGACTTTGCCATTTTACGATGTCACTATCTCCATATATGGTTTCCAGGAGCATTGAATCAGGGGAAGAGAGTACAGAAAACTCATACCTGCTCTTAAATAAATGCCCTAGGCCAGAAGTGACTTGTAACACTTCCACATGGAGTTTATTGTTCAGAACTAGAGTTTAATGGCCTCACTTTAGCTTTAAGAGAGGTTGGGAAATGAAAGAGGAGCACACATAGAATGTTTGGAGAGTTTTCCTTTGTCCGCTGTATACCTCTTGTTAAAGATGAGAAAATTGAGGAAAAGAGGGATAAGAAATCTGCTCAATGTCACAGAGCTGGTAACTGGTAAAAGCTAGACTCAAGCCCAGGCTGCCTGGTGCCAGAGCCTGTCTTCTTGTCCATGCCTTCATGTTGCAGTTCCACAGGGGAGAACTACTCAGATGCAGAGAGTGTGTCAAGGGCTTTTCCCCCGTCTCCATTCTTTTCCGAAAAGTGGCTGCTCCTTCTCTTTAGTAACAGAGGTTTTTTGGTTAGTTGTTTTGTTTGTTCGTTTCTTTGTTTTTTGGTACTTTGATGCTTTGGGTGTTTAAGGTTTAGCTTACCATGGCCAGTCAACTAGCCCTGCCTTCTCACCTCTCCAGTGACTGGCCACAGAAAGCTAAATATTAAAAACCCAAACTATCCTAGCTTGCCACACGGTCCTGTCAGGAATGTCCTGGGTGTCTCCAGAAATCTTTAGCCATGACTTTGATCAGAAATAATTTCTTCCCAGCTTCAATGAAAATACTGGAGATCCCTCATTCTCTAACAATGCCCCAAAAATGGCTCCAGTAGAAAAGTCATAGTACAAGCCGCTACCTATGACTACCTTGGTTTATCCAATGCAATATCACTATCAACCCTCCATCTAAATGCCTGGTCCAGGTGCTTTACAGGCTTGGTGTCACATAATCCTTTCAATGATCCCATGCAACAAATCTTATTAACAAATCCTGCTTCATTTTACAAATGTCAAGACCAAGCTTTGAAAGGAAAATGGTTCACCCAAGAGCTTTCTTGTGAGTGCCTGAGGTTGGACTTAATTAAGCTCAAGACTTTGGGATTCCAAAGACCCTGCATTTTACCAGGAT
Organism: Homo sapiens; assembly: GCF_000001405.40. Lineage (NCBI taxonomy): Eukaryota > Metazoa > Chordata > Mammalia > Primates > Hominidae > Homo > Homo sapiens. Next base: position 20,698,994 of record NC_000016.10, on the reverse strand, counting down.
ACCAAATTGTTCCTCTGAGAATCCCAAGTGAATAAAAAGAGCCAACATCGACTATGCCCAGCACCGTGTGCTACATGCTTTTTATAAATTATTTCATCTAGTTCTAACAAACAAATGAAGAAGCAAAGAAAACACCCTGGGAGGTAGGTATTGTTGTTATCATTCCTATTTTACAAATAAGGTAGGTGTTGGGTGCTGTGGCTCATGCCTGTAATCCCAGCACTTTAGGAGGCTGAGGCGGGCAGATCACCTGAGGTCAAGAGCTCAAGACCACCCTGGCCAACATGATGAAACCCTGTCTCTATTAAAAATACAAAAATTAACTGGGTGTGGTGGCGGGCACCTATAATCCCAGCTACTTGGGAGGCTGAGGCAAGAGACTCAATTAAACCTGGGAGGCGGAGGTTGCAGTGAGCCAAGACCATGCCATTGCATTCCAGCCTGGGTGACAGCATGAGATTCTGTCTCAAAAGCAACCGAAAACCAATTAAGGGAGGTGAGGCCCAGAGCAAGAAGGTCCACAAAGATGACATGGAGGTTAAGTGGCAGACCTAAGGCTCAAACTCAGACCTTTCTGCCTCCAGACCTCCAGAGCCCAGGCTCTTATCCATTAGGCTACACTGACTCTCAGCTGTCATTTAAGGGAGACTATGGTGATGTAGGGCTGGGAAGGGGGAGCAGGTTAGCCACAGAGAACTAGTGAAAATGCACCATTGGATCTAGTTCATTCACACCCCTAGCCATGCCACCGGAATTGGAGGTGACTTCGTATACGTGGTTTGTTTTTCTTTTTTTTTTTTTTTTTGAGACAGAGTCTCTGTCTCCCAGGCTGGAGTGCAGTGGCATGATCTCGGCTCACTGCAAGCTCCGCCTCCCGTGTTCACGCCATTCTCCTGCCTCAGCCTCCCGAGTAGCTGGGACTACAGGCGCCCACCACCACACCCGGCTAATTTTTTGTATTTTTAGTAGAGACGGGGTTTCACCGTGTTAGCCAGGATGGTCTCCATCTCCTGACCTCGTGATCCGCCCGCCTCGGCCTCCCAATGTGCTGGGATTACAGGCGCGAGCCACTGCGCCCGGCCCACATGGTTTGTTTTCTAAGTGATTATCTCTCCGTGGAGGCCTGTAATTGTTTCTGTCCTATTTTACCTGAGCATCTCCTCCCCCTACTGAATTACCCAATTCCTAACAAGTTCTCTGTTCAAGGTCCCCCTTCGCTGTGGCCAGAAGCCAAGTTCTGCTGGGTGCACAATCCTGCGGATCACCTGATCAGAGAGAACTGAACCTACAAAAGAGAGCTCAACCTCCTTTTCCATACCTACCAGGGACCTAGTTCAGCTACGTCCTAAACAGTACCAGGTAAGACAGAGGTGAAGGTCAGCTTCTATCTGTGTGTGTGTGTGTGTGTGTGTGTGTGTGTGTGTGTGTGTGTGTGTGTAATCCAATTTTAAGTTCTGGCAATGCTACTTTTAAGTTGAGTGACCTTGGGCAAGTCACTTAACTTCTTGGCACTTCATTTTAGAGGCAAAATGACAATGGTGATATTGGGTGAGAGGAATAAATAGGAACGTACATGTAATATGTTTAGCACAGTGGCTGGCATGTAAATGGGGACTGGTTTAGTGTCAGGCAGCTCTGAATGTGGTGAGCCGTGGGAGACAGGCACAAAGTCAGAGATGAATGTTTGAAGGAAATCTTTTCTATCTATGCAGAAGTTGGCTCACTTTCTATAAAGTGAATGCCTTCTAAAAAAAATTATCCAAGCATAGTAATACATGCCTGTGGTCCCAGGTACTTGAAAGGCTGAGGCAGGAGGATGACTGTAGCCCAGGAGATTGAGGCTGCAGTGAGCTATGATCACACCACTGCACTCCAGTCCAGGTGACAGTTTCAAAAAAAATGGTTAACATCTAATGGGGAGGGGGTTGGCTTCAGAATTTGCTGGGAGTTAAAAGGTACCTCAACATTTATTGAGTCCTTACCGTGCACTTCATTCAGTGCCAGCAAGTAAATTATCACACTAATCCTTATGGGGAGCTGGGAAGAAGGTATTACTACTGTGCGCTTAAGTTCAGAGACATGAACAGCACCAAAGACCCAGCTGCTAGACAACAGAGACAAACATCTAGCCCTGGCTCTGTAACTCTGGGATACCCTATAACACAGTAAGTATGTTGCTTCATTAAATAGCTTTATCAGTCCCAAGTCCTGTGAAGTCAAAGCTTAGTTGCAGGAGCTGTTCAAGGCACTATGTATCTGGGAATACAGTGGGGAGCCCAGCTGCCTCTCAAAGCTACCATGTCAAATTGCTTTCAGAATGCACTTTAAGCAGTTCAGAAAATTGTTCTTTAAAATGATTTCATAGGATGTGCTTTAATGATATGCTCTAACAGGGTAGGAACTCTTTCAGTTTAATTAATCTCCAATAGTATCTAAAACTGTACATGGTACATCTATAGTAAATACTTGAGAAAGAAAAAATACATTTTTCTATAACTCAGATAATTTGTGGGCACACTGGCTTTTCTCTTTCTGACTTTCATCACTCAGTTTTCTGAATTATGACAAAGAAGGGAAGAATCTAACTTTTTGTTGAGCACTTACTATGTCCAGCACGGTGAGAAATAGACAAACTAAGCTTTGTGAAGTCAAATCTGAAGACAGATGTGGATGGAAATAGATATCGAAACAGAGACAGAGACGGAGATAGAGATAGAGACAGAGATAGTGATAGAGATAGAGACATGCATCACTTAACAACCAAGATACGTCTGAGAAATGCATTGTTAGGTGATTTTGTTATTATGGGAACTCATAGAGTGTACTTACACAAACCCACAAAGCATAGTCTTCTACACATATAGGCGATATGCTATAGCCCATTGCTTCTAGGCTACAAACCTATGTAGCTTGTTGCTGTATTAAATACTGTAGGCAGTCATGACACGATGGTAAGTACTTGTGTATTGAAACATAGAAAAGGTACAGTAGAAATATGTCATTATAATTGTATGGGCCACTCTGTATATGTGATCCATCACTGACAATGACATCATATTGTGGCACATGACTACAGTGTACATGTGTTATTGTTATAGACATTAATATTAATGTATAGATATACACAGATAGTGATATAGGTATAAATGTAAATATTGGTATATAGATACAGAAATAGATTTAGAAATGAAGCTTAACATACATACAGAGATAGAGATAGACGCAGACATAGACATATAGATATCTGATTTTCAGTCCTCAACACTTGGAGATCAGGTTCTTATATATCTAGATAGATAGATAGATAGATAGATGATAGATAGATAGAAAATAGGTAATAGGTAGATAGATAGACGATAGATACATAATAGATAGGTAATAGATAGATAAATAGATGATAGATAGATAATAGATAGGTAATAGATAGATAGATAGATAGACAGATAATCAGTGAAAAAGCTGGACATATACCAGTCCTATGGTGTCTATGTTCAGGTATTCATCCCCATTCCTTCTCTTTAGACCTTAACTCCAAAAGTTAAGGAAATTTTTTTCCTCTGGCTTAACTACTCTATAAGAGCTTCCCTATAAAGTGTGTTAACTAGCAACAGCTCTTATTTCTAAAATACTTGTCCGTGCTGAATGCTTTTTGCAGGATATCGTGCATTTATCACCATGGCTTCAGGCAATAGGTGCTGCCAATATGCCTATGTTTTTATAGGGAGGTTAAATAAATTGCCCCAAGTTATGTGGGTGGGAAATGAAAGTGCTGGAATTTGAGCCCGTGTTGTTTGATCTCTAGGGCCATGCTGTTTCAGCTACCACAGTTCTCCACAGCTGGGCACTGTGTTTGGCCCTCTCATGTGACGAAGATTAAATTAGAATCACAAACACATTTGTGAGATGATGCCAAAGTCATTTCTTCTTTATTTGATCAAGAGGAGTACATTGGTTTGCTAGGGCTGCCATGAAAATTACTAATGACTGAGTGGTTTAAACAACAGAAATTGATTTTCTCAAAGTTCTGAAGGCTGGAGGTCCAAGATCAGGGTGGTTTTCTCTGAGGTCTTTTTCCTTGGCTATCTTCATATTCACATGGTCTCCCTCTGTGTGTGTCTGTGTCCTAATCTCCTCTTTTTATAAGGACACCAGTCATATTGGATTAGGGCCCACCCTAATAACTCATTTTAACTTAATTACATTTTTAAAGACCCAATCTCCAAATACAGTGGTGTTCTGAAATATTGGGGTTCGTACTTCACCACATACATTCATGGGGGACACAGTTCAAACCATGATAACTGGTTAATGGATTCCCTCACTATATCTCTCCCTTTTGTTTTGGTCTTTAGTCACTTAGTAAGGGGTTGTTTGGACTGTCTTCAGGAAAAATGGTGAGTTTGTATTTTAAGGAAGACCCTGAGGTCATATAGACACCTGCATAGAAAAATTGCAACTGAGTTTGATATTCTCACCCAAACTAAGCTCATGCCTGTGGAAGGAGGTGTGTGTTGGAAAATGTAACAGAGGTGATGGGCTTCTAGAACCAACTTGGCTACAATATTGTTTGAAATGTTTGTTCCTTGGTGCCGTAAAGAAATAGGACTTGAATGTAAATTTAATTTACTCAGCAAGGCCATTTTTACTTCCTGCAGAAATGGTACACTTGCCAGCAGTTTTGCCAGGAGAGTACATAGAACAAAGGAGACAGGGTCATTTATAACCTGACGCATCCACCCTACTGCTGTGTCCGGTTTCCACTGGCTGGAACGGGACCTCACATTCTGTATTTGTCCCGATTGGCTAGCAACTTAGAACTTTTTTAAAGAGGCAAAGGTAGAGGAGAACAAAGGAAAGAGGAAGTAACTCGTGAAATGCTGAGAAAGATTAAAACACTTTTAAATAAGCAAGAGGAACAGGCTATGGCCTAATGCTTGCTTGGACCAGTATAAGAATGCCAGGGCAAATATTTAGGCTAAATTGTGGGAGCTAAGAACATAAAGTACATTGATTTCTTTATTACGGTTAGCAGATATTTAAGAATCTTAGCACAGGACTTTGAATAAATTTTGCTTTTAAGAGAAGTTACTATTTATTCCTAATTAGATGGGGAGGAAAGTCTTTGAAGAGGAACCTCTATTTTACTTTTTACAATATTAAAATTGCATCATGACTTTGGGGAAATTCCTGCCTCTCCTGGGATGTTGGCCTAGGTTAGAGATTTTAAGCTCAAATATACACAGGGGCTGGACAGCTACAATAAGTGGAGAAGCAGGCAGGAGGGACAAAATAAAGTGGTAGGAACTGCATCAAACTGGAGAACATCTCATTTAAATAAAGCAGACAATTCTCAGCTCCAGCCACTTGACAACAAGTTGAAATAAAGACCCAGCATCACTGGCCATTACTAGTTCTATTGTCTATTATATGGGTCTGTTGTCAGCCGGTATTTTATCATTGTTGAAAGTGAGCAAGAGGGAACTTAAATGTTCATGATGATAAAGTGCTTCAATCTCAAAGCTGTTTGAGAAATAGCTTTCTTCAGTCAACATTTACATGGAAAGAAAGGATCCAGCTTAAGCCATTTTTTCCAATCAAACTTCAAGAAGGATCCTAATAAAGGAGGTTCCTGCTGTCATGTTGGCAGCATATTTCAGGATCTGAAGGGGCAATGAGGTTTAATTTTATGTGTCAACTCTGATGCATTGGTATCAGCTGTCCTGAATGCTACTCTAGGGAAGAACTCAATGCCACATCCCAGTCCATTGGAAAGTGCAGTGACATTAGCAGTGAGGACTAAGATCTGAATTTTTTTTTTTTTTTTTGAGACGGAATTTTGCTCTGTTGCCCAGGCTTCAGTGCAGTGGCATGATCTCGGCTCACTGCAACCTCCGACTCCCAGGTTCAAGTGATTCTCCTGCCTCAGCCTCACCAGTAGCTGGGACTACAGGCAGGCACTTCCATGCCTGGCTAATTTTTCAAATTTTTAGTAGAGACAGGGTTTCATCATGTTAGCCAGGATGGTCTCAAACTCCTGACCTCATGATCCACCTGCCTCAGCCTCCCAAAGGGCTGGGATTATAGGCATGAGCCACTGTGCCTGGCCTAAGCTCTAATTTTTTATCTTGCTGAAATTCCTATCTAAGGGGCTTAGGGAGTTATGCCCTACAAACCATAAATTCTCATCAGATGGGTTTTATTTAACCCTGTATATCAAGACTTACTTTCCAATCAGACTCTGGCATAACAAGAAGAAAATCAAAATGTTTTACCCAAAAATATATTTCCTTGCCATACCTTGAAATTGCCCTGCAAAGTCTCTTGTAGGAAAAATCCACATTCTATAAAGAACCCCATTTCCTCTTTGTTTTCTTTCCTTCCTTCCCAGATCCAGGAGACAATCAACTAAGAGCCACATACCCTTTTAGGTCTAAGACATATTTTACAACCTGCTCTCTCTCTGACGTCTGGTGTCTGAGAGATACCGGTGCACAATAAAACTTGGTCTCCACAAAGCTTTACCTTAACCTGAACATTCCTTGCCATTAATCCCAGGTCTTCAAATAAACTCACCCAATTGTCAGCCACAAAATGTTTAAATTTACCTATAGCCTGGAAGCCCCCACTTTAGGTTTTCCCACCTTTCTGAACCAAGCCAACACAGTTCTTAAATGTATTTAATTAATGTCTCATGCCTTCCTAAAGTATATAAAACCAAGCCGTACCCCAACCACCTTGGCCACATAGTCTCAGGATTTCCTGAGGGCTGTGTCACGGGCCAGGTTCACTCATATTTGGCTCAGAATAAATCTCTTCAAATATTTTACAGAGTTTAACTCTTTTTGTCAACAGCAGCATCTGCTCTGAGGATGATGGTGTATATTTTTCAGTATCTTTATAGTCTCAAGTGACAGAAACCCAGTCTCAGGCAAAGGAGAATCTTTTGGCTTACAGAATCCAGAGAATATTAACAAGACAGGGGCAGACATGCAGAGGAACAATTTGAACCAGGGACTTGAATGACTGCAGGATTCTTACTCCACCTCATCTCATTGTTTCTGTACATCAGTTTCATTCTCGCCTGTAGGGGGGCTGTCTCCACATGATAGGAATCATAACCACAAACAGCACACAAAATGTGCATTCCACCAGAGGGAGACAGCCTGATATATTTAAATCTGTTTAGAAACACACACACACACACACACACACACACACACACACACACACACACACACACACATTGGAGAGGTATTATGATTGGCCCAGCTTAGGTTACAAAGTCATGAGAAATGACTGCTCAACCCTGGACCAATCAACTTTAGTCATGGGATGGGATCATATAAAGATATCACAGCTTCCATGGCAACAACATGATTTGGCTTGGCAGAAAGGGAAGTTTCTAAAGTAAAGACACTATAAGGTACAGAACTTTCCAAAAGGCGAGTTGCTCTACCACAAAAGGGATGACCATATGGCTTCCATCCTGGGCTGACATCTTAGCAGGTTGAAGGAGAAGACCCCTAGGAACGCGCACCAAACCCATAATAGTAGCTATATAACCTCCCCAGCGTTTTCTGCCATGTGGTTCCTCAGCTGGGAAGATAAATCCCCACCAAAATCAATCAGGGGTGCCTTCCAAATTCTGGTGACCTGAAACAAAGCTATAACTGTAGCAATTAACCAAAAACATGCACCCAATTTAGGGAGAAAGTTTTGGATACACAGCCAATCTATTAGCCATCTCTTCCCAAGGCAGGTGGTGACTTGAGAACTCTGTGCCTGGTTTCTGAGGACTGTTTCACCATGCAGTGGCTAATGAGGTTCCGGACCCTCTGGGGCATCCACAAATCCTTCCACAACATCCACCCTGCCCCTTCACAGCTGCGCTGCCGGTCTTTATCAGAATTTGGAGCCCCAAGATGGAATGACTATGAAGTACCGGAGGAATTTAACTTTGCAAGTTATGTACTGGACTACTGGGCTCAAAAGGAGAAGGTAAGAGATCTGCCGTGATGGCGATATAAGAACAAGGGTGGCCTCACTTTCCTTATCTTGCTCCTACTAGGCTGAAAGGTATGGAACCAAAGTTACTTCTGCCTCAACTTATCAGTGTTGTGGAAGAAGCTTATATTTCAAGGTTCTATTCCCAGCCTGGCCATTTCCTTACTTCATTGAGCCTCAGTGGTTTCATCTATGAAATGAGGAATTAACTCCTTTAAAAACAAGAAAATAGGTAAATATATCTTTTATTCAATCAGGGTACTATAATTGTGACCAGGTGCAAAGTTCTAGTCACAAGGTCAGCAAATTCGTATTAGTCTGAGTTCTCATCTTCAGTGAATGGGACAATGTGTCTTAACTGGTATTCATGTCATCAAACTTGGGCTTGACTTGAGACTGCATGCAGAGGAGGGGATAGACCACCTGAATGTGCACATGAGTGTCTGACACATTTACCTATGTTAGGCCATCCATCTTCCCATGAGGATGGCAAGTCTAATTAGATTCCTCCTTGTCAACTACCTACTTGACTGTGGCTTTAAGGTATGTCAAGAAAAACCAAGCCCTGTGTCTTCCAGAGGTTATGTGTTTCTGCAGAAAACCCCAAGTGCTTGGTTTGTCTTCTCACAAGACACAGACCAAGAGAGAAGCAGTAGTGACATTAGGAGTCAGGTAGACAATGGATGGTATTTATAGCCACTAACTCCCAGCTGCCAATATGGTAGTGTAAAAAGTCACCCAGCACTGTCTTTGTACAGAAGAGAGAATCCCCCTGAGATGGAATTGGAGAGTTAATATAATTTTTAAGTGTTCCATGAATATGTATTCATGTATTACTATCCAAAGCCTACATGCCTTTATGGCATCTTCCTCCCCACCACCTTCTTTTTCTTTTCTCTGAATTTGCATAGTAACCTCAAGAAAAATAAAACCCTCAGTTACAGAGAGCATTGTTATGTGCCTTGGCAATCACCTTGCATTTAATCATCTAATTAGATGTGTACTGTTATTGTCTCTATTTCCTTAATGAAGAAACTGAGGTTCCAAGGATTTAATGAATATACTGAAATCACATGTCTAATAAGTGGGAGAGCAGGGTTTGGGTCCAGGCTGTCTGATTTCACAATCCATTATTTAACCTAGTCTCCCAATCTGATGATGCCAAAATATCTCTGCCTTAAGAGTATAAATTCATTTTTTTCATTGCCCAGACTGGAAATCTGGTTGAGAATTTTTGAAACAAGATGGGTTGGAGAGGAAGGAAGTAAAAGGAGGAGGTGAATGGGTGAACATTACTATATAAATTTGAGTAATATAAATGCAATTTTGTTTTTCAAAATTAATATTAAACTATAAGCATTTTATTATAAAAACAATTCTAAAAGTTTTTCATTGATTTTATCATATTCAATCACATAGAAGTAGCTTAATTTTTGCAGACAGCATGTAGTTGGATTTTTTTTTTATCCATTCTGCCAATCTATGTCTTTTGACTGGGGAGTTTAGTCCACTTACATTTAAAGTAACTACTGACAGGCAAGGATTTACTATTGCCATTTTGGTAATTGTTTTCTTGATGTCTTATAGCTTTTCTGTCTCTCATTTCCTCTCTTACTGACATCTTTTGTGTTTACTTGAGTTTTTGTAGTGACACACTTTGATTTTCTTCTCATTTCCTTTTGTGTATATTCAATAAATATTTGCCTTGTGGTTACCATGGGAATTAAATATGATATCTTGTAGTTCTAGCAATCTATTTAATACTGATAACAACTTAATTTTAATCACATACAAAAACCCTACTCCCATGACATTATAAGGCCAATAATGAAAATTAAATGTAAAAATCCTTCCCCTTTACAGTTCTATCCCAGCCAGCCCCTCCCCACACTTTATGTTATTGATGTCATCAATAACATTTTTGTATATTGCTTAATTAACATTTATTTAACATAGATATTGTAAATATATGTTAACATATATTAATATATAATATAATATATTAACATATTAAATATATGTTAATAAGTTAACATATATTTATAATTATTTTTATGATTTGTTTTTTAAATACTGTAACAAATAACAAGTGGAGTTACAAACCAAACTTATAATAATATTGATTTTTATATTTGTCCATGAATTTATATTTACAAGAGAACTTTACATTTTCATATTTGAGTTCCTCTCCAGCATTCTTTTATTTCACCTTGAGGACTTCCTTTAGCATTTCTTGTAGGGGCAAGTCTAGGGATAGTGAACTTTGACTTTTGTTTATCTGGGAATACCCTAATTTCCCCTTTACTTTTGAAGAATCTTTCTGGATGTAAAATTCTTGGTTGGCTTTTTTTTTCTTTAAGCCCTTTAAATATATCATCCACTTCTTTCTGGCCTCAAGGTTTCTACTGAGAAATCCACTGATAATCTTATTGAGAATCTCTTGTACATGAGTTGCTTTTCTCTTGCTGATTTCAGTTTAATTATAATGTGTCTTGATATTGGTCCTCCTTGGATTTATTCTACTTGAGGTTTATTGAGCTTCTCATATTTGTATTACCATGCATTGTCTCAAATTTGGGGATCATGGGGCCAATATTTCTTCCAATAACCTCTATGCCCATTTCTTTCTCTTTCTTTTTCTAGAATGCCCAAAATGGGTATATTGGTTGGCTTGATAGTGTCCTATAATTCCCTCAAACTCTGTTTATTTTTCTTCCTTCTTTTTAACTTTTTCTTCTCAGATTCAGTAATTTTAAATGACCTGTCTATGTTTATGGATTTTTTCTTCTACCTATTTGAATCTGCCATTGAACCCCTAGTGAATTTTCAATTTAGTTACTATGTTTATTTAGTTACTATATTTTTCAGCTCCAAATATTGTTTGGTTCTTTCTTTTTTTTTTTTTTGAGACAGAGTTTTGCTTAGTCTCCCAGGCTGGAGCGCAGTGGCACGATCTCAGCTCACTGCAATCTCCACCTCCTGGGTTCAAGCAATTCTCCTGCCTCAGCCTCCTGAGTAGCTGGGATTACAGGTGCATGCAACTATGCCTGGCTTATCTTTTGTACTTTTAATAGAGATGGGGTTTTGCCGTGTTGGCCAGGCTGGTCTCAAACTCCTGACCTCAAGTGATCCGGTAGCCTCGGCCTCCCAAAGTGCTGGGTTTACAGGCATGAGCCACCGTGCCTGGCCGGGTTCTTTTTTAATATATAGTTTCTATCTTTTTGTTGGTATTGTTATTTTGTTCATATATAGTTTTTCTAATTTCCTTTAGGTGTGGATCTGTGGTTTCCTTTAGCTCTTTGAGCATATTTAAGACAATTGATTTAAAATCTTTGCCTAGTAGCTGAATCCTGTGTTTATTTAGGGTTTGTTTCTGGAGATTTATTTTGCTCCCTTGAATGAGCCATGTTTTCCTGCTCCTTTGTGTGCTTTATGTTTTTATGTTGAAAGTTAGGCATTTGAAAAAAGCAGCCCCCCTCTCTCAGTCTTGAAGAGCAGCTGCATGCAGGGGTAGACCTTCACTAATCTTCATAGTGTGAAGGCTTTAGGCCTTCTCAGGCCTTTTCTAGCATTTATCTTTCCTTGGCCTCTGTGTGTGCATCCCGCCCCACCTCGCTAATTTTCCCGTATAAATGGCTGTTTTAATTTCTTAATTTCCCTAAAAGTCTCTTCCTTGCTTCTCTTCAGGGTCTTACATGTTTTATTGTATTTCTCTTTCCCCTACGTGCCTGCAGGTCTGATGTTTTTGCACAGCCTGTTACCCACCACTGCTTTCAGAGACCCCCAACATCATATTCAAATTATGCCATGGTTTCTATCTGACCTGCAAGTCAGGCAAGACAGAAGCCAGTCCCTCCGCAACCCTTGGACAAGCCAGAACATTGTAAACAAGTTTCACTCCTTTCCTTCAGTCCTGAGAGAAGAGGTGGGAGTTGGGGGGCTTCCTCTTGACTGCACCGCACCACACCAGAAAGAGATGGGGGCAATGGTGACCAAAAAAAAAAAAAAAAAATCACAAAATTTTCTACCATTTTGAGTATGGCTTTTTCATTTTTTTCCTTTTTAAATTTTTAATCATACGTATTTAAGGTGTACAACATGATGTCTTCTTGTACATATACTACTGCAGTCATACCAATTAACATGTTAATCACTTTCCATAGTTAAACTTTTTTTTTTTCTTTTTTGAGACAGGGTCTCATTCTGTCTCCCAGGCTGGAATGCAGTGGCACAATCACTGTAGCCTGAAACTGGGCTCAGGCTATCCTCCTGCCTCAGCCTCCCAAGTAGCTGGGACCACAGGTGTGTGCCACCTCGCCTGGCTCTATATTTAGCTTTTATTTATTTATTTTTATTTTACTTTAAGTTCCGGGATACAAGTGCAGAACATGTAGGTTTGTTATGTAGGTATATGCGTGTCATGGTGGTTTTCTGCACCTATCAACTGGTCATCTAGGTTTTAAACCCCGCATGCATTAGCTATTTGTCCTAATGCTCTCCCTCCCATGGCCCCTGACCCGTCAGACTGGCCCCAGTGTGTGTTGTTCCCCTGCCTGTGTAAGTGGGAATTGAGTATGGCTTTTTCATGACTGGGGGCATTTGTTTGGTTTTCTGCAGATCCTTGGCTGGTTTCTAGACCTCCCATGAAGCTATTTCAGTCCATCTGTTGTTTCTGTAGGTAGAATCTTGCTGTTTCTATGAGGCAAAAAAGGGCCTGGAGCTTCCTAGTCTGCTTTGTTACTGCCCTCACCTCTAAGAGTAACTTAATTAAAAAAATTTTTTTCAAAAATTTAGCAATTAAGTAAGCCTCTTTTGTTTTGTTTTATTGTGATAATAATAATATTTATTGAGCATTTACTATGTGACAGGCACTCTTACATGCTTTATGTAAATAACTTATTTAAACTTTGCTACTTTCTAGGTAATAATTATTGTCAGCATTTTATTGAGGAGAAACTAAGGCACAGAGAAGAATGCACAGTCCATATGGAATTAAGGCAGGCATGTGGTGGAATGGAGTTTTAAATCTTCAATAGGAAGCATAAAGGCTGTTTATGGTCTTATGTGGCTTGAGGCAGGGTGGCTACAGTAGGCCAGAAGTCCCGCTCCACCCCTAAACCTCTCCTGATGCTATAAGTTTTTTGTTTTTTTTTTGTTTGTTTTTTTTTTTTGAGACGGAGTCTCACTGTGTCATCCAGGCTGGAGTGCAATGGTGCAATCTTGGCTCACTGCAACCTCTGCCTCCTGGGTTCAAGCAATTCTCCTACCTCAGCCTCCTGAATAGCTGAGATTACAGGCATGCACCACCATGCCCAGCTAATTTTTAAATTTTTAGTAGAGACAGGGTTTCACCATGTTGGTCAGGCTGGTCTCGAACTCCTGACCTCATGATCAACCTGCCTCCACCTCCTAAAGTACTGGAATTACAAGCATGAGCCACTGCGCCTGGCTGTATAAATGTTTTAAAATGGGATCTCAGTCCTTAAGCTGTGTTCACATTGGAACGTGACTATGGCTGTGGATTAGTTTACTAAGTGCCCTTTTTCTTTGAAGCAGAAAATAACACATAATATATGGTCTTGACCAGGAGGGCAAGAGAGGTCCAAATCCAGCTTTTTGGTGGGTGAATGGCCAAGGGGATGAAGTAAAGTGGAGCTTCAGAGAGATGGGAGACCTAACCCGCCGTGTAGCCAACGTCTTCACACAGACCTGTGGCCTACAACAGGGAGACCATCTGGCCTTGATGCTGCCTCGAGTTCCTGAGTGGTGGCTGGTGGCTGTGGGCTGCATGCGAACAGGTCAGTGATGCAAGAGGGACCTGGTGGACCTCGGGGCTGTTCTAGAACCAATGGGTCCTGAGATATTAGGTGCTGTGCACCCAGCCTGGCACTGACACAGCTTTGAAGCCTTCGCCCCAGTTTCTGTGCTGGGACCACAAAGCAAGGCTTCCTGCCCTGTGGGAATTATCAGTTTAATTAGAGACAAAACAATTTCTCTTCTCTGTACCTCCTTTCTTCTTCACAGTCTTTGTCTTTCTCATACTCCCTCACAAATTCTCTTATTCTCTCCCTCACACTCTCACATTCATACACTCTCAAGTGCAGTGCCAAACTTTGTCTCATACACACACACACACAAACACACATACACTTTCTCTTGCACAGCCTCAGAGAGTCTTACTTTTTTAAAGATTCATTGATAATGTTTTTCCATATTTGAGCACTCTCTCCCTCTCTCTTTCTCTCCCTTTCTTACTGAATTATTTAAGAATCACTAGTGGGCATTGTGACACCTATGAACACCAGGTAAACACTCATAAACACAAAAGCAGGCATCTGATAAGATCCAAAATATTCCACAGCCTTTTCTGCATGACAGTGACATTTTTGAAGAATGCAAGTTGTATTGTAGAATATATCTCCAAATTTGTATTTCTGACTCTTTCTTTGTGATTATATTCAGATTAGACACGTTAGGCAGGAGAATTGCAAGGACAAAGTTGTGTCTTCCTCTGTGCATCACATCAGGGGGTATATTCTGAAGTCAGTTTGTTCCCTCTTCAGTTATACTGTTTTATCACTTAAGCAAGGTGGTTTTCACAGAAAACCTTTATCCTTTACAAAGGCACAATTTTTCCTTGTAATTAATAAATAATTCATTGTGTGATCCTTAAGCGATTGTGTGAATATTCCTATTCCCTAACATTCTTTCACATTATGGTTTGAGTACCTAGTGATGATTCTTTACCTAATTGAATATTACCATGTTGGTTTTACATGGAAATTTTCTATTTCTGTCAGTTTCATTTATTAGTTAGAATTCTTATGTAGAGATTTCCCTTCCCCTTTTGATGACTTATTTTTTGTCTATATAGATTAGAATCAGTGACTCACAGATTCTTTTTTGAATCACTTCTCTCATTTTATCATGTGTACAGCACTCTGCCATACTCTTGATCATATTTTCTCTCTCTCCGTCTCATATTCTCTCACAAATAAAATAGGTGATTCATTCAGCCAGATCATGTGAAATCAAGAAGTAATAAAACTGGTGGAAGGAGTATAGAGATGAAAAGCCATGTCATCTGTAGACCTATAAGATGGTCCATGGGAAATCTAAGACTTGGCCTGGGTGGTGGCTTAGGCCTATAATACCAGCACTTTGGGAGGCTGAGGTGGGTGGATCATGAGGTCAGGAGATCGAGACCATCCTGGCCAACATGGTGAAACCCCATCTCTACTAAAATACAAAAAGAAAGAAAGAAAGAAAGAAAGAGAGAGAGAGAGAGAAAGAAAGAAAGAATTAGCCAGGCGTGGTGGCAAGACTCTCAAAAAAAAAAAAAAAGACTTGAGCTGAGCCCTCTGGGCTAAGAAGAATTAAAGAGGATTAGAAACAAAGGAAGGACATTCCAAGCATGGGGTGAGGCATGGCCATTTTGAAATAGAAAATAAGGTGTAGGGGAGAAAGATGGAAAGAAAGCAGCATCTTCAAAGTCAGGACGAGAAGTGTGGTGTTTTCCTGGAGAGAGGGTACAGGTGTTAGTGCAGAGAAGAAATGTAGGGAGGCCAGGCATGGTGGCTCACAGCTGTAATCCCAGCACTTTGGGAGGCTAAGGCAGACAGATCACTTGTGGTCAGAAGTCCAAGACCATCCTGGCCAACCTGGTGAAAACCTATCTCTACTAAAAATAATAATAATAATAAAAAATAGCTGGGCATGGTGGTGGACACCTTTAATCCCAGCTGCTGGAGAGGCTGAGACAGGACAATTGCTTGAACCCAGGAGGCTGAGGTTGCAGTGAGCTCAGATCACACCACTGCACTCCAGCCTGGGTGACAGGGGGAGACTCCACCTTAAAAAAAAATAAATAAATAAAAGAAAAAAAGAAATTCAGAGGAAAAAAAAGTCAATGTTTATGGAACTAAGCAAATAATAATATGGAAGATGGGTAGCAGGAAGATTCAAAACTGGTGGAGGGATGAGAATCCAGAAGGAAACACAAAGGCTTGAGCTCACTGTTGGCAATGGAGATAGAAGGGAATGCAAAAAACTCAAAGGACAATGTGGTGAAATACAGAATGAAGGAAAGAGGGGACATTCAAGATGACATCCAAGGAATGACAGAAAGGGGAAAAGGAAGGGAAAGATGGGGGAGAGATGCAGCTATTCTTGATGTCAGAGACACTGTTCTGTTTACATCTATACTTCCAGATCCTGTGTAAATGTGTGTAAAGCAGTGTCCACCCATTTTTTGGCTAGATCCATTTACAGTAGAAAAGATTAGGGCAGGGCTTACAAATTTTAGTGCAAAAGAATCACTTGGAAAACTTGTTAAGATGCAGATTCTGATTCTGTAGGTTTGAAACAGGGTGTGAGATTCTGCATCCTGGATAGTGCTGCTGCTGTTGTTCTGTGGCCTGTACTTTACATAACAAGAAGTTAGGGTATTTCGATGCAGACAAGCCAAGTCTAAAGCCCATGGTTGTGAAAAAGAAACCAAAACAATCAGTTCCTTTCTCATCCCCAGGGATCATCTTCATTCCTGCGACCATCCTGTTGAAGGCCAAAGACATTCTCTATCGACTACAGTTGTCTAAAGCCAAGGGCATTGTGACCATAGATGCCCTTGCCTCAGAGGTGGACTCCATAGCTTCTCAGTGCCCCTCTCTGAAAACCAAGCTCCTGGTGTCTGATCACAGCCGTGAAGGGTGGCTGGACTTCCGATCGCTGGTTAAGTGAGTCTCTGGTCTGATGAATATAATCTCTGAGTACAGTTGTTGTGGGATAATTTAGGAATCAGAGAGACCAGTGGGGTTGAGGAGGATGTATTTATTATTTAGGTGCACCAGCCCAGTCAGATTAACATCCAAAGGACTGAGCCCTGAACAAAGAGTCAGGTTACCTTTTAAGCATTTCATGGGGTGAGAGGGGAGATCTGTGCAGGGGGAAGCTTACTACAGAAGTGAGAAACAAAGACAGTTATTCAGTTGAGACATGTATTACATCATTTCTTACTTTTCAAGGAAAAACATGTTTTACAACTTGAGTTTATCTGTCTAGTGACCATGCAGCTGCACAGCTGGAGAAACAGGGTCTTCACAATGCCTGGGAAAGGGAGAGATAAGGCTCACTAGCTACAGACGGAAAAACAGGCAGTGAATTTTTAAAGGACTCCACCTCTTTCTCTTCCTCAGGAGGAATTGGGTTTCCCTACATACAATTGAGTTTTTGCTTATGCATTCTTTAATTTCTTTTAATTCCTGTTCCATTTCCCCCCTTTGTTGCTTTTTATAACAAAGGTGTTAATAGAAAGCACCACTATTTGCCACCTCTTCACAGAGCTGAGCTTCTTCTACTGGCAGTGGCTGATATTTGGTTAATGCCATCAACTGTGCGGTAGTGTGTTGAGTTATTACTGCCTCTATAGTTGACTGAATCCTCCTAATAAACAGGGGTAAAAGGTAAGGGAGGATGAGGCAGATGCCAAGAATAAACAAAAACCCACCAGTGAGGGTTTTGAATCCTCCAAAGGTTGAGAACCATCCTCCAAACAAAGAATCCAGGGACCATTAGGACCAAGTCTGAATTGGAACATGGGCCAACTTGTGCATTCTAGCTCTGATTTCCATGACAACCCGGCCATTATTAGCAATTTCTAGGCAACAGTTGGTTAAATTAAATTTTCCACATACTCTTCCTTCAGAGGCTAAGTGATAATCTAATGCCAATCTATTTCAATATATAGCATTTCTCATTTGTGTTGCTTGTATTGCCAATAAATCTAGTGCCCTTGATGTTTCATTGGTTATAATTTCAAAGACTGCCTGCAACCTTATGATGCAGTTGAGCATATAGATTGGGGTGTGGTAACCCCATGACCCATCTTGCACCCAGGTAGCTGGCCAATAATATTTAATTATTCTTTCAGGAGGCCATTCATTATCTTTCCAGTCTCCTATGTCCACATCCTTTTTGACATTTGTGTCTATTTTTGTGATTATGCTCTTCTAGTTCTTCTTTTATTTTCATCATCAACTGGATACCATAAGAGTTCCCCTTGCTTTAGAGGAATTAGAAAGAAGAATGGCTTGATTGTTACTACACACATGCTCCTGTCCATTTAGCTGGCAGTTGCCAATATGCCCATGCTCCACAGATCCAATATAGGCCAGAGGGTGCTTTCGAAGCATTTGGAACCTCTAGTTGATGCCAAGTGTGGCTTAGGGTAGAGAATGGAGATAAAGGATTTGGATCTGGTAAGTAGGAGTAATTCTGGGTGCTTCTCCATAGAGTTTTGTTTTTAGTCTCATCATAATACTGTTGCCCTAGGCAGGTTATTTCTCCTACTGCCTCTGTGAAAGCCTTTCCCCAACGGGCGATACGGTACTTTCCAATTATGGAGGTTTTTAACAACCAAACACTGGCTGAGGCTGTTGGTTCACTGGCAGGGTTAAGCGAAGTGAAGTTATCTTGTGGCATTAATTCCTTTGCCTCCCATGGCCACTGGTTCCCCATATTAGTTCCTCCACGTACATAGCATGAGGAAATTCCTAAGCTGCCAGCTATGTTTTCAGCTAGTTGAGCAAATAAGTTTTTGGTTGGTGGGGGAAGCTCAGGCACTGGCTTATCCAAATGCTTATAGAATGATTATGGACCCAGAATTGCGGGGTTGGATGCATTTGAGTCCTTTTAGTCTTTTTGACAATTAGTAGTGGAACTCCAAGGCCTGCTCCTAGTCTATCAAGTCGTTATAGTGCTGTCTGTCCTGTAGACCAGAAAGGTATCTCTGGCTTTAAGATAGTAAAATGTAAAGGATTGCATGTTCTTGTCTTACAGTTTGGTTTGGTTAACATACTACTTAGCAGAGCACTCCTTCCTGAATATAAATATTGGAGTTGTGTTAGTGTGGACCACTGAATGTTACAGTCTGGGCATCCGATTTGTGGTTCTTTGTACAGATGCTTAGGGCTGCTCCTGCTAAGCCTCTCTTGTGTTACACCATTGCAGACTGCTTCTGTTTTTTTTTAGGATTGTGAACATATGCAGCATAGCAGGCATCAAAGTACAAGGAAATAGGCCCTTTACAGGAGGGAGGGGCTTCTTTTGTTCGAGCTATAACTCTCCTTCTTTTTCTCCCTCTGATTTAATATGTATTTCAAACCAGAATTCATAGGGTAAGAGCTTAGGGTCATAACATACATATAGCTGATTATTTCCTGGGTCACAGACCGAATAGGTGGTCTGGTTGTATGTGCAGGTTCCTAACTTGGTTCCTGTACTGTAGGTATGGTACAGTAGAGTTTTAACTATGGTATTCCTTACCCAGGTAGTATGTACACAGTGTGGGCATCCTTCTAGAGATTTCTCCCCTTCTAGTATAGGCAGAAATGGTAACAACATTAGTGTATGTAATAGAAACATGCTTACACTACACATAGGAATGGCAAACCTTCCTCTGGGCATGGACATTTGCAGCATTTGCAGTAATAATGTAACAACAGAACAATTATAACTAGGCTTATAAATTTTATCTACATTTACTTATCTAGAGATGGTCCTCTTAGCTTCGGCTGTGTGTAGACTAGTCAGCTTCCAGGATGTGACTAGAGCAGAGCTTGCAAGATCTTCAAGCTTCAGCCATGTGTAGACTGACCAGCCTCCAGTGTGGTCAGAGCAGGGCAGTTGTCCTTCTTACTGGTGGTTGGGATTCGCCGTAGGTCTATTCGGGTGGGGCAATCAGGGTCTTGTTGGTTAATCCACTGGTCATAGTCGGGAGTCACTGCTGCTGCTAGTTTCAGCCAGCTATGGTGAATCCAAGGTGTGACACCTGCAACTTTAACAGCAGTAGAAGTAGACATGATTACAATATGAGGCCTATCCTGTATGGGTCCTAGAGTGGTTGGATTCCATTTTTTAACTTAAAGAAAATCCTTAGGTTTGAAAGGGTGTACTGGGTCTGTTAGACTTATAGGCATTTTTCTATACCTAGCCATGCATTTTTGCATGGCCATACTTAAAGTCTGCATTTGCCTTCTTAAAGTTACTTCTTCTAGTCTACAGATGATGGGGGGTGGCCGGCTGAACAAAATCTCAGAGGGGGAATACCCAGTTTGCTTGGTGGAGGTGCACCTGACTTGGAGGAGGACCATGGGCAAGACCTGATCCTACCTTTGATGAGTTTCTTGACACAATTTCTTCAGCAGTTGTTTTAGTGTCTGGTTCATGCTCTTCGCTTTACCTGAGCTCTGCAGTCTGTAGGCTATATGTTATTTCCATTTTATTTTTAATAGTCAAGTTAAGTCCTGAACTATTTCAGCCACAAATGTTGGTCCATTGTGAGATCTTAGAGTTAGAGGCAGTCCAAATCTGGGAATAATGTCTTTTAACAACACTTTGGTCACCTCTAGTTCCTTCTCTGTCCCGGTGAGGAAGGCCTTGACTTATCCTGAAAAGGTGAACACCAACATGTACTGATAGCCCCCATCACAGGGTAATTCGGTGAAGTTCATAAGCAGTTTTTCACATGGCATGGCTTCTGTTTCCTGAACTCCTGGGGGTGGAGTAAGCCCTTGTCATGGATTGTTCTGAACACAAGTTAAATATTGTTCATTTACAAATGGCTTGAGTAATAGCAGTGAGCCATGGCACATAGAAATGATGCCTTAATAATGTCTTTAGTGCTGTTTTTTTGTGTGTTTTTTTTTCAGGTCAGTTCCTTGGTGGAACTGTTTTACAAATCTGGGGGCCACCGTTTCAGGGATGGCTAGCCTCCCACTGGAAAATTTTTACTATCCTTCTTCAATGTAGTTGATATTTTTCTGGGCAAAACAAGCCCTTTCATTTGGAGTGTAGCTTGGGATCTACAGAAGGGGAATCTCTGGGAGGAGAGGCATAGCTAAGGCTTCTTCTTTAGAAGGTGGGGTTGTCCTGCTTTGCCTCTTTGTCTCATTTATTTATTTATTTATTTATTTATTTATTTTAGCCTTTAGTATTCTTCCTTTATGGTGCCCCTTGCAGTGCATCTCTGCCACATCTTTTAAGGCCTATACAGCATTTAAGAGCTGTAGAATTTCTTCCTTGTACTTTATTTCTTTACTTTCAGCAGTTAAAAGCCTTTTTTTTCTTTGTAAATAGCCTCATGAACATGGAAAGTGTCAGAAGCATATTTGGAATCTGTGTAAATATTTGTCTTTTGGTCTTTTGCTAGCCAGAGAGCTCTTGTCAGAGCTATTAGCTCTGCTTTCTAAGCAGAAGTTTCTGTAGGCAAAGACTGCACCTCTACTACTGAGTCCAAAGTCACCACTGCATACCCAGCTCAGCAGATTCCCTTTCGTATGAAACTGCTTCCATCAGTAAAATATTCTATGTCTGGCTCCCCAAGGGGCCTATCTGTCAAATCTCTCTGGCTTGAGAACACTTCATCTATCACATTTACACAGCAATGAAGGGGGTCTCCTGGTACTGACTTGATGAGGAGCAAGGTAGCCGGGTTTAGGGTATTCACAGTCTCTAAAGTTAGTTTGTTAGCTTATTGAGCCAGTAGGGCAGTGGCAGCTATTGCTTTAAAACAAGGAGGCCAGTGAAGTGCCACAGAATCTAATTGCCTGGATAAGTATGTCACTGGGTGATGCCATGACCTTATGGCTTGAGTTAGAACCTTCATGGCCTCCCTTTCACTTATGGGCATACAAGAAGATAAGCTTAGTTAGTTAGATCTGGCAGTCCTAAAGCTGGGGCCTGAGTCAAGGCTTTTTTTTTTTTTTTAATTTCTTTAAAAGTCTTCTCCTGGTTAGCCTCCTAGAGGAGGGGCTCTTTCTTTCCTTCTCTTTGTGGCTTAGCCATAAGCTAGAAATTTGGGATCTAAATGCAGCAGAACCTTGCTGCCCTTAGGAACTCTCTTATTTGACACCAGGTGGTTGGAGTAGGAAGTGCACAAACAGATTGCTTTTGTTTACTACTAAGCCATCTTTCCTCTTGGCTTATATAAAGGCTTAAATACTGGAGACTTTTAGAGCAGATTTGAGCTTTTTTCTGACACTTTATGTCCTGCCTTTCACAGCAGGTGCAGGGAGTCTTGGGTTTCTCCTGGGTGCAGTAGCCCTTGGCTGGAGGGTTTTTTTTTATACCATGGCCTTGACCATTCTCCTTATTTTATTTATTTATTTTTTGGGGCATTTATTCTTCTAGTGTCATTTCCTTTTGCACCGTGCACATTAATCTCTCTCTAGCCTTGGCCAGCTTTCAAACTCCTGTCCAAACCAGCCTTTTCCATGACTGTGTTCACGCCCACGACCATGCCTCCTTGCAAAGCCAGCTTCTCTTCCCATAAGGGCTGCTGCTAGTAAATTAGCCTTTGTTAAGCCTCTGATCAGCTTTCTTCTCTGCCTCCTGAACTCAGTTAATGTACACCTTGTAACCACTTTAATAAGCTGAGTTGCATTCACACCTACGGAGCTTCTAACTTCTGCAATTTGTGCCTGATATCTCCTTGGGCCTGCCTTACAAATGCTGTGTCCACCATGCACTGATTTTCAGCAGCCTTAGGGTTAAACAGAGTGTACAACCAAAATGCCTCAAAAAGTCTTTCTTAAAACTGGCTGGTGCTTTTATCTGCACCCTGGAGCACCTCTGAGATTTTTTATATTGGTTGCCTTTTTCTTTTACCAGCCTTTAGCCTTTGCAGAAGGGCTTCTTGGCACTTTTGTAGGTGCTGAAGCTGGACTGCATCATCTGGGTCCTAGTGGGTGTCCTCTTGTCCTCTTAAGAGGCATAAGCATAACTTGGGCGTGACCAGACCTGAGACACCCTCCCTGACTTTTCCAGCCTTTCACTTTAACTTCCTGGAGCTCTAATTTCTCCTTCTCAGGTGAGACTGGGAGCCTGTATCTCTTTGAACTTAATTCCTTAGGGGCAGTTAGCCTTGGTAAAGGGAGGTAGATTGGAATGTAGGGAGGAGGGGTCTCTATTCCCTCCTGTGGTTCTTGCAAAACTGGTTTTCTCTTTCCTGAGACTTTTCTTTTGTCTCCGTAGTTGCCAGGGCAGCTGATTTTTACTTTTACTTTTGGCTTTCACTTTTCACTTTTGGTGCTACAAGCCTCTGTGACTTTACCTTTAACTCCGTAGCCGCCAGCGCAGCTGGTTTCTCTGGGTGTGAGCTGTGAACGTTCTACAATAAACTGCTAGGCAGGGCTGCATTCATTTAGCCATGAATCAATATAAAGACTAGGTCTGAATGCCCTGGCTGTCTTCCAGGGCTAGTCACTACCTTAAAACACACAGCCAATTTACCTATAGTGCCATTGGTCAGCCATCCATCACTAAAAGAGGGCTATTCTAATTCACAGTATGTCCTTAACTTTTGAACATCCAGTTTCATCCCATAATCAGCTCTAAATCCTTTTTAAAAATTCTTTATCATGCACTCCAAAAGGAGTTGGTTTCCATGCTTTTCCTCCCATTTCCTCCCTTGAGGTGCACTTTCACTCTAAGGTCCACCAGACTGGGTCCTATTACAGGAGTTTCAGACGCTGCTTAGCCAGGAACGTGCCTTTCCCTGCCACAGACTGCTGCAGCTGTGAAGCTCAACCTATCAGCCATATGCAACATCCTAGGACTGATTTCCCCCACACTCGCCTGGGAGCACACAGCCTGCGCTAAGGGATCTGTGCCTCCCCACATTACTCCCCGCATTGGCCTCTCCTGAGACCGTCTCTTTCACACACTTTCACACACCTCCCTTGCCTCAGGACTCCTCATCGGACAAAACAACCCTCTCTCGTGTCCCGGGTGAGCCTAGTTAGATTCCCACATTCACACACATACACACACCACTTCTACCCCAGGACTCTTCATCAGAGGAAACGAACCTCTCTGGTGTCCTGGGTAGGTCCGCACACACCCACACACTCCCAGTTGGGGTGGCAAGCCACTCTTACCATTCTGCCAGCAAACTCTTCCTTGCTGCACTTGCCGCTGTATCGGCCCATTTTCTCCACCAGTGAACCACTTTCACTTTGTTAGGGGGACACGAGGTTCATCCAAATTGGCGGGCCACTCCTGCCACCCCCAGCCACTCTGGGTTGGATGAGTGGTTGGTCCCTGGGAGGTGATCAAGCTCACCTTCATCCCTATGGGATGGGCTTTCCTACCTTGGGCCCTTTCTCCTTACCGCGGTTCCTGAAGTGCTGGTGTCATCCTGCAGCCCCATCTCAGGTTCAGTTGCACTGCTGGGCAGGATGCGGGGAGAGCCAGTCTCCATCCGGGTGAAACTCCCCCATGGCATGCCTTGGATGCCAGGTCTTCCACAGCCCCAGGGCCCTAGTCCCATGGGCAAAGGAGACAGTAAATCTGTTATCTCCAATCCCCATATGGGCCACCAGAAATGTTTGGGGATGATTTAGGAATCAGAGAGACCGATGGGGTTGAGGAGGATATATGTATTATTTAGGTGCACCAGCCAACCCAGTCAGATTAATATCCAAAGGACTGAGCCCAGAACAAAGAGTCAGGTTACCTTTTAAGCATTTTGGGGGTGGAGAGGGGGGAGGGAGAGATCTGTTCAGGGGGAAGCATATTACAGAAGTGAGAAACAAAGACAGTTATTCAATTGAGACATGCATTACATCATTTCTTACTTTTCAAGGAAAAACATGTTTTGCAACTTGGGTTTATCTGTCTAGTGACCTTGCAGCTGCACAGCTAGAGAAACAGGGTCTTCACAATGCCTGGGAAAGGGAGAGATAAGGCTCACTAGCCACAGACAGAGAAACAGGCAGTTAATTTTTAAAGGACTCCACCTCTTTCTCTTCCTCTGGGGCAACTGGGTTTTCTTACATACAACTGAGTTTTTGCTTACACATTCTTTAATTTCTTTTAATTCCTGTTCCACAGGTAGAAGAATGCCATTCACTCCCAAGTGGTGAGAGACAAGCAGCCAGTGGTAGGAAGGTCATCAAGTCAGTTGTCAGAAACCTCACTTATGTCACTGTTTTGCTATGTGACCCTGACCTAGTTCCTTGCCCTCTCTTGATCTCAGTTGCTTTATCTGTAAAATTTCACATTTTTCAGCAAGTCAACCTTCCATGTTCCTCTCATTAAAATATACTCACCCCTGGGACTGTGCAAAGGAGATTTGTAAAGTCAGGGGGTTATTGTGTTACATATTCCTTGTAGGTGGGAAACCTAAAGTCTTATTTTTCTATTAAAAATATATGAAGTAGTTGAATGAAAGGTTAAAATGAATTTTTAAGGTAAAACTTAAGACCCCAAGAAAAATGGAATTGCCAACTATGGCTTATAGGTAGCTTTGGGAGCAAACTCTTTCCATCTCCCAGGGACTGGGTGCCTTCAGAGACACCTGGGGGCAAAGTGAAGGAAGGCTGGAGATAAGAAAGGCCCCTTCTGCCTCCAAAACTCTGATTCTGTAAGCCTTCAGTCATGTCTCACATTATACACACAAACCATGCTGGGTTTGTTTTCTTGGAGTAATACTTGAGTTTTTAAAGCTCTTTATTTCAACCCCAAAAGGCAAACATTACAGCAAAGTCACATCTTATGCTGTAGTCTAATGTCAGAGAATTTAATTAAAACAGAGTACTCTTGAAAAATCCCTCGAATTTCCCAAAGTCAGTATGATACCATTTCACAGCAAGACCAGCAGACCTAGTGTTTCCTCTCGTGTTGGGATTATTTGCAGTTGCTTTGAACACCATAGAAGCCTTGCATTTACAATTGTAGTAGGCCCAAGGCCCTCTCAGTCCAGGGGAAGCTCCTGAGAAACAAGAGAGACTGAGGGAACCACAGATCTTATCTGCCATCTCAAGCTCATGCTAGGGCAGAGGTACATTGATCGCAGTAATTTTATATATAATATATATATAATATGCAAATTTATATATAAGTATAATTTATATATAAGTATATATATCATATAATTATATGTATATATGACATGTAAGTGTATATAATATATGACATATAAGTATATATTTTATATATTTATGTATAATTTTATATATAAATTTTATATATGAGATATAATATATAAATGTTTTTATATATTTATATGTAATATGTTTTATATATATTTATATTTATTATATATTATATATATTTATATTTATATATTATATATTACATATATTATATATTTATATTTTTATATATTATATAATATATATTATATATTATACATATTTTGTACATAATTTATATATAAGCATAATTTATATATAAGCATAAATATTATATATAACTTACATATACTTACATATACATGTATATGTATATATATACTTATATATAAATTATATACAATATATACTATATGATATATATTATATATACTTATATATAAATTATATATCCTATAATTATATTTATATATGACATGTAAGTATATATTATATATGACATAAAAGTATATATTTTATATATTTATATATAATTTTATATATAAATTTAATATATGATATATAATATATAAATATGTTTTTTATATATATATATATATATATATATTTTTTTTTTTTTTTTTTTTTTTTGAGATGGAGTTTTGCTCTGTCACCCAGGCTGGAGTGTAGTGGTTTGATCTCGGCTCACTGCAAGCTCAGCCTCCCAGGTTCACAACTAATCTCCTGGCTCAGCCTCCCGAGTAGCTGGGAGTATAAGCGCCCACCAGCATGCCCAACTAAATATATTTTTTTTACTCTCCCCCTTTCTCTCTTTCTCTTCCCCACCCCTCATCACCAAGGTCACAGAGTTTAATTTTAAAAAACAAGCTTAGCAGTCTGGTTAAGGGCACAGACTAGGATGCCGACTGAGTTTGAATCCTGGCTCTGCCATTTGCTAGCTGTATATTACCAAGCAAATTACCTAACCTCTCTGAGTCTCAGTTTCCTTACCTGCAAAATGGGCATGATTAGAGTAGTACTCATCTCCTAGGGTTGCTCTGAGTACTGAATGGTTCATATTTGTAACTCATTGAGAGCATTGCCTGGAACATAGCAAGTGCTATTCAAATGTTCATTAGATTACTTAATGAATTCATTAAATTACTTAAGATTCATTACTTAAATTACTTAAGATTAAATGACTTAAGATTCATTGTATTTTACTAATTTTTCAAATAAAAAAATGCTGGTCCACATGTCCGAATCACCCATCAAGTCAGTGTGATGCCTAACTCCGGGAGAGCCAGTTTTCCTCTAGTGTTGCAAACTCCCAGTTTCCTGTCCGTGCCTTATGTTTCTTTTGCATTCCCAGAAGATGAAGAAACAGCAATCATGACTTTTTTCCTTTTGTCTTGAACCCCTTTGCAGATCAGCATCCCCAGAACACACCTGTGTTAAGTCAAAGACCTTGGACCCAATGGTCATCTTCTTCACCAGTGGGACCACAGGCTTCCCCAAGATGGCAAAACACTCCCATGGGTTGGCCTTACAACCCTCCTTCCCAGGAAGGTAGGAAAGAGGGCACCGACATAGAGGCTGGACCCAGATGTGGGCAAAGTTTGTGTGTGTGTGTGTGTGTGTGTGTGTGTGTGTGTGTGTCTTGGGAAAGGAACTGGAAGTAGAAGTGACTACATACTCCTTTTCCCTTCCACTCTCTTTTGTTCAGACCTCTCAGGGTCTGAGAGGTGAAGGCTGGGAATCCTAAATGTTTGCTGACAGAGGCCTGAGAGTGACAAAGGAGGCACATTTAGGTTTTACCAGAGCATCTTCATAGGAGATGTGGAGGAAATGTGGGTAGAGACAGTAGACATTCCAGATGCCACACACATGACAAGCCTGACAGTGGTTCCATAATTTTGTAGGGAAAGACAGAATATTCTAGCAGGGTGACCTGAGATGACAGAGCCTCACCTCTCCCCTATTATGGGCAAATCAGACTTAGGGTTCCTCAATTATTCACTTCTAGGGAAGAAAATATCTGGAACCAAGCTATGCCAAGCCATCACCTCTAAGAGGGCAAAGCTCTATCCTTGGGTTAATTATTTAATCACCTGCAAACCAAACCTCTCCTTCTCTACGCCTTCTCATCTCCAACTAGTAATATTCAGAATGGACCAAATTCTTTATATTTTTTAATGTATTAACATATTAAACAGAATATGGAGCACAGATGTCTTTTTGTATTAACCCGAAGAGGGGCAGTGGGTATTTACACTAATGATGACAGTTGAGTAGCAAAACCCAGGGAGGAATGGAGGTGAGAGAAGGGAGAGCTTCTGTGCAGGTGGAATAATATGTGCAAAGACACAAAGATATAAAAAGTAGTATTCATAGAACTACAGAGACTTGGGAATATCTGGTGCTCAGGGTGTAGGGTGAAGGACCAATGGGAACAATTGGAAAAGTGAGCAGGACTCAGACCGTGCAGGGATTTGCAGACCTTGTAGTAGATTTTGGACTTTATTAGGAAAACAACGGGGAGATATTGAAAGTTTTTTAGGGAGGAGGAGATCTGATCAAATTTGTATTTTGATAAGATCATCATGGCTGCAGGATGCAGGATGGATTGGAGAAAATTAGAATAGAGTTAGGGAAGACCAGTTAAAGGCTCCTAGTCTAATCCAGGTGCAAGCTAGTAGTGGCATGGATCAGGTACTAGACATATGATGGAAATTAACACAGTTGAGATTTCAGGAAATAGAGTGGACCAGATCTGCTGGTTAAACATGGGAGATGGGAGGAGGTCAAGGTTGATGCCAAAGTTTGGGGCTTGGACAGTTTCATGGATAGGGATGACATGTCTGGTTACAGAGAACACTGGAGGAGAATCAGTTCAAGAGAGGTAGCATGATTGAACCAGTTTCAGTTGTACGTAATTGGGAAATATTTGGCAGTACACCTTTGAGACCTGGCCTGAGGGTGGTATGGAGCCCCACACAAATCACATGAACTGAGAGTGAGAAAGGTGGGTTCGTAGCTAAAAACCAGAGTGCACAGCCCTTCATCACATCAGCCATGATCACACAGCTGAGGCCACTGCATTTTGGAGTTAGTAGGAAATTACGGAGCCTGAAGACATCTGATGTCTCCTGGTGCCTGTCGGACTCAGGATGGATTGTGGCTACCATTTGGACCCTGGTAGAACCATGGACAGCGGGTTGTACAGTCTTTATCCACCATCTGCCACAGTTTGACACCAAGGTCATCATACAGGTAAGAAGACTCACCTTCCCCTATCAGCAAAATTCCAGAAAAAAATCCATGTTTCCTGGACCTTGCTAAAAAAATATTTTATTAAGCAAAGAAGCCCATGAGCCTAAGATGATCCTGAGCCTGGGCTTCTCAAAGTGTGATGCACTGAGTCTGAGTCACTATACCTGAGTCACATCAAAATGTGACCTTGAAGAAAATGTGTATTACTGGGCGATCCTTCAGACCTGTAGATCAGTCTTTGTAGACTTGGGACCCAGGATGTGCATTTTGAAAAATTAAAGCAAGCACAAGTCCAAGTCTCCCAGATCCTGGACCCTGATGCTGCCAGGGCCAAGCAGCTGGGGTGTGTGTGTGTGTGTGTGTGTGTGTGTGTGTGTGTGTGTGTTTTCTTACTCAATATGATAAAATGTTTAAAAACAGCCCTTGGAATATGACAGATCTAGCTTCTTATCCCACCTTTGAAATTAACTAGCAGGTTACATACCACTCTGAGCATCAGTTTCCTTATCTGCAAAATAGGTCTTTTAATAATTACTACCTCATAAAGTCTTAGGTAATATTAATGAGATGATAGAGGCGATATGTGTAAAGTACTTAACCCTGACATTAGCACATAGAAAACACTCTATCTGTGGGAGCTGCTGCTGCTATTGTTATGATGAGTACATCATGATGACAATTCAAGTCACCTGCATGAATTCTTTCTGTCTATGTCCCTTCACCCCAACATTTTCTTTATGTCTCCACTCACACCCTTGCTTTCCCTCTCAGAGGCAGACCTTGCCCTCCACCTCTCAAAATCCACCCGCTCTGCACAACCACTGCAGAGTTCTGTCTCCTGGCCTTGGATAAACAGCATTTCTTTATTAATCTTTAATCTACTATGCATTTTCTCCTGTATTTTCAGTCTCTCACTTTTCGCTAGTTTTACACCCTCAGTCCGTAAACATATTCAGTGTACTTATCCTAAAATGCCTTCCTTTGAACCTGCTACACACTGGGTCAACCCATCTTTTCCACCTTAATACCAAACTTCACCAAAGAACATCCTCCATTTGCTGCAGCCACCTCTGCTTCACCTAGCCTGCTCCTGAATACTGCAGTGCTCCAGTGGTCTGCCCTTACTGTTCTTCTTTCTAAGCAATTTCCTTCACCTCCATTTTTCTCAGCAAGCACATCAATGCAGGTGGCTGTCAGGACTGTACCTAGGGTCTAGTCTTCTCGGTCCAAGCTGATTCTCCCAGGCTAGCAAAACATTTCCAACCTGCTAGTTGGTAAAGCCCATCTGATCATTCCTCCAGAACATCAAACTGCACTTCCCATATCTCATTACCTACCTCTATATCAATGCCTCCTCCTGTGTCACCATCATTATTTTCTGTACCACATTCTGCACCTGAGACTTAAAGCACCACAAACAAGACTGACCACCCTTCCCATCCTCATGCCTAATTCTTCCGCTGCTATAGAGAGTGTCCCAAAAGGTCTTTATGTATTTTAAGCCTTAGTAAATGCTTAAAGTTTAAAATTCTACAAATTTACCAAAAAAGCATTTGCATTACTATTTCCCACTTACTATTTTTATGAATTATTCATAATAATTTTTAATTTAGATATTGTATTAGTCCATCTTATTGAAGACTAAAACAAAAAGTCTTTTAAATTTTTGATTCAGAGGGTGCATGTGCAGATTCGTTACATGAGTATATTGCATGATTCTGAGGTTTGGAGTAAGAATATTCTCATGACCCAGCTAGTGCATATAGTACCCAATAAGTTTTTCAGCCCACGACCCCCTCCCTGTCTCTCCCTTCTCATAGTGTCTATTGTTATCCCCAGCATCTATTGTTTCCAACTTTATGTCCATGTGTATTCAATGTTTAGTTCCCACTTATAAGTGAGAAAAAAATGATGTTTGGTTTTTTACTCCTGCATAAATTTACTTAGGATAACAGCCTCCAGCTTCATCCATGTTGCTGCCAAAGACATGATTTCATTCTTCTTTATGGCTGTGTAGTATTGCATGGTGTATATGTAGCACATTTTCTTTATACCAGTCCACCATTGATGGGCACCTAGGTCAATTTGATGTCTTTGCTATTGTGAATAGCACTGCCAATAACATATGAGCCTCTGTGTCTTCTTGGTAGAACCATTTATTTTCCTTTGGATATATACCCAGTAATGGGATTGCTGGGTCAAACGGTAGTTCTAAGTTTGTTGAGGAATTTTCAAATTGCTTTCCACAGTGGCTAAACTAATTTGCATTTCTATCAATAGTATATAAGCATTCCATTTTTTCCAAAGCCTCACCAGCATTTGTTTTTGACCTTTTAATAATCACCATTCTGATAGGTGTGAGATGGTATCTCACTGTGGTTTTAATTTGCATTTCTCTGATTAATGACATTGAGCATTTTTTCATATGTTTGTTGGATGCTTGCATGTCTTCTTTTGAGAAGTGTCTGTTTATGTACTTTGCCCATTTTTTAATTGGATTATTTGGGTTTTACTTGTTGATTTGTGTTCTTTGTAGATTCTGATATTAGTTCTAATTAGACATCACATATAAGAGTCTACAAATAACTTAAATTCTTTGTAGAATCTGGATATTTGATTCTGGATGTTGTCAGATGCATAGTTTGAAAATATTTTCTCCCACTCTGTAAGCTGTTTACTCTCTTGATAATTTCTTTTGCTGTGCTGAAGCTCTTTAGTTTAATTGGGTCCCACTTGTTAATTTTTGGTTTTGATGCAATTGGTTTTGGGGACTTAGCCATAAATTCTTTGCCATAGCTAATATCCAGAAGAGTATTTCCTAGATTTTCTTCTAGGATATTTACAGTGTAATGTTTTATATTTAAATCCTTACTCCATCTTGAGTTAATTTTTGTATATGGCGAAAGGTAGGAGCCCAGGTTTATTCTGCTACATATGGCTAGCCAGTTTTCCCAGCACCATTTATGGAATAGGAAGTCCTTTCTCCATTGCTTATTTTTGTTCACTTTGTTGAAGACCATATGGCTATAGCTGTGACTTCTCTATTGTGTTTCACTGGTGTATTTGTCTGTTTTTGTACCAGTACCATGCTGTTTTGGTTACTGTAGCCTTATGACATAGTTTGAAGTTGGGCAACGTGATGCCTCTAGCTTTGTTCTTTTCAGTATTCAAGCCCTTTTTGGTACTATATGAGTTTTAAAGTCGTTTTTTCTGATTCTGTGAAAAATGACATTGGTATTTTAATAGGCATAGCATTGAATCTATAAATTGCTTTAGGCAATATGGTCATGTTAACAATATTGATTCTTCCAATATATGAGCATGGAATCTTTTTCCATTTATTTGTGTCATCTCTGATTTCTTTCAGCAGTGTTTTGTAGTTTTCTTTGTAGCCATCTTTCACCTCCTTGGTTAGATGTATTCTTAGGTATTTCATTTTTAGTGGTAGTTGTAAATCAGATTGTGTTCTTGATTTGACTGTCAGCTAGAACATTGTTGGTGTATGGAAATGCTAATTTTTGTACACTGATTTTATATCCTGGAACTTTACTGAAGTTGTTTATCCGTTCCAGGAACCCTTTGGTAGAGTTTTTAGGGTTTTTTAATGTATATAATCATATATTGTCAGCAAAAAGAGATAGTTTGACTTTTTTTCTATTTGAATATCTTTTATTTCTTTCTCTTGCTTGATTGCTTTGGGTAGGACTTCCAATTCTATGTTGAATAGGAGTGGTGAGAGTGGGCATCCTACACTTTTTCCAATTCGCATGGGAAATGGTTCCAGCTTTTGCCTGGTCAGTGTGATGCTGGCTGTGGGCTTGTCATAGATGGCTATTATTTAGAGGTATGTTCTTTCAATGCCTCATTTCTTGAGGGGCTTTATCATGAAGAGAGATTGGATTTTTTGAAAGCTTTTTCTGCACCTACTAAGAGGATCATATGGCTTTTCTTTTTTATTCTGTTTAAGAGGTGAATCCTGTTTATTGATCTGCATATGTTGACCCAACCTTGCATCCCAGGAATAAAGCCTACTTGATCATGGTGAATTAACTTTTTGATGTGCTGCAGGACTCAGTTTACTAGTATTTTGTTGAGAATTTTTGCATCTACGTTTATCAGGGATATTGGCCTGGAGTTTTCTTTTGTCATTGTATCTCTGCCATATTTTGGTGCCAAAAGCATTCTGGCTTCATAGAATGGTTAGAAAGGAGTCCCTTCTCCTTAATCTTTTGGATTAGTTACAGAGGGATTGGTACCAGTTCTTTGTATATCTGTTAGAATTCAGCTGTGATTCTATCTTGTCCAGGGCTTTTTGGGATTAGTAATTACTGATTCAATTTCAGAACTTGTAATTTGTCTGTTCAGGTTTTCACTTTCTTTCTGGTTCAATGTTGAGAGGCTGTGTGTTCCCAAGAATTTATCCATTTCCTGTAGATTTTCTAATTCAGGTGCATCAGTGTGTTCATAATAGTCTCTGAGAATCTTTTATATTTCTGTGGGACCATTTATAGTGTCATCTATGTCATTTCCGATTGGGCTTATTTTGATCTTCTCATTTTTTTCTTTGTTAATCTAGCTAGCAGTCTATCAATATTGTTTATTCTTTTGAAAAACAAGCTCTCAGTTTCATTGATATTTTGTATAAACTTTTGCATCTTAATTTCATTCAGTTCTTTAATTTTAATTATTTATTTTCTTCTGATAGCTTTGGTGTTTGTTGGTTGTTCTTTTTTTTCCTAGTTCCTCTAGAAGTGATATTAGATTCTTAATTAGCGATCTTTCTAACTTCTTAATGAAGGCATTTAGTGCTATAAACTTTCCTCTAACATTGCTTCAGGTGCATCTCAACGATTTTGGTAGATGGTATCTCTATTTTCATTTTCATTAATTTCAGAAACTTTTTTGACTTCTTGTTCACCCAAGAGTTATTCAGGAGAAAATTGTTTAATTTCCATGTTTTTATATGGTTTTCAGTGATCTTGTTGACATTGATTTCTGTTTTTCTTGCACTGTGGTCTAACAATGTACTTTGGTAAGATTTTGATTTTTTGAATTTATTGAGACTTGCTTTATGACTGAACCTGTGGTCAATTTTAGAATATGTTCCACGTGGGAACAAGAAGAATGTATATTCTGTGGTTGTTAGGTAAATTATTCTGTGGATGTCTATTAGGTCCAATTGGTCAAATGTTGAGTTTAAGTCCATAATTTCTTTGTTAGTTTTCTGTCTCAATCATGTGTCTAACATTTTCAGTGTGTTGTTGAAGTCCCCCACTATTTTTGTTTGGCAAAATCTTTTTATAGGTCAAGAAGAACTCACCTTATAAATCTAGGTGTTCCAACATTTGGTGTGCATATATTCAGGACGGTTAAGTCTTCTTGTCGAACTGAACCATTTATCATTATATAATGCCCTCCTTTGTCCTTCCTAATCATTGCTGGTTTAAAGTCTGTTTTTATCTGATATAAGAATAAGGACTCCTGCTCTTTTCTGTTTTTCATTTGTGTGGCAGATATTTCTCCATTTCTTTGCTTAGAGCCTGTGGGCATCATTACTTGTGAGATGGGTCTCATGAAGACAGAAGACAGTTGGGTATTTTCTTTGTATCCATCTTCCCACTCTGCCTTTTAAAGGGGGCATTTAGACCAAAAATAAATAAATAAATAAATAAATAAATACTATTCAATTTAGTAAAACAAAACATTCCTTCTATTTCCTCTCTACCCACCCCTGTCAACTTAGTCCTTGCCAAATCTGTTGCAAGAGTCTGCTGATCTCCGTTCCACACCCCTACTGAAAGCTGCAAAGCACCAGGAGTAGTCATAGATTACAACTTACATGATAATAGCCAGAGCCCACATTTGATGAACACCTACTAAGTGCCAATTTCTGGGAAAGGCCTTAGACACCTATGATGTCTAATTCTTACCTACTAAGCAGAGCTCCCTTGGCTGCCAGTAACAGAAGCCTACTTCAACGTAGCTTAGTGGAAAAAGAAATACACGGAAGGGGGAACTAGAATAGCTCATTATTCTGTAGGAGAAGAGCAATATGAGCTTGATAAAGATCTAAAACAGAAAGTAGAAAGATACCAGCAATTAAGGCAGCTTCAGTGTCTCCTCTGCTTTTCTCTATAGATGTGCTTCCTTGTTTCTGTTTGTAGAAACACTTTTGCTACTTCACATGCACATAGTCAAACATAGCAATCACAGCATTTCAGGGCGACATTCCCCCTTCCCAGATAACCAGTCCAGGTCAACTAGAGGCTGAGTGAGTGGTCCAGAATGTTGGGGTGATCAGACCCAACACAAGGCCGTGGAGGCTACAAAGTCCGGCGGAGTCAAAGGAATCAGAAAAGACAAGTTAAGAGTGCATAAGGTGGGTCCAGGGGACCAACACTGGTATGGAGGCTGTGAAGACCCCAAGCTCTGGGAGCCCACACTATTTATTGGTGATCAAACAAAGAAGCAGGTGGTGAGGACATGCGGATGTGGGGGTAAAGAGGTGAGGATGGGAGGACATGGGGGTAGAAAAGTAGCAGTGCATCAAGCATAACTGTGACGGTTTAGCATTTTCTTTGATGCATATGTAATATGCTCTGCTACCTGAGATAATGGAGAACATATTTATGAGCCTGGGAGAGTAGCCAACAAGTCTGTGCACATTCCAGAGGCCACAAGGGGTTTTATGCCCTGGGCTTAGATTATGGTGCGGCAGGGCAGCCTTCCACCCTTTGGCACAGAGATTGGTGTCCCAAAGGCCACAAGGGGGTTTAGGCCCTGGACCCAGGACATGTTCCAAGACTCTTTTACATCATGACAGAGAAGCCAGTCCTGCCTCAGCTCTTCTACCAACACAGCCTAAGGCAATTGTCTGTCACCAAGTCAGCAATCCAACTCACTGTGCCTGGGGTGAGGTTACTGACACAGACATTGCTGGAGTGGGCCTGAGACTTTCACAGACATGTAAAGACACCTGTTGGGGTAGGGGCAGTGGGCCAGGGGTGAGAGTAGGACAAAAATTTTAAAAGCATATATAAATGTGAGATATTAAAGAGATAGAGGCTAGAGATTGAAAGCTGATTGGGTCTTTATGAAGGGAGGGACTGGAAGTAGAGCTAGATTTGTCCACAAATGACAATTATATTTCATCATGATTCTAAATGGAATATATGGACGTTCCCATTTTACAGATAAGGAAATTGAATTACAGACAAATTAAGTAACAGGATTTAAATTAAGATACCCAAACCCACTTTCTCTTCTCTTTACTGTTCTTCACTCTCTTAGTGTATCTCCACCCTGATCTGAAACTCGGAAAGAAAACACATCCAGCCAATTAATCATGAGTACCAAACATTTTAGAGTCTAAATAACCTGGCTCCAACTTACCTTATCTTCCTAAATTTAATTCTTGCTCCTCTCTAGTGGGTCTAAATAAATCATATTATTTGACTTGACTGAAATGTTTCTTTAGCTCCTGAGACCCTATTTCTTGTTATTTCATCTATCTCCAAGAGACTCCCACTCTCCCTGCCTGTAGACACCATATCTATTTGCTAATGTCCTGACTAAATACCACCTCTTCCATCAAGCCCCTGGGACACACAACTAGAAAGAGTATTTCCCTCTCCTGTGTTCCTACAGAACTTTTGTACTTCAAGTATTTCTTATGACATCTACCCACTTCTGCCTTATCATTCGAGTCCTGTTTTATCCTATTAGTGGCTACTCACCATAGGAGTTGGAACGTTATCTGCGTTTTTGTATTTCCCCAACAGTACCTGATGCATACCATGTATGAAATCCATGCTCAGTATGTGTGTATTTAAAGGATTAAGAAATTAACAAATGGGCTCTTCTAGTGGGAAGGTCAGAACTAGACTGCTAATAATTGGCTGTTAGTTTAACCTTAACTGTAAAAATAAAATTTCTT
The DNA here is from genome assembly GCF_000001405.40 of Homo sapiens. Classification (NCBI taxonomy): domain Eukaryota; kingdom Metazoa; phylum Chordata; class Mammalia; order Primates; family Hominidae; genus Homo; species Homo sapiens. Next base: position 20,661,890 of record NC_000016.10, on the reverse strand, counting down.
CTCTCTTCCCTTTCCAGACATTGTTGAAATACCCCATTAACCACTTTTGGGGGGTATCATCTATATATCGAATGATTCTGCAGCAGGATTTCACCAGGTATGGTAGAAGTGGCTTGTAACAACATCTTTGGGTAAGATTTTAAGGAATCTGATACATCATGGTCTGTTTTTCTTCTGGTTCTTTGAGGAGTGTGTGTGTGTTTGTGTGTTAAGTGTTGGTGGCGATGATGATCAAAAGTTAATTAGTTAAAGCAAATCCAGAGATCCAAAGGAAACTCAGTGAGCCTTGCATGATTGTGGGTTGATTCCTTTTTAAACATTTCAGTTGTAAAATAACAATTGTACAGAAAATGCATAAGACAGAAATTTACAGATTAATAAATTATTGAAATTAAAATATCTGTGTAACCCACTCACCAAGTCAAAAAAACATAACATTGCCAGTACCTCAGAGACTTCCATCTCCCTTAAAGGAAACAACTATCTTGACCTTTATGTTGTTAATTCCTTACTTGCCTTTATAATTTACCTCCTAAGGAACTATCCCTAACCAAAATTTTATTTTACATGTGTTCGAATTTTAAACAGGTAATGCTACATTATTATATAATAATTGTGTTTCTAAGATGTGTCCCTGTTGTTGCATATTGCTGTAGTTTATCTTAATTGTGTGCAGCATCCTATTTTATGAAAATACCACAATTTCTTATACCAGTCCTACCATTAATGGACATTTCTGTAGTTTTCGCTTTGAGGCTATTGATGTTTAATGCTACATAGAATCCTAGGACATGCACCCTGGTGTGTACAAGCATGCATTTCTGTAGAGTTTTTCAAGGAGAGGAATTGCGGGTCACACTGATACAACACAATACCATACTATCTTCCAAACCAATTTATGCTTCTTTATATAAGCAGGGCAGGAGAATTTCCATTGTTCCATGTTCCTGCCAACATTTGGTATTGTCAGACTTATTAATTTTTGCCAGGCTGGTGGGTGTGTGGTGTTATCTTAATACAACTTTATTTTTGCATCTTCCTATGTTTGAGAATTAATTTTAAGCTAAACCAAAACACACTCTTTGAAACTTATGGATATTTATGTATCTTTTAGGGACTCTGAAATTGAAATGGCTAGTTCAAAAATCAGAGCTAATATGTTTTAGACATAAAAGTTAAAATATCAGAGTTTAATGATTGCCCTTACAGAGCTAACTCTGAATTATAATTTGATTTTACTCATGAAGCTTCAGTCTGGCTGTATTCTGTTTCCATCTGTATTTCAAAGCTCATATGACAGCCAAGTTTTGGAACATTCCTCACATGATGGCCTTGGTCCAAACTTGGCACACATCTTATCATGGCATAACTAATGATTCCATCTGAGACTCTGCCCACTTTATGTACTTTGGTTTAGCTTCAAAAGAATGAGGAAGAGATCCTCAGTGAACACAACCCTCCTATCCTCACTCTTGACCCTGTCTGTATCAGGAGAGGGTAGTGAGGTGGAAAAGTGGTCTAGATGGTGCCACTTTCCTCATCACCAAGAGCTGGCTGGGCTGAGCCTCATGCTAGATGCATCCAGCTGGCTTTCAAACTTCCATCACTTTTCTCCATTTTCTTCAGGGAATCTAATTATTATTTTGTGATTGTTTTTGTATTCTTTGGGAAAATTTCATGGGAAAAAGGGACAAGAGACTTTATATCACATGCTGTACATAGGAAACTACTACTGTTGATGAAAAAAGTGAAACTCTGGAAAATATTTTTAGAGATTTATTCTGAGCTAAATATGAGTGACCATGACCCATGACACAGCCCTCAGGAGGTCCTGAGAACATGTGCCCAAGGTGGTCAGGATGCATCTTGGTTTTATATATTTTAGGGAGGCGTGAGACATCAATCAAATACATTTAAGAAACACATTGGTTTGGTTCAGAAAGGCAGGACAATGCAAAGCGGGGTCTTTCAGGTTATAGGTAAATTTAAACATTTTGTCATTGATGATTAGTTTATCTGAAGACCTGGGATCAAAGGAAATGTTCAGGTTAAGAGAAAGGATTGTGGAAACCAAGTTTTATTGTGCAGAGGAAACTCTCAGATAGCAGACTTCAGAGAGAAAGGTTGTAAAATGTGTCTTATCGGACTTAAAAGGGGTGCCTGGTTCTTAGTTGATTATCTCCTGGATATGGAAAGGAAGGAAGGAAAATGAAGGGGAAAGTGGATTCTCTATAGAATGTGGACTTTTCCCACAAGAGACTTTGCAGGGCAATTTCAAGATATGGCGGAGAAACATGTTTTGGGGTACAATATTTTGATTTTCTTCCTTGTCTCGTAATGTTATGCCAGAGTCAGATTGGAAAGTTAAGTCACAATATACAGGGTTAAATAAAACCCATCTGATGAGAATTTATGGTTTGTAAGGTATGACTCCCCAGGCACCTTAGATAGGAATTTGGGCAAGATTGTAAAAATCAGAGCTCAGTCCTCAGTCCCCGCTCTTGGCCAAAAAGCATTCCATAGAATGCACATGTAGGCCAACAAACAGCAGCAGGTCCCATGGCACTAGGAAGACTCATTCCTAGAGTTGTCTGATTTGGCCATCTGGCAGGGTCCCACAGTGCTAGGAAAGCTTGTTCCTAGAGTCCTCTGATTTGATGGTAATAGTTTTAAACACTAGCGTTTTGGATAATGGGGGGAAGACCTGGAGTTTAAGGGGTGAGATGGAGTCAGGCTTAGGGTTTAGTCTTTTACAAAAAAATCCCAGATCAGATCTATGTTCTGAGTTATCATGATCTGAGTCTTTAATTGTGCCTTTCCCTTTTGCTGTATCTGGCATAACATTTACAAGAAAATGTCTATCATAAAGATAGTGAAGATTTGGGTATCCAAGGTTATAGGTGGCATCAGAGAGCAGAAAGAATATTTCAGCCAGAATAAACACTGCATACATCATCATATTCTTTGATCAGACTCACAATGTGGTTACCTTACTTATTAAGGGTTATTTCAACCCTCTGATAAATCTTATTTGGAAATTACGGGACCAACATTAAATTGGAATTTAATAAATTTAATCTCTTTTCCGGCCAATTTGTCTCCATAGGTATAGCATCCTGAGGAGGGTGTAAATTAAATGCAAGAAACACCTGTTCCTCAATATCTAAATTCTTATAGCCTTGTTAATATAGACGAATCTATTCTTCCCACCACTTTTGTATTGCACCATATACTGGTATTTGGGAGAGAAAAGGTTTTGTCACAGGAGAAGTCATAATTCTGCACCGTCATTTTTTCCTTGGCAGGACTGCCCATGGCTGAAGACCTTAAAAGTCAAAAGACTTATAGCCAATTAATTGTTCTAGGCCAGATAGGAATGGATGTGGACAGGCATTGATTACTTCTAGAAATGATTTTAAGTCAAAAAAAAAAGAACAACCCCATCAAAAAGTGGGTGAAGGATATGAACAGACACTTCTCAAGAGAAGACATTTATGCAGCCAACAGACACATGAAAAAATGCTCATCATCACTGGCCATCAGAGAACTGCAAATCAAAACCACAATGAAATACCATCTCACACCAGTTAGAATGGCGATCATTAAAAAGTCAGGAAACAACAGGTGCTAGAGAGGATGTGGAGAAATAGGAACACTTTTACACTGTTGGTGGGACTGTAAATTAGTTCAACCATTTTGGAAGACAGTGTGATGATTCCTCAAGGATCTAGAACTAGAAATACCATTTGACCCAGCAATCCCATTACTGGTTATATACCCAAAGGATTGTAAATCATGCTGCTATAAAGACACATGCACATGTATCTTTATTGTGGCACTATTCACAATAGCAAAGACTTGGAACCAACCCAAATGTCCAAAAATGATAGACTGGATTATGAAAATGTGGCACATATACACCATGGAATACTATGCAGCCACAAAAAATGATGAGTTCATGACGTTTGCAGGGACATAGATGAGGCTGGAAACCATCATTCTCAGCAAACTATCACAAGGACAAAAAACCAAACACTGCATGTTCTCCCTCATAGGTGGGAGTTGAACAATGAGAACACATGGACACAGGAAAGGGAACATCACACATCAGAGCCTGTTGTGGGGTGGCGGGAGGGGGGAGGGATAACATTAGGAGATATACCTAATGCTAAATGATGAGTTAATGGGTGCAGCACACCATCGTGGCACATGTATCCATATGTAACAAACCTGCACGTTGTGCACATGTACCCTAAAACTTAAGGTATAATAAAAAAAAAAACATTGGGCACAGTGGCTTATGCCTGTAATCCCAGCACTTTGGGAGGCCGAGGTGGGTGGATCACCTGAGGTCAGGAGTTTGAGACCAGCCTGGCCAACATTGTGAAACCCTGTCTCTATTAAAAGTATAAAAGTTAGCTGGGCGTGGTCGTGGGCACCTGTAATCCCAGCTACTCAGGAGGCTGAGGCAGGAAAATTGCTTGAACACAGGAGGCAGAGGTTGCAGTGAGCTGAGATCGCACTGCTGCACTCCAGCCTGGGTGACAAGAGAGAGACTCTGTGTGAAAAAAACAAAAAACAAAAAACAAAACCAAAAAAACAAACCCAAAAAAACAAACCCAACAATAGAACCAAAAGGCAAAGTTACAAGACTGGCTTCTTTTTAACTTTTATGTGTTGAGTTACTGTAAGCTTAGTTTCTGTTACATACTTACAGCAATTAGCTACTCAAAATATAAGCATTGTTCTGAAAAATAATTTAAAATATGTATATATGTATAGACATATTTATCTTCACAACTTATAACTGGCAGTATTATACCCAGGAGGGTTTGTTACAAGGTACTTTATCCTATTAGTAAATATATATATTTTTTAATTTTATAGGAAGCAGAAAATGTTTGTGGTTGGGATGTATGCAAAAGTGACACATAATAGTTTAGAAGACAACTAAACTTGTTTTACCAGCTGTTTAGGCATTTTTTTTTTTTTTGTAACCTCTTCTTGATTTGGAGGGTTTGGTCTTGTTCTAATTTTATCCCTCAAAGCTGGCCCTTACAATCTTACATGCCCACCTCTTCCGTGATAGTTCCTGGGCCCAGAGGGAGCAACTTGTATAGTTTTGGCAGCAGAGCATTTGCAGTGAAACAGATCCAGGCCCAGCGGGATGTCAAATGAGTTTCATATGGTCTTCAGAGTACCATCATATTGGCTTCCTTGAAGTAAACAAGGAAAGATAAATAACATTCATAGTTTGACAGTTAGGAGAGTTACTATCCTTCATTATAAAGCAACTCTTAAATGTTTCTTAACCAAAAAGAAATTTACATTTTTTGAGAATTGACATCTTTGTGTTTATAAAATGTTAACAAATGCTGCATATTTTGTGCTTCTATTATTTTAACTTTTTAGTCACCCAAATTTCCACTCGGTGGGGTGGGGTGCAAAACCCGAGGGTTAAATCATGACTTTAAGATTTTTAAATTACTGGAGAATTTTGAGATTAAATTTACCAAATTAAATTTTTACCACAGATTATCAAGGTTATGTAAATTAAAAGGGCATCTGAGCTAGTTTTTGCCAATCTGACAGGCACTTAACATTTTTTAAAGTTAGTTGATTAGAACTCTTTCATGTAGTTTGGAAGTGAAATATCACTTCCACATGACACATATAAATATAGAGATATAACAGGCATGCAGAATAAAAGACATGCTCAAAAGTTACTTCACTTGCCTGTTTTCAAAAACAATTTTTCTCCCTTACTTTATATAACTAGTAAAAGTTACAGGAGCCAACAAAAGGTGAAGGAAAGAGCCGTCCTTCAAAGCCTTTTCAACAGAGAAAGAGTAGCACTTTTAAGATATCAACCTGAAGAATGTTAAAGAAACAATTAAAAATTTAAAAACTTCTTGCATTAAAAATAAGTCAGCCAGGCACAGTGACTCATGCCTGTAATACTGACATTTTGGGAGGCTGAGGTGTGCGGATCACAAGGTCAGGAGTTCGAGACCAGCCTGGCCAATATGATGAAACTCCATGTCTACTAAAAATAGAAAAATTAGCCAGGGGTGGTGGTGCCTACCTATAGTCCCAGTTACTCAGGAGGCTGAGGCAGGAGAATTGCTTGAACCCAGGAGCTGGAGGTTGCAGTGAGCTGAGATCATGCCACTGCACTCCAGCCTGGGTGACAGAGTGAGACTCCATCTCAAAAACAAAACAAAACAAAATAAAATAATAAGACAATATTTGTAATAAAATCTTGCTTTAACCAATTAGTTTTGTACTACTGCATTTTTAAAAATATTAAAGACCCATCTCTAGAAAGATTATCATGATTTATTTTTAGTTATAGACAACTAAATTACACAACTCCTTTAAAAATTTATTTTATTAATGTTATTATGACTTACATAGTTCATTCACAAGCGTTCAGACTGTTTTATCTTAAATATCCCTCTTTCTTTTTTTATTTTATTTTATTTTATTTTTTATTATACTTTAAGTTCTAGGGTACATGTGCACAACGTACAGGTTTGTTACATATGTATACATGTGCCATGTTGCTGTGCTGCACCCATTAACTCGTCATCTACATTAGGTATATCTCCTAATGTGCTCCCTCCCCCCTCCCCCCACCCCACAACAGGCCCTGGTGTGTGATGTTCCCTTTCCTGTGTCCATGTATTCTCATTGTTCAATTCCCACCTATGAGGGAGAACATGCAGTGTTTGGTTTTTTGTCCTTGTGATAGTTTGCTGAGAATGATGGTTTCCAGCTTCATCCACGTCCCTAGAAAGGACATGAACTCATCATTTTTTATGGCTGCATAGTATTCCATGGTGTATATGTGCCACATTTTCTTAATCCAGTCTATCATTTTTGGACATTTGGGTTGGTTCCAAGTCTTTGCTATTGTGAATAGTGCCACAATAAACATACGTGTGCATGTGTCTTTATAGCAGCATGATTTATAATCCTTTGGGTATATACCCAGTAATGGGATTGCTGGGTCAAATGGTATTTCTAGTTCTAGATCCTTGAGGAATTGCCACACTGTCTTCCACAATGATTGAACTAATTTACAGTCCCACCAACAGTGTAAAAGTGTTCCTATTTCTCCACATCCTCTCTAGCACCTGTTTCCTGACTTTTTAATGATCGCCATTCTAACTGGTGTGAGATGGTATCTCATTGTGGTTTTGATTTGCAGTTCTCTGATGGCCAGTGATGATGAGCATTTTTTCATGTGTCTGTTGGCTGCATAAATGTCTTCTTTTGAGAAATGTCTGTTCATATCCTTCGCCCACTTTTTGATGGGGTTTTTTGTTGTTTTCTTGTAAATTTGTTTGAGTTGTTTGTAGATTCTGGATATTAGCCCTTTGTCAGATGAGTAGATGGCAAAAATTTTCTCCCATTCTGTAGGTTAACTGTTCACTCTGATGGTAGTTTCTTTTTTTGTGCAGAAGCTCTTTAGTTTAAATAGATCCCATTTGTCGATTTTGGTTTTTGTTGCCATTGCTTTTGGTGTTTTAGACATGAAGTCCTTGCCCATGCCTGTGTCCTGAATGGTATTGCCTAGGTTTTCTTCTAGGGTTTTTATGGTTTTAGGTCTAACATTTCAGTCTTTAATCCATCTTCAATTAACTTTTGTATAAGGGGAAGGGATCCAGTTTCAGCTTTCTACATATGGCTAGCCAGTTATCCCAGAGCCATTTATTAAACAGGGAATCCTTTCCCCATTTCTTGTTTTTGTCAGATTTGTCAAAGATCAGATGGTTGTAGATGTTTGGTATTATTTCTGAGGGCTGTATTCTGTTCCATTGGTCTATATGTCTGTTTTGGTAACAGTACCATGCTGTTTTGGTTACTGTAGCCTTGTGGTATCGTTTGAAGTCAGGTAGCGCGATGCCTCCACCTTTGTTGTTTTGGCTTAGGATTGCCTTGACAATGCAGGCTCTTTTTTGGTTCCATATGAACTTTAAAGTAGTTTTTTCCAATTCTGTGAAGAAAGTCATTGGTAGCTTGATGGGGATGGCATTGAATCTATAAATTACCTTGGGCAGTATGGCCATTTTCACGATATTGATTCTTCCTACTCATGAGCATGGAATGTTCTTCCATTTGTTTGTGTCCTCTTTTATTTTGTTGAGCAGTGGTTTATAGTTCTCCTTGAAGAGGTCCTTCACATCCCTTGTAAGTTGGATTCCTAGGTATTTTATTCTCTTTGAAGCAATTGTGAATGGGAGTTCACTCATGATTTGGCTCTCTGTTTGTCTATTATTGGTGTATAAGAATGCTTGTGATTTTTGCACATTGATTTTGTATCCTGAGATTTTGCTGAAGTTGCTTATCAGCTTAAGGAGATTTTGGGCTGAGACGATGGGGTTTTTTAAATATACAATCATGTCATCTGCAAACAGGGTCAATTTGACTTCCTCTTTTCCTAATTGAATAGCCTTCATTTCTTTCTCCTGCCTGATTGCCCTGGCCAGAACTTCCAACACTATGTTGAATAGGAGTGGTAAGAGAGGGCATCCCTGTCTTGTGCCAGTTTTCAAAGGGAATGCTTCCAGTTTTTGCCCATTCAGTATGATATTTGCTGTGGGTTTGTCATAAATAGCTCTTATTATTTTGAGATATGTCCCATCAATACCTAATTTATTGAGAGTTTTTAACATGAGGGGCTGTTGAATTTTGTCAAAGGCCTTTTCTGCATCTATTGAGATAATCATGTGGTTTTTATATTTGTTTCTGTTTATATGCTGGATTTTGTTTATAGATTTGCATATGTTGAACCAGCCTTGCATCCCAGGGATGAAGCCCACCTGATCATGGTGGATAAGCTTTTTGATGTGTTGCTGGATTCAGTTTGCCAGTATTTTCTTCAGCATTTTTACATCGATGTTCATCAGGGATATTGGTCTAAAATTCTCTTTTTTGGTTGTGTCTCTGCCAGGCTTTGGTATCAGGATGATGTTGGCCTCATAAAAAGAGTTAGGGAGGATTCCCTCTTTTTCTATTGATTGGAATAGTTTCAGAAGGAATGGTACCAGCTCCTCCTTGTACCTCTGGCAGAATTCGGCTGTGAATCTATCTGGTCCTGGGCCTTTTTTGGTTGGTAGGCTATTATTTATTGCCTCAATTTCAGAGCCTGTTATTGGTCTATTCAGGGATTCAACTTCTTCCTGATTTAGTCTTGGGAGGGTGTTTGTGTCCAGGAGTTTATCCATTTCTTCTAGATTTTCTAGTTTATTTGTGTAGAGGTGTTTATAGTATTCTCTGACGGTAGTTTGTATTTCTGTGGTATCAGCGGTGATATCCCCTTTATCATTTTTTTAAATATCCCTCTTTCTTGTGTAATCCCATCATTTTTATTTTAGGACAAAAATTTACCATACAAGATTCTTTCTTATATAAAATATCTTTTCTTTAAGACTTTTTAAATTTTTTTGTCAAAAATACCTCTTTATTTTTATAACTTTCTTTATATTGCTCTTATTTCCTGGTTTCCCTTGTTTCATATATAACCCTTAAATAAGGTTTTAATTAGACAAAGATATTTTACCTTAATAAGAATGTTAAAAAATTTCTTAAATTGGAAATTACCCAGAAACTTAATATCAAATAATAACCTTAAATCCTAAATTATGACAAGTGTGTTTACAAGCATTTATTCCATTACATGTACCTGATTAATTTAGTAGTTTACCTAGGTTATTTGCAAAAAATTGATAGCCAATATTTTAAGTTATTTTTCTATTAACGATTTTTATAGCTGTGAATTTGAGGTGTTTACTTAAGTAATAAAACTTATGGTTAGTTTTAAGGATATTTATACCAATAATTCAGTATTTAGCTGTTTTCATTTAAGCCAACAATATTTCATAAGCATATACAATCAAAGATCACTCTGTCTTGGGCTGGATTTTATAGTTTATAACACTTATGGCAAATTTTATAGTATTCTGTGGGAATAAACATGAAACCATTTGATCAATAGATGCAAAAAAAATTCTAACAATTCTAAAGACATTGCTGATATTATTTTACCAATAATTTTAAAGCTGGCTAGATACTTACTAAAATAAAATCTTATTTAGTAAAGATTTTACTTAAGTCACATGAACTTGAAAAAGCATTTGACTAGTTTTTTTTGTTTAGTATCTGATTTAAGCACTTTTTAAAGCCAATTAATTAGAGCTCTTCATATGTGTGTTTGTGTGTATATATATAGTATTTTATTTTATTTTATTTATTTGTTTTTTTGAGACAGTCTTGCTCAGTCAGGCAGGCTAGAGTGGCACAATCTCAGCTCACTGCAACCTCCGTCTCCCGGGCTTAAGCAGTTCTCCTGCCTCAGCCTCTGGAGTAGCTGGGATTGCAGGCATGTGCCACCATGCCCAGCTAATTTTTGTACTTTTAGTAGAGATGGGGATTCACTGTGTTGACCAAGCTGGTCTTGAAGTCCTGACCTCAGGTAATGTGCCCACCTCGGCCTCCTGAAGTGCTGGGATTGCAGGCATGAGCCACTGGGCCCAGCCTCTTCATATATTTTTAGTCATGAAAATATTGTATACACACACATAAATATATACATGTATTAGGCATGCTGGTAGAAGCACATCACATAGACTCATAAAGATCTTTTTGTTTTTGCCATTTAAAAAAATCTTACCCTAGGCAGTTGTCAGCTAAATCGTCTTAAATTTGCATATTAAAGGCAACTCAGGTGAAATCAGATAGCAAAATTTACATCATAAGGTATGAAGAGAAAGTCTGGTATGCTAGAGGGAAATTAATTCAACTGCCAATTGAACATAAAATTATAGAAGGCTTTAAATAGGCACACACATGCACACACACACAAAAAGTTCCCATAGCTATTACTTCAGTACTTTAGCCATGGGATAAATACAACTTTGCCAGCTTGCAAAAAGCGGTTAGATCCAAATGGTGGTTTTTATCTCAGTAGAAAAGTAACAGCAGCTTTAAAGCAGGCAGACAAGAAAATAGAAGCTATGTACTCTATAGTCTGCAGGTCGACCTTAGGAATCTTCTTCCTTAATGTAAATGTGCACAAAGACCATATTACTTCCATTTTATATAAACTCTGGCAAGTGGAGGTGCCATAAAACCTACAGAGTGCCCAAAAGAGGGTCATTCTCATTCTCCTTGTTTACTCCTTATTCTTAGATTTTGTTTCCTGCTTTTTTTTTTTTTCTTAAGAGGAGGAACTGAGCTGTAGCCTAGGGCTTTTGTGTGGTGGATCAGTGCATGCTGCTTGTGGGCAGGACTCCACCGTGTATCACTACAGAGTCCTTCCCACCTCCTAGGTGTCTGGGTTTCTCTCTCCAGAGGTCTATGACCTCTGAGAGGGCTCAAAATGCTGGGTAATCAGCCTTTATATGCACTTCCTGGATGAGCAATTTTAAATTAATTTTTGTTGGGGATTTCCCTGTAGGGCCGCTGCACGTTGTGGGGGGTCAAGCTCCCAGACACTCCCACGAGTCCCCTGATCACCCAGGGGCACCTTTTTGACTAGGAGAAGCAAATGACCTTTCTCTTTGGAGCAGAAAAACTCAGTCTCTCATTTATCTGTGAAAACGACACTTCAGTTCCTCATGCAAATGCACTGAGATGAACCAAATCAAGATAAATTTTAGCAGAAAATGCAGGAGAGAATTCCATTTAGAATGCATCTCGGAACTAGAATAAGGATCCTGAAACAACAACTACCTAGGAGAAAACCAACTCAGAATAAATCAAGGACTGTCAACCAAAGGGAAGTCTGGGGTTCAGGAGGACTTACCAGTTCCACCAGAGGAGAAGCTCAAAAGAATAGGCTTCAGTGGGCCCTGCTGGTACCTTAGCTCCAAGTTTGGGCAACTCCTTCAAGGTCCTGAGTCTTCTCTGAGGCCCCACGTGTTTGGGCACCAAACTATTGTTGACAAAGAGTGAATCTCTGTAAAATATGTTTAAAGATTTATTCTGAGCTAAATATGAGCGACCATGGCCTGTGACACAGCCCTCAGGAGGTCCTGAGAACATACGCCCAAGGTGGTCAGGATGCAGCTTGGTTTTGTATATTTGAGGGAGGCATGAGACATCAATCAAATACATTTAAGAAATACATTGGTTTGGTTCAGAAAGGCAGGACAACTCAAAGTGGGGGCTTCCGGGCTATAGGTAAATTTAAACATTTTCTCATTGACAATTGGTTAAGTTTATCTGAAGACCTGGGATCAAAGGAAAAGTTCAGGTTAAGATAAAGGTTTGTGGAGACCAAGTTTTATTGTGCAGAGGAATCTGTCAGATACCAGACATCAGAGAGAGAGAGAGAGAACAGGTTGTAAAATGCTTCTTACTGGATTTAAAAGAGTGCCTGGCTCTTAGTTTATTATCTCCTGGATCTGGAAAGGAAAGAAGGAAAACAAATGGGAAAGGGGATTCTCTATAGAATGTGGACTTTTCCCACAAGGGACTTTGCAGGGCAGTTTCAAGATATGGCAGAGAAATATGTTCAGGGGTAAAATATTTTGATTTTCTTCCTTGTCTCATAATGGTATGCCAGAGTCAGATTGGAAAGTAAGTCATGATATAAAGGGTTAAATAAAACCCATCTGATGAGAATTTATGGTTTGTAGGGCATGACTCCCTAGACCCTTTAGGTAGGAATTTGGGCAAGATTAAAATAAAATAAAATAAAATAAAACAGAGCTTTGTCCTCACTACCAACATTCTGTGAGGGCCATAGGCTCTTGGACCCCTAAAGGTTCACTATAAAATCACTGACATGAGCCAGATTGATTAACAGGAGAGAAAGATTGCAAATTTATTTAACATGTATACATGGGAGCCTTCAGAATGAAACCCCAACTTCTCGAGGATTTACAGAAATTTTCATACTACAAACCAATACTGAGATAAGTCTCAATCAATTTAGAGGTTATTTTGCCAAGGTTAAAGACATGCCTGTGACACAGCCTCAGCAGATCTTGAGAACATGTGCCCAAGGTGATTGGTCTACAGCTTGGTTTTATATTTTTAGGGAAACATAAGACATCAATTAATACACGTAAGGTGTATATTGGTTTGGTCCAGAAAGGTGGAACAACTCAAAGCAGAGGCTTCCAGGTCATAGAAGGATTTTCTGATTGGCAGTTGGTTGAGTTTATCTAAAGACCTGGAATCAATAAAAGAGAGGGTTAGGATAAAGGATTGTAGAAATAAAAGTTTTTATTATGCAGATGAAGCTTCCAGGTGCAGGCTTCAGAGATAATAAATTATCTTAAGGTCTCTGTTTTAATGTTAATGCTGGTTAGTTTTGCCTGAATTCCAAAGGAAGGAGGGTATAATGAGGTACATCCAACCACCCATTTCCATCATGGCCTGACCTCTTGTCTTAGGATAACTTTGGAATGCAATTGACTGAGAGGAGGGGTCCATTCTGTTGGCTGGGGCTGCTTAAAATTTCATTTTTGGTTTACATTACCATCCTGAGGCTACAGTAAAGAATGCAGACTGAGAGCATGGCCAGAAACAGGTTATGTTGGTAAATCAGGTTGAGTGGCAAGAAAGGTTAAGAGAGAGAGAAAAGAAGAATATTAGCTAGCAAAGCTGGCCTTGTTAGGTACATGAAGACTCCTTCAGAGAGAATAGATGGTAAATGTTTCTTTTCAGACTTTTAAAGTTGTCAGATTCTCAGTCTCTCCTGGATATGAGAAAGGCATAGAAATGTTGGGGTTATCAGGCCCAACACCAGGTGGTGGGGGTAATGAAGTCCGGCAGAGTCAAAGGATTGAGAAAAAGACAATTTGAGAAGTAAAGTGGGAGCAGGGGGCCATCGCGACTGTGGAGGCTGCAAAGTTCCTGAGCTCTGGGAGCCCATGCTATTTATTGGTAATCCAACAAAGGAACAGGTGGTGAGAATGAGGAGGTCAAAAGGGCAGGTGCATGATGAACAGCTGTGATAGTTTAGCATTTATAAGGAACGTGTTCTGCTACTTGTGATAATGGGAATACAATGGATCTAGGAGACTAGGAAGGCTAGAAGCAAGGAGCCAGAAAGTCTAGACACATTCCAGAGGACATTATGTCAGACATGCAAGCCCTGCCTCAGTTTTCTTCCCAATATTCAGCTTTTTCCCAACATGCCCCCTTTCTCTTTTTTGTAAAAGAGAAATGTCATTATTACTATCATTATTACTAGATATCGTAATTAGTAGCATAAAAGTTGGCCTCTTTTAATTGAGAAGGCAATTGCAGGCTGTGAAGGCTTGAATTGCCAGTTGGTCATCCAGCTTCATTTTTCTTAGCCCTTATTCAAACTGGAGTCACTCTGGTTTGAATGCTTCCCACATATCTCCCCTTTCCCTTTTACAAGAGGACCCTTAATCCTAGGGGTTACAGAAGGATGAAGGTCTATCTTCTGTAACTTCATGCTGAATAGAGGTGATGATATTCCTGCCTAACTATTAGGGTCTCTTGTATTCAGGTAGAAAAGAGCTGAGTCAGGACGCATTGGTCCATTAAGCATGCATGACTCTAGTCGGTCTTCATTCCTTCTTTGCATTCAGGTTCAGCTGGCTCATGGCTCATACTGGGCGAACCCGGTCCAAGGTTTTAATCCAAGTGTCCCTCCAGTCTCCCATTCCATGGTCATGCACATCTTGAGGGCATCCACATGGTTCATTTATCTCCTGCAAAAACACAAGCATACCCTCACCTCCATGTTAGTAAATCTACTGAAACAGAAGCAAAAACTTTTGTGTCTGTAGCCAGGAGGCCACTGATAATGAGAAACAGGCACCTTCTAACAGAAGGCAGAGGGAAAGGAAATTGAGGCTTTTCAAACCTTCAGTTTGGGTCCACTATATGCTGTGGCTCATGATAGATCTTCAGATGTTTGGTGGGCACCCACATAGGCACCTGATTGTCACCTGGAGAGACACAAGCAAATGCTCTTCCCCATAAAATTATCTTTAGGCAGGAATTGGAGGAAGTATATTCAGAGGTAAGGAGAATTTTGGGGCCTAATGGCTTCCTGATGTTTGATAGGTGTTCCCTCAGAAGTTAGGAATTCCCTTTCTCTCCATATTGCTGTGTGGGCATGGAGGACTAGGTAAGCATAGTTAGAGTCTGTATATATATTTACCCTTTTTCCTTCTCCTAATTCTAGTGTATAATGGCCCCTGCTTTTGCTAGGATGTCTCTCCCTAACAAAGGAGTGGGGCTTTCAGGCATAATTAGAAAGACATGTGAAAAGAGTAAAGTTCCCCAGTCACAACTTAGTGGCTGGGAGAAGTATCTAGTGACTGTCTGTTCTTGGACCCCTTGGATAGTGACAGATCTGGAGGACAGTTGTCTGGGACAGGAGGGTAAGACTGAGAAGGCCGTGCCAGTGTCCAGGAGACAGTTAACCCCCTGGCCCTCAATGGTCAAGCATACCTAGGGAGGGTGATGGCATGGGCTGGCATTTGCCCTGGGCACCCTCAGTCCTGCTGCTGGATCATCTGGTTAGTGGCTTCTGACTCAGATGACCTTCGTCCCCTCGGGCAGTGGGCCTTCCAGTCATTCCCTTGACATAAGGGGCATGGACAAGGGGGTGGCTTATTTCTATTCAGACAATCTTTTTAAAAGTGTCCTTGTAGACTGCACTGGAAGCAGGCCCTATTAGGCATTTGATTTGCCCAGCCTTTTCCTTTTTCAGAGCCTCCAAAGTTCACTTGCCTGAAGGCTGTGACTAAAGTGGTGTTTTTTTTTCATTTTTAATCCTGTTTGTTCCATTCCACCTGCTACTCCTGATCTCTATTATAAAAAACTGAGGTTGCCAAGTTCAATAGGGTTTCTAAGTTTTGCTCCAGGCCTAAGGCAGACTTTTGAAGTTTTTCTAATGTCTGCAGCTGACTGAGTGATAAACTTATCCTTTAAGATTAGTTAGCCTTCAGTAGAGTCAGGTGACAGAGAGGTATGCTTCCTCAATGCCTCCCTTTGTCTCTCCAGAAGAGCAGTAGGATTTTCTTCCTTTCCTTGTATTATAGTGGACATCATTGAATAATTCATAGCCTTCTTCCTAGTTTTCCTTAGTCCTTCCAGCATGCAAGTTAGCAAATGTCTGCAGCACCAATCTCCATGTTCTGATTCTGCGTCCCAATGAGGGTCTACACTGGGAACTGCCTGCTGGCCTGTGGGGAATTGTTCTCTTTCCTCTGTTGTCATCCTATCATTGACCTGACTGAGATACCAGAGATCACCAAACTCTCAGGCTGCAGTAATGGCGGCACTTCTCTCATTTGGAGTTAGTGTCTGATTTAGCAGTAATATTATATCTATCCATGTGAGATCAAATAATTGTCCCAACCCTCGTAAAACATCAATGTAGCCATCAGGGTTATCTGAGAATTTAGCTAGGTCTATTTTAATTTGTTTCAAGTCTGAGAGGGAAAAAGGTACATACACTCTGACTGGCCTGAATTCTCCAGAATACATCTTAGGGGTGTTTTTGCCTTGGGGGGAACGTTTCCCATCTGAAAAAAGAACATAGGGATGACAGCACCCCTAGTCATTTTCTGATGAGTATTAGTCCTAGAGCATCCTCTATAGTCCTAATACTTCTTCCTTTCCAGGGTGCATAACCACCCATGGACCTCTGCTTATCAGATTAGTTATGCTCACCAATGTAGCAGTCCTGCACCTGTTTTCCCACCTTTCTTGACCACAAAGAAAGGGGTATGGGCTGCTGGATTCTAGTGGTCCTTTACCAGCTTACCCAACATTGCCTTTGCACTCAGAGGTGAGTTCTAGAGCTGGGCTAGGTTCCTGAGTATTTCATAACAACCCAGCTTCCCCATCAAGATGCACTCCCATAAACAACTGTTCTTATGCAAATTCATTTCAGAGAGGATGTAGGCAATGTTTTGAGTCAGGATTGAGATAGAGTAATTTATTTATTTATATTTTGAAGATAACCACTTTTCCAAAGGGAACTTCCTTTATGTCTATGGACTAGACATAAGGAAGGCCACAAGACTAGAAGTTAGGATAATACATGTTACACCGTTAACTTTTAGCAAATTTTACTTTTGTTTAAACCCTTGTAAGTTTGGGATTTCCATTATCTTTTGCTGTCTATAAGACCTTGTTTAGTCTAAACTAACTTAGAATTGGTATAGATGGTTCCTTCCTGGCTTTGTACTTTAAGGCTTGGCTGAGTACAAACAGCTCACATGTTTGAGCAGACCAATTATTAGGCAATTTTTCTAACTCTGCTTCTACAAGAGTTTCCCTATCAATTACTGAATACCCATTATGTGTGTGTGTGTGTGTGTGTGTGTGTGTGTGTGTGTGTGTTCCTCAATCACATGGGAGGAGCCATCTATTGTCCTGTCTTGAATGGAGTTCCTCCTAGGTCTTGTCGGTCCTCTGTATGTAATTAAGATTTAAATCCCTTGTTAAGAAATCTGCTGGGTTAAGGGAATTTTCAGTGGTTAATGTTAAATCACCTTTTCCTCACAGAATGGCCCCATACTTTAAGATTTTTAAGTTAGTAAGCTACGCTTTTGCTTTTCTCTTCCTTAGGGTAGCTCTGAACTGGTGAGGTGTGCTCACAATTAGGTTTCTTCTAAGTTATTTTTCTACTTTCTTCTGCTAGCGAAGCAGTTGCTGCTACAGATTGAATGCATTTGGGCCATCTGTGGGTTACTTGGTTAGGATTTTTGATAGAAAGGCTGCTGGCTGTCAGTGGTCTTGAGAGTTGAAGCCAACTGGGCTTCTGGGTCAGGTGGGGACTTGGAGAACTTTTGTGTCTAGCTAAAGGATTGTAAATGCACCAATTAGTGCTCTGGGTCTAGCTAAAGGACTGTAAATGCACCAATCAGCACTCTGTAAAAAAACACCAATCAGCACTCTGTGTCTAGCTAAAAGATTGTCAAAGCACCAATCAGCACTCTGTAAAAATGCACCAATCAGTGCTCTGTGTCTAGATAAAGGACTGTAAATTCACCAATCAGCACTTTGTAAAAACACACCAATCAGCGCTCTGTGTCTAGATAAAGGATTGTAAATGCACCAGTCAGCACTCTGTAAAAATGCACCAATCAGCACTTTCTGTCTAGCTAAAGGATTGTAAATGCACCAATCAGCACTCTGTAAAATGGAGCAATCAGCAGCATGTGGGCAGGGCCAAATAAGGGAATAAAAGCTGGCCACCAGAGCCAGCAGTGGCAACCTGCTTGGGTCCCCTTCCCTGCTGTGGAAGCTTTGGGCTTTCACTCTTCACAATAAATCTTACAGCTGCTCACTCTTTGGGTCTGCACTACCTTTATGAGCTGTAACACTCACCACGAGGGTCTGCAGCTTCATTCCTGAAGTCAGTGAGACCATGAACCCACTGGGAGGAACAAACTCTGGACACACCACTTTTAAGAGCTGTAACACCCACTGCAAGGGTCCACGGCTTCATTCTTGAAGTCAGCGAGACCAAGAACCCACTGGAAGGAATAAATTCCAGACACAGTTTGGCAACCACAAAGGGACTATCACCTATCGCCAAGTGGTGAGCACCATCGGACCCATTTCACTTGCTATTCCTTCCTATTTTTCCTTAGAATTCGGGGCTAAATACCAGGCACCTGCCAGCGAGTTAAAAGCAACTAGGGCGGCTGCCAGACTAAAGACATGGGTGTCAGGCTTTCTGGAAAAGGGCTCTCTAACAACCCCCAACTCTTCAGAGTTGGGAACATTGGTTTGCCTGGAACCAGCTTCCACTTTTCCTGTACTTCTGGGCTGAGCCAAGGGTCAACAGAGAGGAAAGCCATTAGCTCCAGGGTTTGACAACAAGTTGGTTGACCCTGGGGCCATGAGCAGAACTCTCAAAGTGAAGTGCTTTCAGATTACGCCCTTGTTTACACTGACAACAAGGCAGTATTGAGTGTTATAGGGTCATGGAGAATACCTTCAATTATCAATTATAGGTTTTAAATTTACCCTGGTTTTAAAGGAATAGGGCACACTGCTTTTTCTTTAACTACTTGTATATCTCTTTCTTTCTCCTTTGTAGGTGGATTTTGGAAACACAGTGGAAGGATTTTTACTTGTTGCCCCCATTTGCCACTATAGGAATATGTGCCTCCCTTTAACTTACTCAATTCATTTTCATCTTGATCTATTACGTTGTCATAGACCCAGTTCCAGTTGTTAAAGTACTGGGTTATCAGTTCTAAGGCCCTGGCCAAGGAGTCAAGGCTTGGAGATTGTATTGCACGGGGGATAAGCTGGGTAGAAATTGGGGAGGAGAGCATCTTAAAAGGAAATGTGGTCCAATTAGCTATATTCTGTCCTCCCTGCTGGATTATAGTTATGGGAAATTGCCATGCTTCAAGGTCTCCCTTGGCTCTAGCCTTCTGAATAGAATTTTGTATACCACCACCAATTGCTCCAGGTTTTAAAGTTGCAACTACAGGAGCAGTAAGTTTTGTAGCTAATTCATCTTCTCACCCATTAAGAGGAGAGAGAGGATGTGGCTCTTCACTTAATTCAGCACGTGGGGCTGATGGGTTAGTAAAACATGCTTTTTTCAGTTTCCCTTTCTTTTCTTTAATTTCCTCCCTTTCCTGTTCCTCACATTCAAAATCTGAGGTTAGTTTTTTACACTTGTCCTCCTCTTCCTCATCTAAATCTGCCTCATCATCTGTTTAAAATGGCTCAAGAGTTGCTTTTATTAGTGCCCACGTTGACCAAACCAAGACTTTAATTTTTGCTCCATCTTTATATACTTTTTAAAAATCTCTGTCAATTTCTCTCCCATTCATCCAACTCCATAGTCCCTTGTTCCAGAAACCATGGGCAAAAGTGCTTCACTGCACTAAAGAGTGATAACAAATTCTGAGTACTAACTTTCACTCCCACTCTTCGTAATACATGTCTTAGGATATTTAAATAAGCAGAATGTCTGCTTTCACTTTGTCCCATTGTTACCCTGATTCTTCCGAGCACTCCACTTTCCCACCGAGCTTCTTTTACACGTTCTTGGGTGTCCCTTGATGATGTGTCCTCTGCTTTCACATGATCTAGAGTTCCTTCACCAGGGTCTTCATCACCCCACATTGGGCACCCAGGAATGTTGGGCTGATCAGGCCCAACACCAGGTTGTGGGGGCAATGAAGTCTGGCAGAGCCAAAGGATTGAGAAAAAGACAGTTTGAGAAGTAAAGTGGGACCAGGGGGCCATCAAGACTGTGGAGGCTGTGAAGGCCCCGAGCCCTGGGAGCCCATGCTATTTATTGGTAATCCAACAAAGAAACAGGTGGTGAGAATGAGGAGGTCAAAAGATCAGGTGCATGATGAACACCTGTGATGGTATAGCATTTATAAGGAGCATGTTCTGCTACTTTAGATAATGGGAATACAATCAATCTAGGAGCCTAGGAAGGCTAGAAGCAAGGAGCCAGCAAGTCTAGACACATTCCAGAGGACATTACACCAGACGTGCAAGCCCTGCCTCAGCTTTCTTCCCAACACTCAGCTTTTTCCCTACAAAAAGAGGGCAGGGCATGGCTGCATTAATAGATATTCTCTATAGATGTACACTTCCCCCCATAAAAGATGGCTTTGCAAGGCCACCTCTATTAGCTAGCCAAATGGCAGCCATTTCAAAATATGTCAAAGAAATATATTTTGGGGTAAAATATTTTATTTTTTCCTGTTCACATCAGCCTTTTCTGTTTTCTCTGAAATTCCTTCTGTCAGGGCTGTACCCTGTAATGCTTCTCCCTCTCTCTTTCCCTACTCAGCTTAATCTGCTCTGATGTCCTGAGCAATTCACTTCCAATCCCTAACATGCATTCCCCATTCAGAAATACAAAAGCCCTTTAGTTAGCGTAGTGTAAGCTCCATAAAAGAATGTATAGTTCTATTATCACCCTAGCATGTCCTTAAGATCTCATCCTTTACCCCATTATGATTATAAAAATGTCCTTCTTAGCTATACAGAATGCTTCCCCAAGAGGAGTTCTGATAAACACACAGTTCTCCCTCTTGTTACACTGATATCCAAATTTAATCCAAACATTCCCAATTGAACACAATAGCCTCACCACCACCCATCCACCGTCTGCCAGAATAGTTCGCAGGGACTGGCAGGAAGTGAGTGACATCCACTTGGCCATGGCCAACTGTAAAATGACCAAAAAGTAAATAAGAAAGTGAGGAACTAGAAGGATGAATGATCTGGGTGACAGACTTAAGAGCTCTGAATGCACAGAGCCAGGGTGGCTCACCAATGCCTGGCACCTTGTCTTCCTCTAAGCATCAGGTTCCCTGCCCTGGAGCACTGCTATACTGGCGGGGAGGTCGTGTTGCCCAAGGATCAGGAGGAGTGGAAAAGACGGACGGGCCTTCTGCTCTACGAGAACTATGGGCAGTCGGAAACGGTAGGTGGTGCAAACCAGAAAGTGTCTGAGACAGGTCTCAATTAATTTAAAAGATTATTTTGCTAAGGTTAATGACACGCATCTGGGAAACAGGTTTGTGCCTTTCCCCAAAGATGATTTTGAGGGCTTCAATATTTAAAGGAGAAAAGGCAGATATTGGGGAAAAAGGAAGAAATTTTCTAAAGGTGGGGTAGTTACGAGGCAAATTGTTGCCTTCTTGTGAGTCTTTGATCAGCTGTTTACATGTGAGAGAAGGGTAGAGGAAGAGTCACTTGTGCATTCATCTAGATCAGTGAATCTGCATTTTTACATAAGATAAACGTAAGTCAGAGAAAGCAACTAGGTACATATTTGTCTCAGGTGAGCAGAGAGATGATTTTTGAGTTCTGTTCTTTGTCCTATACGTGTGAAGATGAGCTATAAATGTCAGGGTGAAATTTAGCAGAACTGTTTGACAGTAACGATCTTGGGGCCCACAAGGAATTTCTTAGTGGGAAAATTGTGGCGGAGGCATGTAGTTTTGTTTTGTTTTTTATCTTTTTAGCTCTTGTTTAGGAATAAAATGAGAGGCAGGTTTGACTGATGCAGTTCCCAACTTGAGTTTTCCCTTTGGCTTAGTGATTTTGGGGTTTGTTTTCCTTTCATAGTGGAAAGGTCCCTTCTGGATAGTCATGATGTGCTCAGCGATTGAGCCCAGCAGATGTGCTGAATTATGCCACATGTGCGGGACACAGCCCCATCGCATGCACAGCATTGTTTGATGCCAACCAGAGGCTCTAGAGTTCTAGGCTAATTTGTCCCAAATCTATCTGCAGAAAGAAAATGTACAACTCGTCATCTTACCAAGGGACTAATGTGCTTAAAACTCTTGGACAAAACCTTAAAAAGGGGTCTAAGGGCGTTTTCACACTGTCCCTGTTATCATCAGCTCAGAGGATCCCCAGAGGGTGGGTGGGATAGGAGACTCTCTCCAGCAACATGGAGACCACCTCCTCCAGGAAGTCCTGTCAACTCCACTAACCCTCCCTAGGGCTGCAGAGGCAGGAGGAAGCTGGCTCAAAAAGTGCATTGCTTGGGGTTTAGGAGGACAACTCGCAGGTTTGACTGTGGGATACTAGCAGGGTGGGTGAGGAGCAGGGACTTTCTGTATATGCCAAACACATGTACACACAAACAGTGTCATTCCAGAGTATCACTGAGCTGCCAGGTGAGTGGGGCATTTGGAGTACTATGCATGTCTGGAAGTTCAAGGACCTCATCAATTACAGTGTGGGTGAGCATCTCTTCCAACATATTTGCAATCCATTTCCAATGCTGGACAGAGCCACTTTCTCCCTCTGTCTCCATTATCCCTCTAGCACATAAAGGATGACTGCTATCCCAGGCCCTGTGCAAAATTATTACTTTAGTGCCAACTCACATACTCAGCTGACATTATTTTGTAAAAAATATATAGCAATTCAGTTAATTTGTCTGCTTCCAGACCTGAAAAATGCTGACACTTCGGGCCTATGTTTGAATGGCTCACAGGTCATATTTGGACAAGGAGGAGGGTGGGCCAGGAAGACACACTCCACCCACGACTCCAATATTTGCAGCACTAGGTGGTGCTTAATTTCTGAAAACACTTTCACATCTGTTCACTCATGTGTGCAACGTTTTTCACATGCCTACAGTGTGAGCAGTGATGTGGCAGTGGGCAAAGATCTTCCTATCCCAGGAGCACAGACCTGGGTCCAAGTCTCAGCTCTGCCAATTACAGCTTGAAGACCATAAGGATATTATGTATGCTTTCTCACCTCAGCTCCCCCACCTTTAAATGGAAATTATAATGCCAATCTTAACAGATTGTGATAAGGTAAATAAAAAGAAGTATATAATGCTCTGGCTGGTGTCCCGCCTGTTGTATATGCTCACCTTGCAGCTGCTGTGGTCCTTGCTATTTTTGGTGGCTATTGTTCCAGATTTTGGAAGCTCAGGGATAAATAGGGCAGTCTCTATTCTTGGGATGCTCATTATCTACTGAAGGAAACAGACAAACAAAAATAATTATAATGCCCTGTGGGCTGCAATGGAAGTATAGGAGAAATGCTGCAGAAAGAGAATCTTTCCCTTGACTTCTCTTGTAGCTTGAGTAATAGCCAGTAGTCATCATTCATTGAACACGTGGTGTGTGCCTTGTATTATGCAGAATTTTCCATATGCTTACAAGCACTCTGGGAGGTAAGTGTTATCATTATTACCCTTTGATGGAGGAGATCAAGAGGGATTCATTGGCATGCATTTAGTGTGTGGTGGAGTCAAGGGTCAAACCCTCATTGGTCTGAATGTAAAGCACGCAGCTACAGAAATAAATATATTTGTGAGAACAATAAAGGAGGAATCAAGTTCATCAGGAAGAAAGATGAAGATAGGGCAGTGCTAACAGAGAGAACAGCACAAGCAATCCAGACAACCTCCACACACACTGGGGCATCCTGCAGGGTGAGATTCACAGGCCTCTTCCTACGGATCACTGATGACAAAGGCAACATTCTGCCACCCAACACAGGGGGAAAAGTTGGCATCAGGATCAGTCAAGAAGTTGTGGCAGAATCCCTATCACTGCTCAACAGCCCCAAGTAAATGTTTGTTAGATAGACTAGTGGTCTTCCCCTAGCAAACTGACACATGCCTGTTCAATGGTGGGCATGCCACACCCCACATTATATGCCCACAGCCAGGGGAATACCCTGTTTCTTCTTTCTTTGTTTCCCCATTGGATTCTGTAGACTCCACTTAGTACAGAGCCAGACCACACTGGCTGCAGAAAATGACTGTGGAATAGAGTTGGGTCAACACCTTGAGCCTAGACTAAGGCCTTCCAGCTTCCCTACGAGGGCTCTTTGGGCAGCATCCATTGAGAGGAATACTACATCTCTGAGCAGAGGATGCTGTGTATGATTCTGACTGCTTTGTGATCAGCCTGGCCTCTCTGATCAACCCAAATCTTCTTTCTTTTGTGAACAGGGACTAATTTGTGCCACCTACTGGGGAATGAAGATCAAGCCGGGTTTCATGGGGAAGGCCACTCCACCCTACGACGTCCAGGTCTGGTCCTAAGGGCATTGGCAGGGAGCAGTTAGGGCTCAGCGGGGGTTGGACAATTTGACACCAGGTGACAACACCAGCCGCACTTCCCTGCTCCAGTCATCCTTCCTCCTCTCTTCTCATTTATCCCTTCAGTTTCATATGGAGGCCTCAGTTGAAAACTGCATTATTGTGAGCATGAACACCGCTGACCCTGGCAGCCAGGGCATCACACACAGTAGGTAGGAAAGAATACCTAGAGGCTGCACTGGGAGCCCTCTCTAGCAAGTGGTGCTTTTCATTTTTTTTGATCACTGTTTTCCAACTTGAAGACACATTGGTGACATCTACTAACTCATGAAACATAGACCCTTGGCTTGAGTTTCACATTTGCGTATTTTAAAGGCTTTTGACAGTTTTATTCCATTTTCTGATGTTTCCTCTGTTATTTCATCCACACTGGTGTCCCATGCATAAACCAGACAGTGCTTGGGTGGGGCAGAAGGGCTGCGGCCTCCTGCAGTGTATGATTCACAGGCCTCTTGCTACAGGTCATTGATGACAAGGGCAGCATCCTGCCACCTAACACAGAAGGAAACATTGGCATCAGAATCAAACCTGTCAGGCCTGTGAGCCTCTTCATGTGCTATGAGGTAATGACCCCCCATCTGCCCCCATCCTGGCCCCAAGGATCCCAACAGGGAGCTCTGCATCCTGAGGCTTCTTCAAGTCCTCTTTTATTTGCTCTAACTCAATGAAATGAATGAGTTTTCATTCAACTCGAAGCTCACCGTGCATTCTCCCATCCTTTCCTGTCTGAACCCACCTGGAACTTTTGGGATGTTGGGGTAGAATGAAGACTGGCTTCAGAACCATCAGACTTGGGTTTCAATGATCTACTGTAGTCAAGAATATAGGCTTTGACTGGATTCAAATAATACCATCTCACTTACCAACAACAGAGTGTAAACAAATCACTTATCCTCGCTGAGCCTCCAGGGAACTCTATTATCCCATTTTACAGAGAGAAAAGCTGCAGATTAAAAGCCCTGCACATCTTCTGCACATCAAATAAATGGTAGGTTTAGGATTAAAAAAAAGTAAAAACCAGAGATTATAGAAAACTGAGATGGATTACAAGGAAACCTGCTGAAACTCCTGATCAAATAAGCAATGGCCCTCCCAGGATAGGAATGGCCACAAAGAGGAAAATCTTAGCTCCCAATATTGGCCATGGAAGGATGACCAGACCCTGAAATTGATTTCAGACTTCATCTCCTTTCTCTAAAGACACTTTCATTGGCGGCTGTCCTGGTGTCACTGCCATCCTCACACTGTGGTTTCAAGGGAGCGATGGTTCCTTTGTGATACTTTTGACCAAAGGGGAACATACAGGCCTTACTTAGCATTAATTCTCAGCAACACAACTTAAAGATTGGATAAAAGAAAATTAGGCAGGGTGGGGTGGCTCACACTTGTAATCCCAGCACTTTGGGAAGCCTAGGTGGGTGGATCACGAGGTCAGGAGTTCGAAACCAGCCTGGTTGACACAGTGAAACCCCATCTCCACTAAAAATACAAAAGATTAGCTGGGCATGGTGGCATGCACCTGTAATTTCAGCTACTTGGGAAGCTGAGGCAGGAGAATCACTTAAACCCGGGAGGCGGAGGTTGCAGTGAACCAAGATCGCACCACTGCACTCCAGCCTGTGTGACAGAGCTAGACACCATCTCAAAATGAAAGAAAGAAAGAAAGAAAGAAAGAAAGAAAGAAAGAAAGAAAGAAAGAAAGAAAGAAAGAAAGAAAGAAAAAGAAAAATTAAACATGGGGTAACACATATATTTTATATAATGTCCAGGCATCTTTGAGGACCACAGATATATATCTGCATATTACAATCATTTCAGGAGATTTTTTAAAATAGTAGTACTTGGATGCAACCAGAGATTCTGATTGAGCTGAAATGGGGATAATCCAAAGAAATATATTTAAAGAAAAAAACAAGGTCTTGCTCTGTCACCGAGCTGGAGTGCAGGAGCGTGATTAAAGTTCACTGTATCCTGGACCTCCTGAGCTCAAGTGATATTCCCAACTCAGCCTCCCAAGGAGCTGGGACCACGGGCAGGTACCACCATGCCCAGCTAATTTTTTGATTTTTTGTAGAGATAAGGTCTCACTATGTTGCCCAGACTACTTTCAAACTCCTGGGCACAAGTAACCCCCCTGCCTCAGCCTCCCAAAGTGCTGTGATTACAGATGTGAGCTATTGCACCCAGCTAATTTTTTTTTGATTGAGCATGACATATTTTATTTTCCAAAGAACTCCTAACATATACCCACACCTACGTATCCATGAAATGTCAGTATTCCTCCATTGGGACTTCTTTGGGTTTTTTTCCCTCCTTATTTATGTAAAAGAATTACAGAATTACCATGAGACCCAGCAATTCTACTTCTAAGGCTACTTACTACCAAGAAGTGGCAGCAGGAACTTGAACAGATACTTTATTTTTTACTTTATATTTTATTTATATAAAATGTAACATAAAATTACTCTTTTCACCATTTTTGAGTGTACAATTCAGTAGTATCAAATAAAGTAACAATGTTGTACAGCCATCACGATTACCCATCTTCAGAAAATGTTTACCATCCCAAACAGAAATTCTACTAATAAGCAACATCTCACTGCCCCAGTCTCCAGCACATGATAATCTCTAATCTGCTTTTTAAAATCTATGAATTTGCCTATTTTAGGTTCCTCATATAAGTGAAAATATACAACATTTGCCCTTTTGCGTTTGGCTTATTTCACTTAGCATAACGTTTTCAAGGTTCATCTATGTCTTAGCATGTAACAAAATGTCATTCCTCTGTAAGTCTGAATAAAATTCCACTGTATGTATACAACACATTTTGTGTACTCAGTTGTCTCTTAATGGACATTTTGGTTATTTCCACATTTTGCTTATTGAGAATGTTGCTTCTATGACCACTGTTGTTTAAGTATCTGTTCAAGTTCCTGCTTCCATTTCTTGGGAGTATAGACCTAGATGTGGAATTGCTGGGTTCCATGGTAATTCTATGTTGAACTTTTTGAAATAAATTACCAAACCACTTTCACAATGGCTGCACCATTTTATATACCCACCAGAATATTTTTGATCCATTTTGAGTTAACTTTTGTATGTGTTGTAAGGTAACTTCATTATTTTGCAATTGGGCATTGAAGTTTCCCAGCACTATTTGTTGACGACTGACCTTTCTCCATGGAATGGTTTTGGCACCTATACTTAAATCAATTGACAATATATGGGAGAGTTTCTTCCAGGACTCTCTATTCTATTGCAATGATCTGTCTGTCTTTATGCCAATACCACACTGTTTCTATTACTGTAGTTTTGTAGTAAGTTTTGAGGTCAGGAAGTGTGAGTTTTCCAACTTTATTCTCCTTTTTCAAAAATTTTTATTTCCTTTTATTTTTGAGGCCAGATTGCAAGACTGGCTAATTTTTGTATTTTTAGTAGAGACAGGGTTTCTCCATATTGCCCAGGTTTGTTTTGAACTCCTGGCCTCCAGCGATCCACCTGCCTTAGGCTTCCCAAAGTGCTGGGATTATGGATGTGAGCTACCGCGCCTGGCCTTTATTCACCTTTTTAAAGATTGTTTTGGCAGTTTGGGGTCCTTTGAGATTCTATATGCATTTTAGGATAGGTATTTCTAGTTCTGCAACAACAACAAAAAACCATTGGGATTTTGACAGGAATTGTGTTGCCTCTGTAGATAGCTTTGGGCAGTATTGTCATCTTAATATTAAGTCTCCAATAAATGAGTATCATATGTCTTTTCATTTACTTATCTCTTCTTTAATTTCTGTAGTAACGTTTTGTAGTTTTCAGTGTACAAGTCTTTTGCCTCCCTGATTAAATTTATTATGAGTACTACTGTCTTGTATTCTTTTTGATGCTATTGTAAATAGAATTGCTTTCTTAATTTCCTCTTTGGATTTTTAATTTTTAGTGCACAGAAGTGCAATTGAGTTTTTGTGTGTGTATGGATTCTGTTTTTTACAAGTTTACTGAATTTATGTATTAGCTTTAACATTTTTTTTGAGTGTGTAAAATTCTTCGGGTTTTCTATATATGGTCATGCCATCTGCATGCAGAGATAATTTTACTTCATCTTTCCAATTCAGATGCCTCTTATTTTTCTTTCTTGCCTGATTGATTTGGCTAGAGCTTCCGGGACTATGTAGAATAGAAGTGGTGAAAGCAGGCATCCTTGTGTTTTTGGTCTTAGGAGAAAATCTTTCCAACTTTCACCATTGAGAATAATATTAGCTGTTGGTTTTTTATATGTGGCCTCATCATGTTGAGGAAGTTTCCTAGTTTATTTAGTGTTTTTACCATGAAAGGGTATTGAGTTTTGTCAAGTGCTTTCTCTGCCTCAACTGAGAGAAAACCTTGTGGTTATTTTCTTTTCATCCTATTAATGTGGTTTATTATATTTGTTGACTTTTGTATGTTGAAACAGGAATAAATCCCACTTGGTCATGATGTATAATTCTTTTAAAGTGTTTCTGGATTTGGTTTGCTAGTGTTTTGCTGAGATTTTTGCATCAATATTCATAAGAGTTATTGGTCTGTAGTTTTCTTCTCTTGCAGTGTTTGTCTGGCTTTGGTGTCAGGGTAATGCTGGCCTCATAGATTGACTTATAAAATTTTTCCTTTTCTTTAATTTTGTAAAAAGAGTTGGAAAAGGATTGGTCTTAATTCTTCTTTAAATATTTGTCAGAACTCATCAGTGAAGCCATCTGGCCTAGGCCTTTTCTCTTTTGGAAGGTGTTGATAACTAATTTTACCTCCTTATGAGTTACAGATCTATTCAGAGTTCTATTTCTTTGTGACTCCTGTTTTTGGTAGATTGTGTGTTTCCAGTAGTTTTTCCATTTTATCTAGGTAATCAAACCTTTTAGCATACAATTGTTCATAGTATTCTCTTATAATTCTTTTCATTTCTGTAAAATGTTAGTAATTTAAATTTTCACTTTTTTATTAATCAATCTAGCTGAAGACTTGTCATCTCTTCAAAAGAAATAACTTTTGATTAAGTTTTCTTTGTTGTTTTTCTATTTGCCATTTTATTTATATGAACTCTAATCTTTATTTCCTGCTTCTGCTATGCTTGGGTTTAGTTTGCTCTTCTTATTCTGGTTCCCTAAAGTGTAAGGTTTTCGGCTTGAGATCTTTTTTAACGTATGTGCTAAAGACTGAATGTTTGTGTGTCCCCCAGATTCATATGTTGAAATCCTAACCCCCAATGCAATATTTGGAGATGATTATATCGTGAGCATGGGGTCCTCATGAATGGTGTTAGTGCCCTTTTAATTTTTTTATTTTAGTAGTTTTGGGGGTACAGGTGGTTGTTGGCTACATGGATAAGTTCTTTAGTGGTGATTTCTGAAATTTTAGTGCATCCATCACCTGAACAGTGTGGTCTTTTAACCCTTACCCCCTGCCAACTTTGCCCTCTAGTCCCCAAAGTCCATTATATCATTCTTTGCCTTTGTGCCTTCATAGCTTAGCTCCCACTTAGAAGTGAGAACATACGCTATTTGGTTTTCCATTTCTGAGTTACTTCACTTAGAATAATGGCCTCCAGCTCCTTCCAAGTTGCCACGAAAGACATGATTTCACAGCTTTTTATGGCTTAATAGCATCCCATGGTGTATATATACCACATTTTCTGTATCCACTCATTGGTTGATGGGCACTTTGGTTGGTTCCATATCTTTGCAATTGCAAATTGTGCTATAAACACGCATGTGCATATGTCTTTTTCATATAATGACTTCTTTTTATTTGGGTAGATACGCAGTAGTGGGATTGCTGGATCGAATGGTAGTTCTACTTTTAGTTCTTGAAGGAATCTCTATACTGTTTTCCATAGCAGCTGTACTAATTTACATTCCCACCAGCAGTGTAAAAGTGTTCCCACAACCATGCCAAAATCTATTGTTTTCTGATTTTTTTAACAATGACAATTTTTGCAGGAGTAAGGTAATATCTCATTGTGGTTTTAATTTGCATTTCCTTGATGATTAGTGATATTAGTGCCCTTTAAAAAGCAACTCCAGTAGGGTTCTCCAGAAGAGTCCCATTCTCCATGTGAGGCCCCATCAAGAAGACAGCCATCTATGAAGCCTCACCAGACACCAAATTTGTTGGTGACTTGATCTTGCATTCCCAGTCTCCAGAGCTCTAAGAGATAATATCTATTGTTTATAACCCACCCAGTTTATGGCATTTTGTTACAGCAGCCTGAATGGGCTAAGACAGTATGTGTGTAAATTACCTTTTTAGCACTGTGTTTGCTGCAATCTATAAGTTTTAATATGCTGTGTTTTTTATTTCATTTGTCTCAAGATAATTTCTAAATTTCCTCGTGACTTCTTCTTTGATTCATTGGTTAGTTAAGAGTATGTTGTTTAATTTTGCAAAGATTGGGAAAATTTGTGATTTTTTAAAAGTTTTCCTTCTGTTAATTCCTTTCATGTGACTTGATAAGATGCTTTGTATAATTTCTGTCTTTTAAAGTTAATTAATACTTCTCTTCTGGCCTAATATATGGTCCATCCTTGAGAATGTTCCATGTGCACTTGAGAAAAATGTGTGTTCTTCTGCCGTTGGATGGAGTTTCCTGTATATGTCTGCTAGATCCAGTTAATTTGTGGTGGTGTTCGAGTCCTCCATTTTCTTATTGATCTTCTCTCTGGTTTTTCTACTCGTTATTGAAAGTGGTATATTAAATTCTCCAACTATTGCTGTAGAACTGTACAGTTCTTCCTTAAATTCTGACAATGTTTGCTTCATGTATTTTGGGGCTCTGAGGTTTATTGCTTATATGTTTATGATTATTATATCTTCTTGGTGAATTGACCCTTCTATTAATAGACAATATCATTTTTTATCTTTTGCAATTATTTTTAACTTAAACTTTATTTTGACCGGGCATCGTGGCTCACGCCTGTAATCCCAGCAGTTTGGGAGGCCGAGGCAGGTGGATCACTTGAGGTCAGGAGTTTGAGACCAGCCTGATAAACATGGAGAAACCCCATCTCTACTAAAAATAAAAAAGATTAGCCGGGCACGGTGGTATGCGCCTGTAATCCCAGCTACTGGAGGCGGAGGTTGTGGTGAGCTGAGATCGTGCCATTGCACTCCAGCCTGGGCAACAAGAGCGAAACTCTGACTCAAAAAAAAAAAAAAACAAGTTTTTTCTGTCGGATATTAGTATAACAACCCACAACCCAAGCTCTCTTTTGGTTACAATTCACAGGGAATATATTTTTATCCATCCTTTAACTTTCAACATATTTGTGTCTTTTTTTTTTTTTTTTTGAGTTGGAGTCTCCCTCTGTTTCCAGGCTGCAGTGCAGTGGTGCGATTTCAGCTCACTGCAATATCTGACTTCCTGGTTCAAGTGATTCTCTTGCCTCAGCCTCCCCAGTAGCTGGGATTACAGGCACACACCACCACACCCAGCTAATTTTTGTATTTTTAGCAGAGACGGGGTTTCACCATGTTGGCCAGGATGGTCTCCATCTCCTGACCTCATGATCCACCCGCCTCAGCCTCCAAAAATGCTGGGATTACAGTTGTGAGCCACCACGCCCAGTGGAATTCGTGTCTTTAAATCTAAAATGAATCTCTTGTAGATAGTGTATATTTGGATCGTGTTTTATTATCCACTTAGCCAATTCCTTCCTTTGGATTGGAAAGCTTACTCCACCTACATTTAAAGTAATTACTGATAAGGAAGGACTTCTACCATTTTGCTATTTGTCTTCTGTGTGGCTTAATATTTTCTGGCCCTCATTTCCTTTATAACTGCCTTCTTTTACGTTTAGTTTCCTTTTTGTAGTGACACATTTTTTCCCTTCTGATTTTCTTTTGTTTATATTCTACAGATATTTTCTTTATGATTACTATATTACATACAACATCCTAAGGTTGTAACAATCTAATTTGAATTAATACCTACTTAACTTCAATTGTATAAAAAAAAACTGTACTCCTGTATGGTTCCATCTTCCATTTATGTTGTTGATGTCATCTTGTACCTCTCAACTCAGTCCATAAAGGCACTCACATTGATCTAATATCATGAGTGGAAAACAGTATTACTTGCCATAAACAGAAGGCATTTATAACCATAACTATAGGCTTAAAAAAAACAATTTTCTCATAGTCTCCCTAAATCCTATTCTCATTGGAAGCTCTGATCCTGAAGCATGTCTTCCTCTTGAGACTTCCAGAGAGTTCAAAGCATATCAGCACTAAACTAAGAATCAACTTGATATACTCAGAACAATCAGAAGTGAATCCAAAAAGGGATGTAATTTGATGTTTTTAAAATGTTTTTTTCGGGTAGCTCTTAAAACCATTTCATGTTCCACAAGAGCTATTGCTTAGGGGTCAAGTGAATCGGTCATGAAGCAAGAATTAAATTCAAATATCAACCCTCTCAGTGAGCAGCTGAGTGACTCTGAGCAAGCAAATGTGCCTCCCTCAAGCTTAGGTTTTTTTCTTATTTAAAATGGGCGACAAAAAAAGTGCCAACTTCACACAAAAACATGTATGCAAATGTACATAGCAGCTTTACTCTAAATAGTCAAAACCTGAAGACAACAATCCAGATGGCTTTCAACAGGTAAATGGTTAAACAAAAACTCAGCTACATCCATAACATGGAATACTGTTCAGCAACAAAAAGGATCAAACCGTTTGTGCATGCAACTTGGATGAATCTCTGGGGGATTATGCTGAGAAAAAAAAAAACAGTCCCAAACAGTTATATGCTGTATGATTCTATTTATATAACATTCTTGAAACAGCAAAATTATAAAAATAGAGAACAAATTAGTTGTTAGCAAGGGGTCAGGGAAGGTGAGAGGAGAGGAAGAGGAAATGAGAGGGAGGTGGGTGTGGTTATAAAAGAGCACCATCAGAGATCTTCCTGATGAGGTGGGGAATGCACAAACCTACATATGTGATAAAACTGCATACAACTAAATACACAGACACACAAGTGAAATGGGACATCTGAAGACTGGTGGATTGTATCAAGGTCAGTATTCTGCCTAAGATACTGATCATATGGTTTTGCAAGATGGTACCACTGTGGAAAACTAGTGAAGAGTACAGGGCATCGATCCACATTATTTTTTATAACTACATGCCATCCACATTTGTCTTAAAATGAAAAGTTAACTTAAAAACATACTAGACTCATAGGCTTTCTGTGAGGATGAAATGAGATAGTATTTAGGGAAGAAAATTCCCTCAGCAAATGTTTATTGACCCCTCTCATCTGTCCAGGCTCTATGTGAATGCTGAGCTTATAGCAGTAAGCAAGGTTCACACCATAATGGAAATTTCATTCTAGTGTAGTGTCACACAAAATGAATATATATATATATATATATATATATATATATATATATATATATATATATATATGTATACATACAGAGAGAGAGAGAGAGAGAGAGAGAGAGAGAGAGATGAAGTCTCACTCTGTTGCCCAAGCTGGATTGCAGTGGCGCGATCTTGGCTCACTGCAACCTCCACCTCCCAGGTTCAAGCGATTCTCCTGCCTCAGCCTCCCCAGTAGCTGGGATTACAGGCATGCACCACCATGCCCAGCTAATTTTTGTATTTTTAGTAGAGATGGGGTTTCACTATGTTGGGCAGGCTGGCCTTGAACTCCTGACCTCATGATCCACCCACCTCAGCCTCCCAAAGTGTTGGGATTACAGGCGTGAGCCACCGCACGTGGCAGAATTGATATTTTTAAACATTGTCATTGAAATTGGTTTAATCACAACCACTCATAGAGCAGTCGCATGCATCATGCGCTACATGTAATGAAAATAGACTCAGAAATGGCAAAACTTGCCCAGGTACCGAGTAGAAACAGAGGCAGAATTCAAACCCAGATTGGAACCCAAGGTTGTGGCTCATCACCTCTAAATTCACTGCCTTCAACAAAGGAGCTCTCTTCTTTTTGCAGGGTGACCCAGAGAAGACAGCTAAAGTGGAATGTGGGGACTTCTACAACACTGGGGACAGAGGTAAGATGGATGAAGAGGGCTACATTTGTTTCCTGGGGAGGAGTGATGACATCATTAATGCCTCTGGGTAGGTGTGGCTGATGCTGGGCTGGCTGTTGTTGCCGTCACATGCCTCACGGAATTTTGCTTACCTAGACATTTTTTCACGCATTGGTGAAATTTCAGCCTAAATCTGAATAGAGCCGTGTCTATGGTGCCCTGATTCCAGGCTTCAGTATACCTCCCGAACCTTCTCTGCACGCAGAAGAATCAAGCAAAATGAAATTCAAGAGGGTCTGGAAGAGGAGCCATAATAAGACACTGTGCAATTTACAGTGGGGTGGGGGGAGTGGAATTGAGAAGGGAGACTCTGTCTTGGTCTCCATAGGTTCAGGGAGCCTATTTCATGTTTGTGCCCCTCTAATGCAGCACCAAATGTCACAGGACAAACATAGTAATAATAATAGCTAACCTTTAGCTATTGTTTATTTTTATTATTATGAATATATTTGTTATACATCTATGAGCATAATAAATCTATTATTATAAAATTATTTATTAGTATAAATATATTATTTACTGTAACTATTTAGCTAACCTGGAGTACTTACTATGTGAAAACACTGTCCTTAATGCTTTATATAACCCACCTCTCAAAGCTGGATGGGAGATGTGATTATTATCCCTATTTTACTAACGAGGAAAGTGGGTCACTGACCGGCAAGGAAATTTGCCTAAAGATTCAAAGATAGCACAGGATGCAATCCAGATTTGAACTGAGGTAGTCTGGCTCTGAGTCCCTGTCCCTACCCCTACATGATTTTTAAAAAGGCGCATTACACTACAGTAACAATTTCCCTTGGATATTTTAGAGAAATTGATGGCATTTTTATTTTTTTATTTTATTTTTTATTTTATTTTATTTTATTTTATTTTTCTGAGACAGAGTCTCCCACTGTCACCCAGGCTGGAGTGCAGTGGCCTGATCTTGGTTCACTGCAAGCTCTGCTTCCTGGCTTCAAGTGAGCATGTCCAGCTAATTTTTATACTTTTAGTAGAGATGGGGTTTCACCATCTTGGCCAGCCTGGTCTTGAACTCCTGACCTCCATTGATCCCCCTGTTTCAGCCTCCCACAGTGCTAAAATTACAGGTGTGAGCCACCATGCCCAGCCTGGATGGGATTTTATTTTAAATTTCTAAAACATGATGTACTGGAAATTTGCACAAAGAGTAGATTTTATGTTCTTACCACAAAAGAAAAAAAAGGCAATTATGTGAGACGATGGATATGCTAGTGTGCTTGAGTGTTTTAATCGCGTTACTATGTATATGTACATCAAAACATCATGTTGTAAGCCTTAAGTATATATAATAAAAGCCGAAAATCCTGCTGATACAATGGGAAATAGTATGCAGAATTTGCATGAATGTTTAAGACCAAGTTTGAGGCTTCCAAGAGATTTCGTGTTGGGGGAAGCTGCTTGGGCCAAGCTCTGAGGAGACAAAACATTAGCCGTCCTCCATCAGTACAGGCAGTGAGGCAAGAAGCCGGGAGCACCGCAGTCTTGTATTTCTCAGCCTATAATGTCCAGGTCTTTACACTTTGGGCCCATGACACAGACAAGTCAGGGGTCCCTGGCTTCCTATGACCTCCACCCTCTGTGCCAAAGGAAGCTGTGACTCCAAAGCAGGAGATCTGGGGACTTGGTTCACCCCAGCCCTGGCATCTGCCTCAGAACCCTTCATCCTCCAGGTATCGCATCGGGCCTGCAGAGGTTGAAAGCGCTTTGGTGGAGCACCCAGCGGTGGCGGAGTCAGCCGTGGTGGGCAGCCCAGACCCGATTCGAGGGGAGGTGAGGAGAACACAGAGATCATCATGTCTGTGCGTGGGCACTAGGAAAGCAGGTGCAGGGGAAACATCCAGGCTTTACCTGTGCAGCCTTGGTGGAAGGGCATAGTGTGCATGTGCGTTTACACGGTATGGCACCAGGGGACAGTGTGGACTCTCTGTGGCTCTGAATAAAAGGATGCTAGATACTATGTAATGAGCACTTATATATGCCAAATCACTTAACTCTCACACAATGTAGTAATCTAAGAACACTTATGCTTTTTATAGATGAGGAAAGAGAAGCAGGAGGAGGTTAAGTAACCTCTCCACATCACCCAGCTAGAGTAAGGGGTGGAGGCAGAATGGCATCTCAGCAATGTGGCTCCCGAACATACATGCATTTGTATATTGAAAAGTGTTATTAGGCCGGGCACGGTGGCTCATGCCTGTAATTCCAATGTTTTGGGAGGCTGAGGTGGACCGATCACCTGAGGTCAGGAGTTCAAGACCAGGCTGGCCAACATGGTGAAACCCCACCTCTACTAAAAATACAAAAAAAATTAGCCAGGTGTGGTGGGGGCAGGTGGGTGGAATGGGGGGTGGGCGCCTGTAGTCCCAGCTACTTGAGAGGCTGAGGCAGGAGAATCGCTTGAACCTGGGAGGCTGAGGTTGCAGTGAGCCAAGATCACACCACTGCACGCCAGTCTGGGCGACAAGAATGAAACTCCATCTGAAAAAAAAAAGTCTTTATTAATCACCTTCTATATGTGAGACCTTGTGCAATAAAACTTGGATAACATTGCTAATCTAAAAATAATAAATTGCCAGTAATTATGGAATGCCCATTGGGTTTCTGGCACTGAATTACATATATAATAACAGTAAAAATGATGATGAAAATATTGATGACGGGAGTAATAATAAAAGTAAACTAGCTGGATGTTTTATATGTATTATCTCATGGAAGCTTTAAAGAAACCAAATGAAGAATGGAAGCTTTATTGTCCCCATTTCACAGAAAAGAAAACTGAGGTTAAGGAGAGGTCAAATAACTTTTCAAGGCATGGAGTGGGAATTGGAAACACAGGGATTTACACCTGGTCCTCTCCTTTTCCAAAACACTGTAGGGTTCAGTGTCACCTTGTTTTACCACTCATTCAATAAACATTGACTTTTTAAGCTATGGAGTAGGTTGGCACTCACTGTGAGCCCATGACTTCATTCTGCAGGTGGTGAAGGCCTTTATTGTCCTGACCCCACAGTTCCTGTCCCATGACAAGGATCAGCTGACCAAGGAACTGCAGCAGCATGTCAAGTCAGTGACAGCCCCATACAAGTACCCAAGGAAGGTGAGTGAGGGCAGATGGAAGGGATCTGGTGGCCCTGAAGCGTTCCCTGCTAGGACGGGCTAGGTATCACTGGAGGTAACAAACAGCCCCAAACAATGGAGGTTTACAACACTGAAGGCTCTTTTTCTGCTCATGCCTCATGTCCTCCATGGCTCTCCTTGGCCCTGCCCTCCACATCTCCTCATTCTGCCACCAGAATAAAGGAGCAGCCTCCATATGGGACCTGTCAGCTGCTCTAAGAGATGAAGGAGAGGGTGGTCAGTCTCAATGGCTCCCAACTCTTTTGCCTCAAGGTTACATGCTTCACTTCCACTCACATCTCCTGGGTCAAAGCAAATCCCATGGGTACATCCACCTTCTAGGGGCCAGGGGGAGAACCTGAAATACTTGGGGACTCCATTAAGGCCACCATATGGTGTCAGCCTGCATGGGAGACTGTGGAGGGGCAGAGGAGGAGAGTGGAGAATTGTTAGGAAATGGCAGCAGGACTCAATCACTGTGGATTTGCTTTATCCTCAACCAGGTGGAGTTTGTCTCAGAGCTGCCAAAAACCATCACTGGCAAGATTGAACGGAAGGAACTTCGGAAAAAGGAGACTGGTCAGATGTAATCGGCAGTGAACTCAGAACGCACTGCACACCTAAGGCAAATCCCTGGCCACTTTAGTCTCCCCACTATGGTGAGGACGAGGGTGGGGCATTGAGAGTGTTGATTTGGGAAAGTATCAGGAGTGCCATGATTCCAATGTTTTCCTTCTTTTAAATTAAATTCAGTTGCTCTGCTTCCTCCAAGTCCTCTGTATCTTTAGAATTTCCCAGGTGAGCACTCATAACGCAAGTAATAAAATACTGATATCAACAATACCCTGTGTTGAGCATTTATTCAGGGAATTAACCTATGTTAAATGCCCTCCCTCTGTAATTCTCCCTAATCTCTAACCTGAGATAACTTGGGACCAGATTCTCCCTCCTGGCACCAGCATCTCAGGGTTACCTAAGCACCCTTCAATAGCCAGGACACAGGGGTACAGGAGGGATGCCCCATGTGGCTCCAGGCACCTGCCCATGGTCTGGATGAGGCCCCAGCAAGGCCAGGGCAGGACGGATGTCCAGGGTGGTCAGCCTTGGTTTGGGGACTACATTTGCCTGCCAGACCACCTCTGCCACCCCACCCAATGGGCTTCCACCCAGTGGTCTTCCACTCAATGATCTTCCGCCCAATGGGCTTCTGCCTTTGTGTCCCCCAATAATGCCCATGTGCACATGCATCCCAACCTATGGTGTGTGTGAGTGAGAGCCCCAACCTCTAGGGACCCAGGACTCCTGCAGCCCTGCCATGGGCCTAGGAGCCCTGCCTCCAGCTTTCCCCTGTAGGACCCTACATATCAGATCTTCCAAGTGACCCAGGAACTCTGTCCCCCAGCCCTTGCCAGAGGACCCCACTCATTCACCCTCCCAGGGCCTAGGGTCCCTGTAGTCCAGAATTCCTTGACCACAGACAATTTTCCTTCTTTGAATGTAACCCTGTCCAGGCATCTGGAGCCCTCCTCACATCCTTGGCCTGGAATTCTGTAACCTGACCCTTTTCTCCATCCCTCCTTGGGGCCTAAGAGGGAACTACCAGGGGGCCAACAGAGGCTCAGAAGAGCAGGGGCAGAAAGGGCCTAGCCTGGGAATGAGAGGAGCACATATTGTCCCCTTCTCACCCACAGAGGGCCCTCTGTGACTGCCAATTTCTTAGGTGTACAAACCCAGGAACTCACAGGTAAATAAATAGACACCACAAGCACAGAGACACAAAGGCACAGAACCGCCCCAGCTTCACCTGGGCACTCAGCAGTTTGGCCCACAGACAGGCTTACACACACACACACACACACACACACACACACACACACACCCACCAGGAGACCACAGATACACAAGGCCATGAGACACAGCCCCACAGGGCAGACCCCACACACAATGGACACTCGTGCATGCACACACACACACACACACACACAGTCACAGACCTACAGGCAGGGAAACAGACAGAGAACACAGACATTAAGAGAAACATAAACAAATAGAGACACAATCAGGGATGCCCAAAGGAGAGGCGAATTCACACACACACAACACACACATACACACACACACCAAACAACACACACAGATACAGAACACAGGCATACACAGACACTCTCACAGGGGCATACATGCCCAGAGACACATTACACAGTCACAAACACACATATTTGTACAACAAACACACACTCATTCAGGAAGAAAGACACACAAATGCATACAAAGATAGAGAAAAACAGAGCTATCCAGAGACAGCTACACGGTGACATACTCACAGATACTCAGACGCACAGGTGCATACGTGCAGATTAACACATCCAGACATGCACACAGTCCCAGACCCCAGCCCACAGGACAACCACACGGCGATGGCACTCCACAGGGCACTCCTAAGGCAGTGGAGAGAACAGACCCAGGCATGACCTGGCCCTCCTGAGCTCTCTTGGAAGGGGATATGTTCCAGGTTCCAAACCCAGGGCTGGGTGTGTGCCCCTTCCAGGGCCTTCAGAAGGGCTGTTCCTGGGCCCTGAGATGCCAGAGAGGCCAGGGTTGGTGACTGTGGGGACAGGGGCACAGGGTTGAGCCTGGGACCCTGTGTGGGTATGTTTAGACAGGGCGGTGTTGCATGGCGCTTAGCAGATCTAGAAGTCAAGAGAGAAAGAGAGGTGTGCCCCCCAGGACCCTACCCTGGGCCAGAGTGGGCTGGCACCCAGAAATCAGAAGGTCTGCGAAGGTTCCAGAGAGGACTTGTCCTTGGGTTGGGGGTGGGGGTTCAGGTGGGGGGAGGGGACCTTGGAAGAACACGAGCTTCTTGTGGATTGTCCACTGTGAGGCACCAAGTACCGGGCTGGGGATTTGTGAAGAGGGAGTATAAAGCCTCAGGATTTGCTAAGGCAGCTTCCAGACAGGAGAAGGTTTGGCGGAAACCAGAGTCCTGCTCCTGAGCCTCCCACTCCCCTGCCCCAAGTGTCCTGCTGCTTCACTGATAGCTGATCGCCTTTCTCTCTAACCTGTAGCTGAATCTCCCACCGGTGCTTGAGGACTTAGTTTGAACCAGATCCTTTCCCAGAGCCCCTTGTCTTCCTCCTGCTCTGGGTGCCCAACAGCCCTCCCTTCCCTTCCCTCCTTTTCCCTGCCCTCCCCCTCCCTCCTCAACTGCAATCCCACCCCCATCCCTATCCCCTTCCTTCCCCCAGTCCTAAGCCACTCCCACCTCTGTCCTGGCCACCTCAGGGTGCCCTGAGAGGACCAGGACATACCTGCGTGGTGGCTGCTGTTTTGGCTCCTCCTGCAGGGGTTTTCTAGCCATCAACCCACCCATGTAAGTAGATGCTGGACCCATGGGGTTTCTTCCTTTTTGTTGGGTAGTGTCAGGCGGCATAAAACTACACAGCCTGTACTCCTCACACACTGTGGGGGCCGAGGTGGGCAGATCGCTTGTGTCCAGGAGTTCAAGACCAGCCTAAGCATCATAGCAAAACCCCGTCTCTATGAAAGATTAAAAAAAAAAAAAGTTGGTCTAGCCTGGTGGGGCATGCCTGTAGTCCCAGGCTGAGGTGGGCAGATCGCTTGGACCCAGGAGGTGGAGGCTGCAGTGAGCCAAGATTGTGCCACTGCACTCCAGCCTGGGTGACAGAGTGAGACCTTGTCTCAAACAAAACAAAACAAAAAAGTGAAATGTCATTTGAGTTTTGTGTCATCTGGTTTGATGATTTGTTTAGAAACTTTGGAGTCATCCATGTGTTCTCCTCTTGGGAGCTGCCTCCAGGGAGTCTATGTCCAATCGGTGTGAAGGTAGCCTGAGAAGCCAATCAGATGGGAGAGGAAAGGGTTGCATCCTGCTGGGATGTTTGCAATGCGGGAGTCACTAGGAGTGACATGACCAGGATGTGAATGAGAACTCTACTGACCTTTGTTTTGTAAAATGTGTCTTGTGTAGATCATTGATTTACCCAAAGCAGAAAGAGTCTTAAAGTCCTATGAGTGTCCAAACATAAAGAAATGACAGGTTTTTACTTTGAAAGTTTCCACCCTCACATTATAAGCCTCACCACTACCCTCAGGAGAGGGCACCTTATAGAGATGAGAGTATTTGTTCTGACCGGCATGCACCAGATTCTTAGAGAGGGATCTGGAAAAGTCTAGTGATGGGGAGCAACCACTGCATCAAGGCAGAATCACCTCGCATGAGTA
The DNA here is from genome assembly GCF_000001405.40 of Homo sapiens. Taxonomy (NCBI): domain Eukaryota; kingdom Metazoa; phylum Chordata; class Mammalia; order Primates; family Hominidae; genus Homo; species Homo sapiens. The sequence continues at coordinate 20,619,833 of NC_000016.10, read as the reverse complement.
CCTCCAACCAAAGAAGAATTTGTTGTTTCTTTTGAGGTTATGAAGAAGGAAATGTCTTGATAATCTTTGTTGGAATTTTTTTCTCCTTACCTGGCTGCATTTTCATAGATCAGTTAAACTCTCTTTCCCTACCTCACCTTTGAAGACTTGGATAAGTTTTCCTCATTGCATTTTCCACCTTCACCCTTGCTCATGGCCGTCGACTGTCAGAACCTAAGCTTTCCTTGCCCCTTTGGACCTAATCTAGGTAGGAGCCCACTACTGATAAGCTGCATCCAGATAGTTGTCAGATGTGACAAGAGTGCCCAAGATGGGGGTTGTTTTCCTGGTCAATGAAAAGATGGCCTTTGTCCTTCTCGTGCATTTGATCCACATCTTTAACCATTGTGCCCAGAGCTCCTGGTCCCTTTCAGACAGAGGCTACTCAGAAACAGTGTGTCCTTCCCAGGAGCCCAGGCCGCACTCACCTCCACTGTGAGGCTGAAGATGAAAGTGCTGCAGAGCTCAGAGGCTGCTTTTTAGAGATGTTTTGTTTGCACAAAAGTGAGTCTTGGTATGTCAGTTGGTCTGAATTACATTTCGTATTCATTTTCTCCCCCAGTACTCATAAATCTAGTGTTTGTAAAATAATATGTGTGCCTTTTGTGGCAGTGGCTATACATCCCAGAAAGTTTTTATTGCTTTCCATATGGATTTCCAAGGTTGCTACTGATTGCTTTCTTTATGTGCAATGCTCTAAAATATGAAGGGGAACTCCTGTTATTGGTGTCTTGGTATTGTGTTTTTAACTAACTTCAATTCTCTCGGTTTGAATTATAATTCCAGGAAGACTATGTTATGCAAATCTTTATGGACTTTGAAAATCTGACATGAAGTGCAGCTGTTTCAGCAGCAAAGTGAACATTAATTTTCAAAAGTTAATGTTTTTATAAACTTGGGCTAAACAACAGTCTGTGTTTATTTTGTTGAAATATAACCCAGGTATTATTATTACAGCAGCTGTCCTCTCTCAGTTTTGTGTATATATAAACATGTCTTTATGTAATATTTTCATCTATAACCGTAAGCCTTTTTTTCTTATATTTTTCCCATTCTTCCATACAGTGTGGACATATTTTTGGACATATTACAAATAGTGTAATGCAAATTTATAAATATTTAAAAAAAGATCTTGGCTTCCTGACCATTGTGAGTTTGTATTTTTAATCTCCATTTTAATTTGAATTACAGATTTCTAGGTAAAGTTTTGTAATTATTTTAAAAAATATTTGCAATGTTTTTGTTACATAAGGGAAAGTGAATCCTGAGTAGAGCAGGGAAAGAATAAGATGCTCTGCTCCGGATCGGGAAGGAGCAGGGGGTGAAATGTTACAAATTCTAGAACTTAGAGAACTGAAGATAATTACTTCCTTTTCAAATTGTTAAACATTTTAACCTGTGGTAAAATATTCATAATAAAACATTTATAACATGACCATTGCCGTCTTAACAATGTTGAAGTGTACAGTTCAGGTGTGAGGTATTCTCATGTCATTTTTCAGTTATTTCCTAGATGTCTTTTCCCAAGTCTGTCTCAAAGTCATGAAATGTAAATGATGGATCCACAGATCTGCAGCAGAGAGCTTGGAGGTCCAACAAGCAGAGCCAGGAAGTTATGCTGTCTGTTGGAGTCCCCATAGTATGGAAATGAGTTTGCCCTGGAAAGGAGAACAGTTTCTTGCCTTCAGGTCAATGACAAGAGTTCCAGTCCTGAGTCATGGAAACATGCTGTAGTGAACTGCAGGGTTAAGGACATCATGTCCTGGAAGGATCTCTCAAAGGCTAATTGTCTGGGTTCTGGCATCAGCCTGTAAATGAGAATCAGGTCTTCCTATGGGAGGAGTCAGATGAAGAGTGATCCCCTGCTCCATCTTGATGGAGTTAGTTGTGATGAGTTGGTGAGATCTGATTTTCCACAGTGAACTAAAATGAGCTTTCAGTGTGTCAAGCACAAGACTGACCCCAGAAGTACACATAGCACATCTCATAGAAGCTTCTAATGGTCCTTATTTACTTAAGAATAGGACTATGGAGACACAAAGACGAGCTGGAAATTACAGGTGACTTGCTAACAGGCCAGAGTGTTGTTTTTTTTTTTAAATTCTTTCTGTCTGTCAATGGGAGGTGTCAATTCTTCCTCCCCAGTGTTGAATATCAGTTGTTTCATGTATGGGAAGGCAGTGGGGGACCTTTGAATCATGGCCTTCAGATGCCAGAATGGCAGAAAGAATCCCACATGGGCAAGTGGATCATGTGTGTGCATTTCTCTCCGTTTTCATCTCAGGAAGCTGAGAATGAAAGAATGTGAGTGAGCAGAAAAAGAGAGGCAGCTGTCAGAGGTGGAGGAAAAAGGGAAATGGGTTATGGAAAAAATTCACACCTACAAGTGAGTTCAGAAACTGAACACCAGCCACATGGGAAACTTCCACTGGAGTATTTTGTTTTTAACTTTTGTACAATGTTTAGACCCAGTTAACACAGAAATACAAACAAATGGTCAGAAGACATATTTAGAGAAAGAGAGAATTCACACAAGAGAAAACAAAATACCTTAAGATTTATCAGTGACCAAGACATGTGAAGTAGCAAAACATCTGACCCCAATGGGGTCAGACTGTGTAGAAACTCAGTTCATTTCTGCCATTGTAGGGGTGGTATCCGTTGCCGTCATTCTTAGAAAAGCGTGTTGTAGGATCAACCACATTTTTTCAAATGGACTGTGCCCAGCCGTTTCTACTCTGTGAAATATGGCAAGGATATTAATACAAGGAGACTAGAGCTTTATAATCAAAGATGCCCAATGAAGGATGAATGAGAATGGGTAAGGACAATGTGAACTCAGAACCCAGCAGGCATTAAGTAAAAGAGGAAGAATCATTATAGCAACAGTTTTGATCATACTGTACTTTGAAAACCATGTGAAATACATCTTCTGTGTATAGATAGTGTAAGGGTGCAGTTGTGAGGATAACAGAAACATGGCAGATTATTTAAAATCATACTGAAATGGTGCTTATTTGATGAAAGTGATTCTAAACCATTGGAAAATAATTCAAGACACCCAAGAGCTTTGGGGGTGAGTAGAAAGCTACTACAGACGCAAGGTAAGGAGCTTCCTCCCCACAGTTGTAGGCTCCTTCGGTGCTGATGTGGATGATGCCATGGCCGTTAGACTCTCTCAACATAGAATTTCTCATGTGTTGGTTTTTTTCAGATTGTCCCTTCTATAAGAAAGGCCCTTGACAACTGGACAGTTTTTCCCCCTTGCTTTTGGGCATAGTCTGCCAGGTCAGCACGTGGATGTATTTTTCTCCCCACAGCTCTGTGCAAAAGCCTTGTAGAGGGAGATGGCAGAGAGGAAGGCTGCCTACAAGCAGCACAGGTAGGTAATTGTGATAGACATTTTTAAGGATGTTTTTGTTTTCAGATGAAGCTTTGAGTGTCTAGTAAAGAACTTGGTGTTTTAATTCTTCTTCAAGTGAATTCTTTCTCTGTCTTCCAGATGGGAAATGATGGAAAAGCAGAGAGTCATGGAGATACACAAGAGTCAGGAGCCAGCCCAGGGACAACTGGGCCTAGAGAGCACTTTCTGGAGAGGTAGGAGCTCACTGTGAAGGTAGTCACTTCTGCTGCACAATCCACACACCCTGCTTCTCCTTTTGGGGTTGAGAGCTCAGGTGGGGTAACAATTATATTTCCTGGAAGCAATTCTAAGCACTTACTACAGAGAACATGTGTCTCTCTTGGTGGCAGGACCCTATTTTTCTCAGATGCCCTAGCTGAATGTCTTTTCGATGGTCCCCTGAGAATGGCAGAGCTCAGGATCATCCACTGACTGTGGACGTTGCCCCACTCTGACATCTTGGTTACTTTTAACTGAGAAGAGGAGCCTAGAAAGCAAAGGGACCAGCTCCCCTTCCACCTTCGGTCAGCATCTAGGCTTTATTTTTCCTTCATTTGAGAAAAGTAATACCAATAACATTTTAGAATGGGAGCTATATGTGCTGATGAGAGCAGACGTTTTCTGGCTATGTCTTCATAGATCAATATTGCACCATGAGGTCTGGTTTAAGAAAAGAAGCATTTATTTACATTTTTTGGAGCTTCATTTTTTTGTTTAATTGTTTATTGTGGACTATATAATATAACTCCATTAGGAAATTAAATTTCCATGTAATCTTACTCTTCTAACATTCTAGGTGTAACCCTAAAACTTTTCAGTTAATTTCTGACACTCTTACCTTTTCTCAGTACTTCTAGTCAGTTTATGTCCATTTCTGTTCTTACATTTTGATAGTACCTGGACAGATATGAAAGTTAAAGTAGCTATAAATGTACAGAACTTTAAATGTCCACACGATTTGAAGAAAAGGAGCAGTGCTGTTTCTTTTCAGGGTTTATTGATATTCTTCCAATCCATGGCTGTTTCTATTTTAAATTTTAGTCTCTGTTTACAGGATGAGTGATCTTTTTTCTGATGTGTACTGGGAACCCCTGATTTAGAGCTCATTTGTAGCTTCTTAGAGCCCTACCTGTCCAGAGGCGGTTGATAGTTAAGAAAACCCATGGACCAGGGCTCTGAGGTGTCTGAGCCAGCCAGCCACTCAGCCTCTAATCCAGCCTCTTGGCCAGCCAGCAGCTCAGCCAGCCCAGCCTCCCAGCCCTCTTCTAGGTCAGACTCTCACCCAGCCATTCGGCCAGCCTCCCAGCTGGCCTTTAAGACAGCTAGCCTGTGGGTCTCTCTGCCAGCCTCCCAGGCAGTCTGTTGGTGAGCCTTCGAGGTAACCTCTAAACCAGGGAGCCAGCCCACCTCTGGGCAAGATTCCAAGCCACCCCCTTGGCAGATCTCTCAGCCAGCCAACCTGCCAGCCAGTCTCTTAGCAAGCTTCTCAACCAGCCAGGCTCTCAGGAAGTCTCTAAGCCAGCCTCTCAACCAGGCAGCCTCTGAGCCAGTCTCTCAGGCAGCCAGCCTCTCAAACAGCCTCCCAGCCAGCCTCTCAGCCAGCCTCTCAACTGCCCTTTCAAGCAGCTAGCCTCTCAGCCAGCCCACCTACTAGCTGGCCTCCAGGCAAGCCTCTAATCCAGCCAGCCTCTCAGTAACCCTCTAAGCCAGACTTGCAGGCAGGCAGCCTCTCAGCCAGCTTCCCAGGCAACCAGCCTCTCAGCCAGGCAGCCACCCAGACTGCATCTTGACCAGCCTTCCAGATAAACCCTTGCTCAGCCTGACAGCCAGCCAGCCTGACAACCATGCTCTAGGCAAGCCTTTAATACAGCCAGCTTCTCAGCAAGCCTCTAAGCCAGCCTCTCAACCAGGCAGCTTTTGAGCCAGGCTTTTAGGCAGCCAGCTTGTCAAACAGCCTCCCAGTCAGTCTCTCATCCAGGCTCTCATGCATTTAACCTCTTGCCCAGCCTCCCAGGTGTCCTCTTGGCCAGCCTATATGCACCACCTTTGCCAGCCTCTCAGTCAGTCAGCCTGATAGCCAACCTCTCAGCAAGCCTCTAAGACAGCCTCTCAGCCAGGCAGCCTCTCAGCCATCCTCTCAAGCAGCCACCCTCTCAAACAGACTCTTAGAAGTCTCTCAGTCAGCCGTCCTCTCAACAGGCCTCTAAACTGGCTTCTCAGCCAGGTAGATTCTCAGCCAGACTTCCGCTCAACCAGTCTCTCAAACAGCCAGACAGCCAGTCTCTCAAACAGCCAGACAGCCAGTCTCTCAAACAGCCAGACAGCCAGCCTCTCAGTCAGCCTGCCTGCCGGCTTCTTGCTCAGCCTCCTCAGCCAGCCTCTCAAACAGCTTCATGGCCAGCCTCTCAGCAAGACAGTTAGCCAGCCATTGTCTCAGCAAACATCTCAGCCAGCCTCTCAGTCAGGCAGATTCTCAGCCTGGCATTTTCTCAGCCTGCTTCTCAGCCAACCAGTCAACCAGCCTCTCAGCTGGTTTCCCCAGCCAGCCTGTTAAACAGCCTCCCAGACAGCCTCTAGGCCAGACTCCCAGCCTGCCTTTTCCCCAGCCTCCCTTGCAGCTATCCTCTGGACCAGGCTATGAGCCACTCTCTCAGCCAGCAGGACAGCCAGCCTCTGAGTCCGTCTCCCAGCTGGCCTCTTGACTGGCTTCCTAAGTGGCCTCTATACCAGCGAGCCAGCCAGCCTCTCAGCAAGCCTCCCAGCTGCACCATTGGCTGGCATCTCTGCCAGCCAACCGGCCAGTCGGCATCTCAGCAAGCCTCAGCCAGCCATCCGCACAGCAAGCCTCAGCCAGCCAGCCTCACAGCAAGCCTCTAAGCCAGCCTCTCAACCAGGCAGCCTCTCAGCCAGACACTAAGTCAGACACTCAGTCAGACAGACCGCCTCTCAGCCGGAAAGCCTGCCATCCAGCCTCACAACAAGCTACTTGGCCAGCCTTTAAGATAGCCAACCAAGCAAACTCTCAGCCAGCCAGCCAGCCTGCCAGCCAGCTTCTAAGCAAGTAAACCTCTCAACCTGCCTCTCAGCTGGCCTTTAAGTGAGCCTCTCCACCAGGCAGCCTATGAGCCAGCCTGTCAAGCAGCCATCCTCTGTAACATACCACCAGGCTCTCGGAAAGCCTCTCAGCCAGCCAACCTCTCAGCAAACCTCTAAGCCAGCCTCTCAGCCAGGCAGAAACACAGCCAGCCATCCTCTCAGACATCCTCTCGGCCAGCCTCCAAGACGCCCCATTGACCAGCGTCTCAGCCAGCTAGCCTGCTTCCCAGCCTCTTGGCAAGTCTCTCAGCAAGCCAGCCTCTCAGCAAGCCACTAAGCCAGCCTCTCAACAACGTGGTCTCTGAGCTAGCCTCTCAGGCAGCCAACCTCTCAACCTCCCAACAAGCCTCTCAGCCAGCCAGCATCTCAGCAAGCCTCTAACCCAGCCTCTCAACCATGCAGATTCTCAGTCAGCCATTCTCACCTCCACCCTCTCAGCTAGCTACACAGCCTGCACTTGGCCAGACTCCCCAGACAGCCTCTAAAACAGCCTCTAAACAGCCTGATATCCAGCCCCCCAGCCTGCCTTTTCTCCAGTCTCCCATGCAGCCATCCTCTGGACCAGCCTATCAGCCAGCCTCCCAACCATCAAGGGAGCCAGCCTCTCAACCAGCCTCCCAGCGAGCCTCTTGACCAGTGAGCTAGATGGCCCTTCGACCATCCTCCAAGTCACCCCCTTGACTTGCCTCAGCCAGCTAGCCTGCTAATCAGGCCCTCAAAAAGCCTCTCAGCTAGCAAGCCCCTCAGCAAGCCACTAAGCCAGTCTCTCAGCAAGGAGGTCTCAGAGTCAGCCTCTCAGACAGCCAGCCTCTCAAACAGCCTCTAAGCCAGCTTTTCATAAATCTTCTAAGCCAGTCTCTCAGCCATGCAGATTCAGAGCCAGCCCCCCATCTGTCCTCTCACCCAGGCTTCCAGGCAGCCTCTTAGCCAACTTTCCAACCAGCCTCTCAGCAAGCCTCCCAGCTGGACTGTCGGCCAACCTCCCAGGCGTCCTTTGGCCAGCATCCCAGCCCGGCATTGGCCGATCTCTCAGCCAGCCAACCAACCAGCCAACCTCTCAGCAAGCCTCTCAGCCAGCCAGCCTCTCAACAAGATTCTAACCCAGCCTGTCAGCCAGGCAGATTCTCAGCCAGCCAACCAGCCACCTCTCTGCTGGCCTCCCCAGCCAGCCTCTCAACCAGCCTCTTAGCCATCCACTCGGCAAGCCACCCAGCAAGTCTCTTGGCCAGACTGCCAGCCTGCCAGCCTATCAGCCAGAAGGCCTGTCATGCAGCCTCACAACCAGCCCCTCTACCAGGCCCCCAGCAAACCACACAGCCAACCTTTAATACAGCTAGTCAGCCAGACTCTCAGCGAGCAAGCCTCTCAGGCAGCCACCCTTCATCCAGCCTCTCTGCTACCCTCCCAGCTGGCCTCTCATTGGCCAGCCTCCCAGGTGGCCCCTTGGCCAGTTCCCCAGCCAGCCACCCTCCCATCCAGACTTTCTCCCAGGTACTAAGCCAGCCATACTCTCAGCAAGCCTCTCAGCCTGGCAACCTCACAGCCAGGCTCTCAGCAAGCCATTCACTCAACTTGCCACTCTGCCTGCCTCCCAGCCAGCCATTTGGCCATGCAGCCAGTCTTTCATTTAGCCCTCCAGTCAACCTCTCAGCCAGCCAGACTGCCAGCCAGACTGCCAGCCTCTTGGCCAGACTCACAGCTGCCCTTTTTGCCAGCCTCTCAGCCAGCCAACCTGCCAGCTGGCCTCTCAGCAAGCAAGCTTCTCAGGCAGCCTCTCAGCCGACCTTTTAGGCAGCCAGCTCTCAGCCAGGCTGTCTGCCATCCTGCCTCTCAGCAAGCCTCTCAGCCAGCCAGCCTCTCAGTAAGACTCTAACTCAGCCAGTCAGTCAGATGGCCTTTGAAACAGTCATTTTCTCACCCAGCGTCTCAAACAACCTCCTAGCCAGCCTCTCAGCCATCCAGCCTCTCAGTAAGCCTCTAATTAGCTCAGCCAGTCAGTCAGACAGCCTTTGAAACAGTCATCTTCTCACCCAGCCTCTCAAACAGCCTCCCAGCCAGCCTCTCGGCCAGCCTCTCAGTCAATCTCTAAGCCAGCCTCTCCACCAGGCATCCTCTGAACAAGCCTCTCAGGCAGCCAGCCTCTCTCAGCCAGGCAGATTCTCAGCCAGCCATTCTCTCAGCCAGTCGCTAGCCCATTCAGCCAGCCAGCCTGTCACACAGCCTCCCATACAGCCCTCTAGGCCATCGTCCCAGTCTGCCTCTTTGGAAGCCTCTGATGCAGCCATCCTCTGGACCAGCCTATCAGCCAGCTTCTCAGTCAGCAAGACTGCTAGCCTCTCAAGGAGCCTCCCGGCTAGCCTCTCAGCCAGCCTTCCAGCTGGCTTCTTGACTAGCCTCCCAGTTGGCCTCTCAACCAGAGAGACACCTGGTCTCTCAGCAAGCCTCCCAGCCACACCCTTGGGTGGCCCCTCAGCCAGCCAACCTGCCAGCCAGCGTCTGAGCAAGCCTCTCAGCCAGCCTCTCAACCAGGCAGCTTCTGAGCCAGCCTCTCAGGCAGCAAGCTTCTCAAACAGCCTCCCAGTCAGCCTCTCGGCCAGCCTCTCAGGTGTCCTCTTGGCCATCCAGGCAGCTGGCTTCTTGGCCAGCTTCCAAGACCCCCTTGACTGGCCTCTCAGCCAGCCAGCCTTCCCGCCAACCTATCAATAAGCCTCTCAGCCAGTCACCCTCTCAGCAAGCCTCTAAGCTAGCCTCTCGGTCAGTGAGATTATCAGCCTGCCATCTTCTCAGCCAGCTTTTCTCCAAGCCTCCCCAGCCAGTCTCTCAAACAGCCTCCCAACCAGCTTCCTGGCCTGCCTTTTGGTCAGCCTCCCATGCCGCCATCCTCTGGACCAGCCTCTCAGCCAGCCTCTGTACCAGATTGCCAGCCGGCCTCTTGGCAAGCCTTTCAGCCACCCCCTTGTCCAGCCTCTCAGCCAGCCAACTTACCAGTCAGCATCTCAGCAAGCCTCTAATCCAGCCATCCTCTCAGCCTGCCTCTAAGCCAGCCTTTCAACCAGTCAACCTCTGAGGCAGCCAGCCTCTCATACAGCCTCTCAGGCAGCCTCTTGTCTGGCTCTTAATCCAGACAGCCTCTCAGCCAGTCTCTCTGAGAGGTCTGAGTGCCGGCCTCTCAGACTTCCTCTGGACCAGCCTCCTAGCTGCCCCCTTGGCCAGCCTCTCATCCAGCCAGCCTGCCAGCTCTTATTGAAGGGCTGCAGGGTGTCTTGTCTGCACATGGCTTCCATTACCATTGAAGGAACATTTACTAGGAGAATAGCAATTGTTTAGAAGATCAGTTTTACTAGCCTTTAAAATAAGCGCAATAGCACATTAAAAAATCCAAGAAATCAACACTTAAAAAATTTGTGTTTCTGGACTCAGAATTAACATAATAACAAACAATCAGATTTAAGGGGAAAGAACTATTATCACAAATTAATAACTCATCCAATGCCTATTAGTTAAGCAACTACTATATGCTCAAAATTGTTTTACATGATCTTTGCCCTCATGGATAAAGAGAACAAAGGTAAAAAAAAAAAAATACTTTTGACCAAAAGCTCTGTTGGCATCCTACTAAACAAATGCAAACCTATTTAATTTTCATAATGTAAATGGCAGCTATTTTTATAATTCTTCTGCTAATAAATTATTTTTTTCTGATTTTTTTGGTAAAACCCAATATTCATAATGAAGTCCAGAACCATGAATTGTTTAAAATGATTTCTTCTTATTTATGATTACAAGTATACCTCTACAGGAAGTCAGTATACTCATACCAAAGCTAGTATTCCAGAAGAAAATGGCAAATTTAATAATTCCCAGGAACACAACAACAATGTTAAGCATCCAAGGAATTCAAAAAAAGTCAGGCCCAGGATGAAGATGGCCAGGCAGAAAATTGATGACCTGGAATAATAGCAGTTGAAATAATGAGAAGGGTCAATGACATTTACAATATTTCAGTCACAAAGAATTATCCTTAGAAACCCTCAACCTCCTCCAAGAAGTAAGTGCACCCTCAGATATCACCAGGGGATTCCACCGTTTCAAGAAAGATTGGAAATTACCAGTCCCATGTTTCTCGCATGGCTGGTAGTCTTCTTAGGCTTTGTGAATGTGGTGTGTCTTTTTTCTTGGTCTAAAGCAGGGATGTCCAATCTTTTGGCTTCCTTGGGCTATATTAGAAGATGGAGAATTTTCTTCAACTTGGGCCACACATAAAATACACTAACACTATCAATAGCTGATGAGCTATAAGAAACACACAAAAAACTCATAATGTTTTAAGAAAGTTTACACATTCATTTTGGGTTGCATTCAAAGCTGTCCTGGGCTGCATGTGGCCTGTCAGCTGTGGGTTAGACAAGCTAGGTATAAGGTAATTACCTTTTCTTTAAAGTTATTTACTTTTATTTACTTATTTACTTATATTTACTTATGTTTTAAATTGAATATGACATTGTATCTATTTGTCATGTACCATATGATGAAAGAATCCCTCTGAATCATACTTCTTTCTTAGAGTACATGAATTTTTGCTATTTAAAGATCAGCATAAGTAAAAAAAATACAATAAAGAGATGATTTCATTCAGAAATAAGTATCAAATTTTAGTGCTTAAACATAACCAATGTAGAGGTCATAAAAATGGCATGAATAGTATGGGGTTTCTCTAAGATTCTTGATATTAATTCCATTAGACTCTTACGTGAATTAAGACAAAGATTTCACCTGAGTAACTTCCAACACCTTCTGATAACATTCCTACATTGATTCCTTGGATTTAACTGTATATTCTTGAAAACATCTTAATTTTAAATGTTTCAAGATGGCGAATTAAACAGAGATAGCCATTCAACAGGTTAAACTCAGAATATGCTGAGTCCAAAATGGAAAGGATTGAATTAGAGATCTGTGCAACAATGGGAATGATTTCAGAAACATTGTGTTGAGCAGAATAAGGCAGACACAAAAGAGTACCTATGGCATGGCATGCATCTATATATGTGAAATTCCAGACTAAGCAAAATTAACCTACTATGAGAAAGGGATTGGCTAGGAAGAGGGAGAGTTCACTTTCTGTGGTGACATAATAGTGTAGATCTTGAAAAGGAGGTGGGTTATGCTGGTGTAGGTACTTTTCAAAGTTAGTAAACTCACACTTAAGATTTGCATATTTTCTTCTATGTCACTCTTCTTTAGAAGAAAATTTTATAAAGAAATATTGAATTCTAGTTAATGTTAGTCTTGCCAAACTATTCAGCAGGAAGTATGTTGATGCCTCCAATTCAGTTGGAAATACATGTAAAATAAGATGGGCTGAGGGATGGGTAGAGGAATGGAAAGATGGGTAGATATGTGTTGTCATGTTCATTAAAATGTTAACAAATCAATGTTGTATGTATGAGCATTTTTATAACAAAATGTTGATGGTAATTGCCAAAAGTCACTTGTCTCATGTCAGTGAGTTTTCCTTTGAACAGGAGTTCGAAAATAATTATTATTCATGTTCTATATGTTGGAACAATTTGAGACACTCTATCAATTGGATCTTT